>NC_000014.9:63551106-63854137 GCF_000001405.40 Homo sapiens | reverse complement strand
AAGAACCCTCACGGGTTGGCTCCGACTTGCTGGTGCTTGTACACAACCGTGCCTGCGGCGTCCAGCTCAGACGCTCCCTTTCACGGAGGGAGGGGGAAATAACTTTCGGAAACAGCAGGCTTCCACAAACGCGAATGCTACACAGGACTTCTCAGCCTCAATCAAATAAGGCGCTAATGTTCCCAGCAGCACTGATTCCATACACAGCCCCCGCCCCGCCCTTTTCAACAGAAGAAAAATAACCTAAGGAGGAGAAGGTGCCACCGTCAGACCCTAAAGGCAATTTCAGACAACAAAGACCCCAAGCAATCAAAATGGAATTATAATCCCGGCCGTCGGAGCGCCCCCCCGCCCCCGCGGAGGCGCTAGGCTGCCGCACCCGCCGCCGCCCCTCCAGTGCCCGGGCCGCCCGTCCCCGCGCCCTCTCCAGCCCCGGTGCGCCCCGACCCGCGGGTTCCCGGGTCCCCGGGGCGAGCACCGCACCGCTCACGATCCTGCAATCTCTGCGCCGCGGCTGTCCGCCTTCCAGCTCACGCGGCGTTCAAAATCTTTCCCGCCCAGGCGTGACGCGAGGAATGAAAACAATCAGCGGCCCCCGAGGGCCGGGGCCTGGGCCCGGGAGGGGGCGGCCGGGGCACCCGGGCACAGCCTCCCGCGCAGCGCCTGCCCGAGCCGGGCGGACCGGCGGGCTGGGGCCCGGAGGTGACACAAAGAACCCAGAGAGACAAACGCCACCCGCTGGCGCTCGCTCCAATCCCCGGAGCGCCCCGCCCGCTGACAAGTTTACGGCGCCCTCCGCGCACCCCGCTCTCCCCACCCGAGCAAAGTTTCCTGTGGCCCGGCTCGGACCCCGGCATCGGGTCGGTTCCCGTCTCCCGCCGCCCCCGCCCCCGGCTCAGAGACCTTTCCCTCTCTCGCCCCCGCCCCTTCCCCTCCCTCCCACTCTCTCCGGGGCGCACCGGGGTGCTGGGGCCCCGCGGCCGCGCTCACCCACCGTCCGCCCGGCCGAGGGGCAAGGGCGCGGGCCGGGGCCGCCCGAGGTCGGCGCCCCGCTTGCCTGGCTCTCTGGATCGCGCCTTTTGCTCGCTCTCCCTCTCGCTTTTTCAGGTCCGGCCGAAGGCTCTGGGCGCAGCTGAGCGCGCTCCGCTCCTTGGCGCTCGGAAAGCGGCAAACCACGCCCCGCGCCTTCCCCGCCCGCCGCCCGCCTCCGGGTCCCGCGCTCGCCCCTCGGCGGCCAGTGTAGAGCGCGCCCGCCAGCGCCGGGGCGGAGCAGCAGGCCCCGCCGCAGCCCGGGGCGGGCAACTTTCTCCCCGTCTTTTGGGACATCAGAGGTGGTGTGAGGGAGAGACCACCTCGCAATGCAGGTTCGCGACCCTTTTCTTACCCGGGGCTGGGTGAACAGGAGCCACAAGCTCCCTCAAAAAGCTCTTCTGGAGGATTTCAGGAGGGGTCTTCTCCAACACCCGTAGATTCCTGGGTCTTGGAAGTAGGAGTTAGAGAGCAGATCTGCGATTAGCTACCAGACCATGAGCAAGTCATTTCACCCCGCGGGCTCTTTGTAAAACGAGGACTTTGGATTCGAAGGCCTTTAAAATCTGGATCCGTATTTCGTAGTGTGGTCCGGATCTTGGGGTCACCTGGAGAGAAGGGGAGGCGTTTGTTAATGCAGATAACTGGGTTCCTCCTTCCCCTTGGATGAGGGGAAGTGGAGAGCTGTCTCAGTCGTCCGACCTGACATACATCATCCAGGTCTGAAAACTCACTGCGAACTGCATCCTTGGAACTGCGTCTTGCAGGTGCCAGTTTGATTTTCCAGCCCATAATCAGTCCCTTTGGACCCAGGATGATGCCACTTGACACCCACTTACCTCTAGCGCTGTGATTACCGTATTACTAAGGCACTTGAAGTTCCAAATAAAAGGCGCACCTCACTATTATTACATTAAAAAGCAGCGGATTTTCAATATTTCTCTATTGAGTTTCTATCACAATCAAATTTAACTTTTTCATTTTTTAGACAGGGTCTCACTCTGTCGCCCAGGCTGGAGTACAGTGGCGCGATCTAAACTCACTGCAGCCTCTACCTCCTGGTCTCAAGATATCCTCCAGCCTCAACCCCCCCCCCCCATTTCATCCATTTCATTCCCCCCCCCCCCCCCCCCGCTTAGTAGCTGGGACCACAGGCGCACGACACCACACCGGTAATTTTTGCATTTTTTTAGAGTCGGGGTTTGGCTGTGTTGCCCAAGCTAGTCTCAAACTCCTGGCCTCAAGTGATCCTCCCACCTCAGCCTCCCAAAGTGCTAGGATTACAGGCATGAGCCACTGCAACCGGCCTTAACTTTTCTTAAAACTCCAAGTTCATATATATGTCTGTGGCTACAGAATCTTGCCTGAATTATTTAAGTGACTCAAACTAGATGGCAAAGAGCAGAGATTAGACGTTTGATAATGCATTCAGCAAACATATATTAATGGGAAAAATTAGTTGTAAGTTGTACCCACAATTTGGAACAATTGTTTCAAAAACGTTTACCTCTGTGACTACCAGGATGATTCAGGCAAATTATTTGAAATGCACATTTTATTAATGGTCAGTAGCTCAACTCTTCACAAATGCAGAGTTCCTTGTATTCCTAGATTATCCTTCCAATGGTATCACTTCTCAGACTACCTAGCTTTGCATGATTTATTAACAATGGCTTGAGTCACAACAAAGCTCTATAAACCAAAAAGAACTTTCTGGGTTTTTTTGTTTGTTCGTTCGTTTGTTTTTTGAGACAGAGTCTTGCTCTGTTGCCCAGGCTGGAGTGCACTGGTGCAATCTTGGCTTACTGCAAACTCTGCCTCCTGGGTTCAAGTGATTCTCCTGCCTCACCTTCCCAAGTAGCTGGGATTACAGGCGCCCGCCACCATGCCTGGCTAATTTTTGTATTTTTAGTAGAGATGGGGTTTCACCATCTTGGCCAGGCTGGTCTTGAACTCCTGACCTCGTGATCCATCCACCTCGGCCTCCCCAAGCGCTGGGATTACAGGCATGAGCCACCGCATCCGGCCATATGCTGTCTTTTCCTAAAACCACTTTGCTTGATGGGTTGGAGAGTTGCAAGCTGGAGAGCCAATTTTAGGGAGAAGTTGGGCTCTAGGATTTGTGGAGCTGTATACAAAGCATTGTCTGCTATTTTTCTCTTCTCGGTTCTATTCATTTCCATTCTATGTCTATTGCTTTCTTTACAGTAAATCCTGCAAAATCATAATGGTAACAGTCTCTGGAGAAAATGTTACAATTTCCTAGTCATTGTTTCCTTCCAGGCATCTATGTTACAAGCCCTTGTTGAAGTGAAAGAACTGTTGCTCCATGTTGTCTAGTACACCTTAAAGAGTCCAGAATACAATGTCTCAAAATATTTTTAGGTGTCTCTAATTAGACCCTTCTAATTACCTGTGGTGTCTCTTAGCCATCCTAGTTTGGATATTAAATTAATACATACTTTTAAATCAGCAGATTAAACTAATGACAAGTGCAATGAAACAGATCCTCTGTACTTTGAAGTGATAATCAAATGTTAATGTTAAGCCAAACTGAGACATACCTAGTTCTTTTAAAACACAACCCTGGGCCTATAAATGGATGGCTCATATGGTTACATCTCTGACTAGGAAACAGTAAGGGTTGCCATGAACCTGGCCATGCGTACACTCTTCCATGTACCGAAATACAAATGTAGTGTGATAACATAGTATGTTGTCGGCCAGGTGCAGTGACTCCCACCTGTAATCCCAGCACTTTGGGCGGCTGAGGCAGGTGGATCACCTGAGGTCAGGAGTTCGAGACCAGCCTGGCCAACATGGTGAAACCCCGTCTCTACTAAAAAAAAAAAAAAAAAAAAAAGCTAGGTGTGGTGGCTCATGCCTGTAATCCTAGCTACTTGGGAGGCTGAGGCAGGAGAATCGCTTGAACCCAGGAGGCAGAGATTGCAGTAAGCCGAGATCATGCCGTTGCACTCCAGCCTGGGCAACAAGAGCGAAACTCCATCTCAAAAAAAAAAAAAAAAAAAGTATGTTGTCATATTATGCCCCATGCCCCATCAATCCTCTGTATTTTATAACAAATGATCCGTTGGGCTCAACAGCCTGCCTGAGAGACTTTGCTAACTCCAATTGCAATAAGCATAAGTTTTGCAAGTTGATCAAAATGAAAGCACATCTGTGACTTGGTACACAAACATACTGTGACACATGGGTGAGAACCACAGAAGTAGACATTCCGCATATACTTGCACAGCGTACTGAGCAGGTGAACCAAGAGTCACTAACAAAAATCATGGTCTAAGGAACTCAAGAGAGTTGGCCATCCTCATGCCATTAAAGAAATGCTAAATTCACCACTCTAAGTTAGGCAGCAACTCCTCCCTGTCGCCCGATCTCATGGCACAAGAGTTGCTATTTATATTTCTGCATCCCACCCTCATGTGTTTATACTTGCATCCTGAGTGCCTAAACAAGGATGGCAACAGATTTTATCTTAGGAGCTAATTCCAGTCTTATACTTGGGTGCCATGTTTTAAAAAATTGTGGGGTTCCATCTAGATTTGGCAAGGAAGTATACAAGTTGATTAATGACTGATTCTCTGTCATGGGCACAGAAGGTGGTAGTGTGACAATGCTATCATGTATTTATCAACCCTGGTGGTAATAGGAGATAATAATGTTAAGTGATTCACCAGATGGGTAAGTGAATTTAAAAACAACACAAAGTCTCTTCATCTGAAGAAGCAGGTATAATATTCATTAATCTGAGGCAAGGTGAGACCATCTCATTACTTATTCCTATTGCATTACTATGTTACTGCAAAAAAAAAAAAAAAAAAAGGAGATTAACTTAGTGCTAAACACTCCTTGTTATGCTATCTCTGTCTAACTCAAGGAACAATCTTTGGCTACAATATTTTTTACCACTTTGGGAGCACTTGTATAAACCTGGATGAAAATAGCTAGCCAAGAAAACAGCTCTGTTTTTCCAAGAGTTGGATCACACCCTGTAAAGGCCAGAGCTCCTTATCTCATTCTGGTCTTGTTTCCTGTCAAACTTGGAAACTAACAGAAATAAATGTTGGCTAATTGCTCCCTTGACTAATGGTTCTTTCTGACCATTGTCCTAATAAAAGTAGAAAGTTGCATCCAACAAGATGCAAGTTGTGTATTGCCAGTTGAACCATAGTCCAACATCCTAGAGATTGAGGAAAAATTAAAAGGAAGATGCCATGATTCAGTGGAGCTGTGTACGTGAAGTGCCAAGCGTGGAGCCTGGTGGGCAGTGAGCACTAAACAAATGATAGCTGTCATTATTGCAATTATTTCAGTCAGTAACTGCGGGGCTTGGAAGAGTATCATTTCAAAAGCACTTTATTGAATAGGTCAATTAAAGTATTAGATTTTAAAAATTCCATAACCGACGTCAGTTTACACAGGAGAAGACTAAAGGCTTAAAGTATTTGCCTAATAAAACTGGTAGTGTCCGTCCCTGAATTAGAACCTGGACATGTTTTTAACAGAAATAAATGCATCATTTAAAGAAATCCTGTTGTATGTCTTGTTTGTTTTACCCTCAAATGCAAAGTGATGCATTAATCATATTGCTCAGCTCACAATAAAAACAATAAAAATAAGAGACATTAACATTTCTCTGTCAGGCTAAGATAGGTCTAACCAGCCAAATTAAGCAAGGATATAAAAACCTTAAACAATATATTAATAATAAATAAGATAGACCTTGGCTGGTCTGAGTGCAGTGGTGTTTACAACTAATTGATCACAACCAGCTACAGATTTCTTTGTTCCTTCTTCACTCCCACTGCTTCACTTGATAAGCCTTTAAAAATAAATAAATAATAACATAGACCTGCTGGATATGATATATGGTAAAGTTTACACTTCAAAAATACAGAAAGGGCCAGACGAGGTGGCTGATGCCTGTAATCCCAGCAATTTGGGAGGTTTAGACAGGTGGATCACCTGAGGTGAGGAGTTCGAGACCATCCTGGACAGCATGGTGAAACCCAGTCTCTACTAAAAATATGAAAATTAGCCAGGCATGGTGGTGAGCGCCTGTAATCCCAGCTACTTAGGAGGCTGAGGCAGGAGAATCGCTTGAACTCCAGAGGCAGAGGTTGCAGTGAGTTGAGATTGCACCACTGCACTCCAGCCTGGGCGACAAGAGTGAAACTCCATCTCAAGAAAAACAAAAAAATAGGCGGGGCATGGTGGCTCATGCCTGTAATCCCAGCACTTTGGGTGGCCAAGGTGGGTGGATCACCTGAGGTCACGAGTTCAAGACCAGCCTGGCCAACACGGTGAAACCCCATCTCTACTAAAAATACAAAAATTAGCCAGGTGTGGTGGCCCACACCTGTAATCCCAGCTACTTGGGAGGCTGAGGCAAGAGAATCACTTGAACCCAGGAGGCAGAGGTTGCTGTGAGCCGAGATCCCGCCACTGCACTCCAGCCTGGGCGACAGAGCGAGACTCCGTCTCAAAAAAAAAAAAAAAAAATACAGAACATACTTTCTTCCCAAGCACATATGGAGTCAGCAATGAAAATTGGCTATATCATAAGGAAATTTTCAATAGTAGAATAAAGCAAATAAAGCAAATTTTATTTTATTTCCTTTTATTTTATTTGAGATAAGGTCTCATGCTGTCACTCATGCTGGAGTGCAATGGTATGATCATGGCTTATTGCAGCCTCGACCTCCTGGGCTCAAGTGATCCTCCCACCTCAGCCTCCTGAGTAGCTGGGACTACAGCAGGCACATGCCACCACACCCAACTAATTTATTATTATTATTATTATTTTGTAAAAGCAGGGTCTCTATATGTTACCCAGGTTGGCCTTGAAGTGCTAGGCTCAAGCAATCCTCCTACCTTGGCCTCTCAAAGTACTGGTACTATAGGCGTGAGCCACATCATCAGGCTCATTTTAGTTAAACAATAATTAGTGAGTAAATAATATAATAAGCTGGGTGCTGTGGCTCACGCCTGTAATCCCAGTACTTTGAGAGGCCAAGACAGGAGGATCGCTTGAGCCGGGGAATTCAAGACCAACCTGGGCAACACGGCAAGACTTTGTCTCTATTTTTTTTTAATTTTAAATAAATAAACAATATAATAAAACTAGAAATCAGTAACAAAAACAGAAGACAAGTAGTTCTTTCCACCTGGAAATTTTAAAGTGCCCTATTAGGCCAGGTACATGGTTCACACCTATAATCCCAACACTTCGAGAGGCAGAGGCAGGCAGATAAGTTGAGGTCAGGAGTTGGAGACCAGCCTAGCCAACATGGTGAAACCTCGTCTCTACTAAAAATACAAAAATTAGCCAGGCATGGTGGCACATGCCTGTAGTCCCAGCTACTCAGGAGGCTGAGGCAGGAGAATCACCTGGAACCCAGGATGCAGAGGTTGCAGTGAGCTGAGATTGTGCCGCTACACTCCAGCTTGGGCAACAGAGGGAGACTCCATCTCAAAACAAACAAACAAACAAACAAAAAACAGAAAAAAAAACCTGAATAAATAAAGTGCCCTACTAAACAACTGTTGGATGAAATGGAAAACAGAATTAAAATTGAGCTTGAATAATTTCTAAAAAATAATAATGAAAACAATACATATCAAAGTCTGTAAAAAAATCGGTGACTAAAGAAAAATTTATAGTTTTAAATATTTCTATTGCTAAAAATGAAAGAACGGCCAAAAATGAATTTGATTTCTCACTGATGCACCTAAACCAGCTACACACACGATGGCTCTCACCTATAATCCTAGCACTTTGGGAGGCCGAGGCAGGCAGATGGCTTGAGCCCAGGAGTTTGAGACCAACCTGGGCAACATGGTGAGCCCCTGTCTCTCCAAAAAGTACAAAAATTAGCCAGCATAATGGTGCGTGCCTGAGGTCCCAGCTCCTCAGGAAGCTGTGGTGAGAGGATTGCTTGGGCCCAGGAGTTGAGGCTCTGGTGAGCCATAATAGCACCACTGCACTCCAGCCTGGGCAACAGAGCCAGAACCTTGTCTCAAGAGGAAAAAAAAAAAAAAAAAGGGCAGGTACGGTGGCTCACGCCTGTAATCCCAGCACTTTGGGAGGCCAAGGTGGGTGGATCACCTGGGGTCAAGAGTTTGAGACCAGCCTGGCCAACATGGTGAAACCTCCTCTTTACTAATAATACAAAAAAAGCTAGCTGGGCATGGTGGTGCATGCCTGTAATTCCAACTTCTCAGGAGGCTGAGGCAGGAGAATCACCTGAACCTGGGAGGTGAAGGTTGCAGTGAGTTGAGATCAAACCACTGCACTGCAGCCTGGGCGACATAGTGAAACTATGTCTCAAAAAAAAAAAAAAAGAAAAGAAAAAAGAAACCTAAATCAAAGTAAATCAAAGAAAAGCAGATTACCCCTTAATAGTTCAAGGTATTAAAAACAAAGAAAGAAAAAGAAAAGCGAAAGTAAAATAAAGATAAAGCAGAAATCAATTATGTCAAATACAGAGAACCAATGTATAAATTACCATGCCAATTATTTGAGGAAACAATTTAATGACAGACCACTAATTAATCAAAACAAGAAGAAGAAAGTATAACACTAAATTTTAAAAAATAAGAGAAGTATAGCCATTGAAACAGAAAATTACATAGTATTATGAAAATACATTTGACTTTTTTTTTTTTTTTGAGACAGAGTTTTGCTGTTGTCACCCAGGCTGGAGTGCAATGGCATGATCTCGGCTCACTGCAACCTCTGCCTCCTGGGTTCAAGTGATTCTCCTGCCTCAGCCTCCCAAGTAGCTGGGATTACAGGTGCCCACCACCATGCCTGGCTAATTTTTGTAATTTTAGTAGAGACGAGGTTTCACCATTTTGGCCAGGCTGGTTTTGAACTCCTGACCTCAGGTGATCCACCTGCCTCGGCCTCCCAAAGTGCTGGGATTACAGACATGAGACACTGTGCTCAAAAATACATTTGAAAGCCTAGATTTAATGGAACTTGCAATATGCCAAAATTAATTTCAGTAGAGATAGATAGCCTAGACAAACCTATTTTACTAGAAAAAATAAAGATATAAAATAACTATCCACACAAAAAAGTATGAGGCCCAGATGGCTTCATGAGGAATTATTCTAAATTTCCAAAGATCTGATACTTAGATGCTGCTACATAAATTGTTTTGCAGCTTTTTCCTTTTATTTCTTTTTCTTTTTATTTAAAATAGAGACAGGGTCTTGCTATGTTGCTCAGGGTGGTCCTGAACTCCCAGCCTCAAGAGATTCTCTCGCCTTGGCCTCATAAAATGCTAAGATTACAAGCATGAGCCACCACACCCGGCTTGGACCATTTTAAAATAAGAAAAACTTCCCAATTGTTTTATGAAGCCAGTGACATTTTATGAAGCCAATCAATATAATATTGATTCCACAATCTGACAAAGACTGTACAAAAAAGTCTATAAACTACTCTCATTTATGAATATGAATGTAAAAAAAAATTCCAAGTCAAGTATTAACAGCAGAATCCAAAAGCACATTTTAAAAATACTTTATGTAATCTTGCTCCTTGGTATTTACCCAAATGAGTTAAATACTTACATTCACACAAAAACCTGTAAGTGAATGTTTATAGCAGCTTTATTCACATTGCCAAAACTTGGTAGCAACCAAGATGTCCTTCAGTAAGTAAATGGATAAATAAATTGTGTTAAACCCAGACAATTGAATATTATTCAGTGCTAAAAAGAAATGAGCTACCAAACCATGAAAAGACAAGGAAGAAACTTAAGTGCATGTTACTAAATAGGAGAAGTCAATCTCCACGTACTGTATGACTCCAAGTATATGATACTCCAGAAAAGACAAAACTATGGAGAGAGTGAAAAGATCAGTGATTGTCAGGATTGGGGGGATGGAGGGATCAATAGATGGAGCACAGAGGATTTTTAGGGCAATGAAACTATTCTGTGTAATTCTACAATGGTGAATACATGTCATCATACATTTGTCAAAATCCAAAGAGTATATGACAAGAAGAGTAATCCCTAATGTAAACTATAGACTTTGCATGATAATGTGTCAATGTAGTTTCATGGATTGTAAACTCTGGTGCCGGATGCTGATAGCGGGGAAAGCTGTGTGCATGAGTGTGTGTGTGGAAGGAGGGCAGTATATGGGAATGCTCTGTACTTTCCACTCAATTTTGCTGTAAATCTAAAATTGCTTAAAAACATAAATTGTCGACATTTTAAAAAATACTTTATGACCCAGGTGAATCTATTCAAAGATTGTAAAGATGGTTCCTATTAAGAAAACCATTAATATAATTCACTATATCAATAGTGGAATAAATCAATAAAGAGGAAAATCAGATTATTTCCACAGGTGCTGAAAAGGCCTTTGATACAATTCAGTATCTATTTCTGTTTTTTAAAAATTCTGAATAAAATAGGAATTGTTGGGTACTTCCTTAACATGATAAAATATATCTCAGCACCTTAATCACTTAGTCATTAGAGGCATTCTTACCAAAGTCAGGAAAAAAGCAAGGATGCTCACTATCTCCACTGTAATTTAATATTTGAATGGAGATTAGCCAACATAATAAGACAAAACAATTCAAATAAAGGTTTAAAATATAGCAAAGAAGTTTAATTACATCTACTGATATTATGAGAATATACCTAGAAAACCCAAGATAATTCATCTTAAACATTAAGGAATTCATTGATGTAGCTAGATTTAAAATTAACACACAAGCTGGGCACAGTGGATCACACCTGTAATCCCAGCACTTTGAGAGCCCTAGGCAGGTGGATCGCTTGGAGTTTGAGACCAGCCTCGGCAACATTGCAAAACCCCCTCTCTACAAAACACACACACACACACGGGCATAAAAATTAGCCTGGTATGGTGGGGCACACCTATAGCCCCAGCTACTCCAAAGGCTAAGGTGGGAGGATCACTTGAGCCTGGGAGGTAGAGGTTGCAGTGAGCTGTGATCTCGTCTGCACTCCACCTGTACTCCAGCCTGGGTGACAGAATGAGACCCTATCTCAAAAAAAAATTAAATTAACATACAAAAAACAATACCCTTCATACATATCAAACAACAAGATAGAAGATTTAAAGTAAAAGCAAACCCCATTGACAAAAGCAACAAAAAAGGTAAAATATCTAAGAGTAAACGTAACAGAAAGTATGCAGACTTATATGAGAAAAACCTGAAAACACCCTTGAAAGACACAATGGTAACCCTGAACAAACAAAAAGGATCCTTTGTTCTTGGATAAGGCAAATATAATCATAAAGATGTCAATTTTCTCCAAAATTCATATATGTATAGGCCAGCACAGTGGCTCACGCCTATAATCCCAGCACTTTGGGAGGCCGAGGCCGGCGGGTCATTTGAGGTCAGGAGTTCCAGACCAGCCTGGCCAACATGGTGAAACCCCCATCTCTACTAAAAATACAAAAATTCGCTGGGTGTGGTCAAGTGCCTGTAATCCCAGCTACTCAGAAGGCTGAGGCAGGAGAATCACTTGAACCCGGGAGGCAGTGGTTGCAGTGAGCTGAGATCACATCATTGTGCTCCAGCCTGGGCAACAAGAGCAAGACTCTGTATCAATAAAAAAAAAAAGGAGAAAAAGAAAAATGGGCAAAAGGGCCGAGTGCTGTAATCCCAGCACTTTGGGAGGCTGAGGTGGGCAAATCACTTGAGGCCAGGAGTTTGAGACCAGCCTGGACAACATGGCAAAACCCTGTCTCTACTAAAAATACAAAATTAGCCTGTGATCCCAGCTACTCGTGAGTCTGGGTCACAAGAATTGCTTGAGCCTGGCAGGCGCAGGTTGCAGCCAGCTGATATGGTGCCACTGCACTCGGCCTGGGTGACAGAGTGAGACTCTGTCTCAAAACGACAACAACAACAAACAAACAAACAAAAAGAAGAAGAAAAATGGGCAAAAAAAGGCCAGGCGCGGTGCTTACGCCTGTAATCCCAGCACTTTGGGAGGCTGAGGCAAGCGGATCATGAGGTCAGGAGATTGAGACCACCCTGGCTAACATGGTGAAACCCTGTCTCTACCAAAAATACAAAAAAAATTAGCCGGGCATGGTGGTGGGTGCCTGTAGTCCCAGCTACTCGGAAGGCTGAGGCAGGAAAATAGTGTGAACTTAGGAGGTGGAGCTTGCAGTGAGCTGAGATCGCACCACTGCACTCCAGCCTGGGCGACAGAATGAGACAATGTCTCAAAAAAAAAAAAAAAAAAGAAAGAAAGAAAGAAAAAGAAAAATGGGCAAAAAACATGAACAGACAATTCACAGAAAAATATATGTCTCAAACCCTTACGAGACATTCAACTTCATAAGAGAAATCTGAATAAAAACCAAACAGAAATATCATTTACTATCTATTAGTTTGGCAAAGATTCAAAAGCTTGACAATGTACTCTGTTCATGTGGCTCTGTGGAAAAACATTCTCAAGTTGTTGCTGAGAGTGCAAAATGGTTCAGCTCCAAATGGAGAAAATTTTGGTAATATCTAGCAAAACTACATATAACCTTACAAGAACTTGCCCTGAGGAGATACCTAAAGAAAAACAGAAACAACATATGCACAAGGTTGTCCATTGCAGCACCATTTGTTTCATTGACAGATGATTTATCTTAGGGTTTGCAAATGGAGGCAGAGAATGGAAGGCGGAAGAAGGGAAGAGATGTGCTTCCTGTTTCCAGTTCCAGTCAGGTCCCCCAAGCAGCATGAGGACAGCTATACATCCAGCCTTTTGCTTTTTTAGGGGCTCACAGCTTCAACTACTTGGCCCCTTCTTTCCAGAAGTTCCAACATCAATCTCAGAATGCACCCAACTGAGCAACATCTGTGGTGCACCAGAGAACCAGTCCCATGGCGCCCCCCAGAGGTTTCAGCTGTGGAGTATCTGCTCTCAAGGACTGAGCACAGCCACTTGGGGCCCCCCCTCTAAGCCCCTAGATTCTATTAATGCTACTTCTCATTTTGTTTCCCCTGCCCTAGGGGTGATGTCTCCTTTCCACAGTTTTTTGTTTTGTTTTGTTTTGTTTTGTTTTTGAGACAGAGTTTTGCTCCTGTTGCCCAGGCTGGAGTGCAATGGCGCAATCTCGGTTCACTGAAACCTCTGCCTCCCGGGTTCAAGCGATTCTCCTGCCTCAGCCTCCTGAGTAGCTGGGATTACAGGCATGCACCACCACACCCGGCCTAATTTTTGTCTTTTTAATAGAGATGGGGTTTCTCCATGTTGGTCAGGCTGGTCTCAAACTCCCGACCTCAGGGGATCCGCCTGCCTCGGCCTCCCAAAGTGCTGAGATTACAGGCATGAGCCACTGCGCACAGCCTCTACAGTTATTAGTTAAAGGAGACCTAAAGAAGTGAAGGGATATATCTTGTTCATGTAATGGCGATGAACAGAATGCCTTTGGCAGAGACATTTAAAATTGGAGTTCCTGCCTGTAATCCCTGCTACTGGGGAGGCTGAGGTGGGATGATCCCTTAAACCCAGGAATTCAAGGCCAGCCTGGCAATATAGTGAGACCCCTTTCAAAAAAAAAAAAAAGGAAGGAAGGAAGGAGGAGGGAAGGGAGGGAGGGAAAAGGAAGGAAGGAGGGAGGGAGGGAGGAAGGAAGGAAGGAAGGAAGGAAGGAAGGAAGGAAGGAAGGAAGGAAGGAAAGGAAAGAAAGGAAGAAATACAAAAAACTGGGTTCCCTGAATGACCCTATAAAGCAAAACCAGTTCCCATGCTAAAATGCTTATTTTGGAGCAGTTACTTGAAAAAGACAAAAGCCTACTTTTTTTTTTGAGACAGGGTCTTGCTCTGTCCCCCAGGCTGGAGTGCAATGACGCTGTCTCAGCTCACTGCAACCTCCAACCTCCCAGGTTCAAGTGATTCTCCTGCCTTAGCCTCCCAAGTAGCTGGGATTACATTCATGTGACACCACGCCCGGCTAATTTTTTCTATTTCTGGTAGAGAGGAGGTTTCACCATGTTGGCCAGGCTGGTCTTGAACTCCTGAACTCGGGTGATCCACCCACCTAGGCCTCCCAAAGTGCTGGGATTATAGGCGTGAGCCACCGTGCCCGGCCCCAAAAGTCTATATTCTTTAAGTCCCTCTATTTGGGGTTATCTTTTCTTCAGCAAGCTTAAGCTAAACCCATACTAAGACATTGGATTAAAAATTTAAACGTGATAACCAAAATGTTAACACTTTCAGAAGATAAAATTATCTTTTTAGCTTCAGGGTGTGGAATAATGTCTTAAGACATAAGACAAATCACAGAAAGAAGATCTTTTCCGCACATAATAAAGACCTAGAATCCAGAAAATATCTATTTTTTAAAATCTTTATTTATCTATCTATCTTTATTTATTTTTCTTGAGACAAGGTCTTGCTCTGTTGCCCAGGCCAGAGTGCAATTGTGTGATCTTGGCTCACTGCAGCCTCGACCTCCCAGTCTCAAAGGGTCCTCCCACCTCAGTCTCTCAAGTAGCTGGGATTACAGGCATAAGCCACTGCACAAGGCCTCAGAATATATCTAGAACTTTTATAAATCAGTACAAAAAAATAAACAAATGACTAGAATAGCTGAACTGCAACTTTAGAGAAGAAAAAATTCCAAATGGTCAGTAAATGGGCGTGGGGGGTGGTAATGCTCAATCTTATTAGTAATCAGAAAAATTTAAATGAGGGCCATAGTGAGGTAACGTTTTTACCCGTTAGACTGGCAAAATTAAGAAATCTTAGGCCGGGCGCGGTGGCTCACACCTGTAATCCCAGCACTTTGGGAGGCCAAGGTAGGCGGATCACGAGGTCAGGAGATGGAGAACATCCTGGCTAACACGGTGAAACCCCATCTCTACCAAAAATACAAAAAATTAGCCGGGCATGGTGGCACATGACTGTAGTCCCAGCTACTCGGGAGGCTGAGGCAGGAGAATCACTTGAATCTGGGAGTTGGAGGTTGCAGTGAGCCAAGATCACGCCACTGATTCCAGCCTGGGCAACAGAATGAGACCCCGTCTAAAAAAAAAAGAAGAAGAAATTTGAAAATACTAAGCATTGGTGAGGATATGAATCACTAGGAACTTTTCACATGCCTCTACTGGAACCATAAGTGGAAGTGGAAGTTGGTAAAACAATTTTAAACATCAATTTCACATTATCTTATAAAATTTGAAAATTTGCAAACCTTAAGACAGAGAATTTCTACTCCTAGGCATATGCTATGTATAGCTAGAGCATTTGCAAAATGTACACGTAGGCTAGGAAACCTGGTGGCTCACACCTGTAATCCCAGCACTTTGGGAGGCTGAGGAGAGAGGATCACTTGAGCCCAGGAGTTCAAGGCAAGCTGGGGAAACATAGTGAGATCCCATCTCTACAAAAAATTTTAAAATTAGCCAAGCTCAGTTATGCGTGCCTATAGTCTGGCTACTACGGAGGCTGGGAGGATTGCTGGAGCCAAGGAATTAGAGGCTGCAGTGAGCTATGATTGCGCCACTGCATTCCAGCCTCGGTGACACAGCAAGACCCTGTTAAAAAAAAACAACAGTAAATACATAAATAATGTACATGGATAAAAATGACTCATATATATATTTCCAGCAACATTATTTTTCTAAATAAAATATTAATGAATAATTTACTTATAATAAAATGCACAAATTTTAAATGTACAGTTCAATGAGTGCTACCAGCTTCACAATCAAAGTTTTTTTGTTTTGTTTTGTTTTTTGAAATGAAGTCTTGCTCTGACACCCAGGCCAGAGTGCAATGGCATAATCTCGCTCACTACAACCTCCACCTCCCAGAGTAGCTGGGACTACAGGAGCATGCCACCATGCCCAGCTAATTTTTGTATTTTTAGTAGAGACAGGTTTCCCCATGTTCACCAGGCTGGTCTCAAACTCCTGACCCCAGATGATCTACCCGCCTTGGCCTCCCAAAGCGCTGGGATTACAGGCGTCAGCCACTGTGCCCAGCCCTTATAGTCTTTTTAATTTTCGCCATTTCATTGTCATCTTGATTTGCATTTCCCTAATGACTACTGATGTTGAGCATCTTTTATGTGCTTATTGGACATTTGCATTTTTTTGGAAAAATGTCTAGTCTATTCAGATACTTTGCTCTTTTTTTTTTTTTTTTTTTTTTTTGAAACAGAGTCTCACTTTGTCATCCAGCCTGGAGTGCAGTGGCACAATCTCAGCTCACTGAAACCTCTGCCTCCTGAGCTCAAGCAATCCTTCTACCTCAGCCTCCCAAGCAGCTGGGACTACAGGCCCATGGCAATATACTGAGCTAATTTTTACATTTTTTTGTAGAGACAGGGGGGTCTTACTATATTGCCCAGGCTGGTCTCAAACTCCTGGGCTCCAGCAATCCACCTGCCTTGGCCTCTTAAAGTGCTGGGATTACAGGCATGAGCCACTGCATCTGGCACTTTCCTCATTTTTTAAATTGAATTGTTTGTTTTTACTGTGGAGTTGCAAAAATTCTTTAATTATTCTGGATACAAGTCCCATACCTGACATATGACTAGCAAATATTTTCTCCAATTCTGTGTGTTGTCTTCATTGTATTGATGATGTCCTTTGAAGTACAAAAGTTTTTCATTTTGATAAAGTCCAATTTATCTATTTTTTTCTTTTGTTGCTATAATTTTGGTATTCTATTAAGAAACCATCACCTGACCCAAAGTCACAAAGATATACACATAGGCTTTCTTCTAAGAGTTTCATAGTTTTAGCTCTTCCTTTTTAGGTCAATGATCCACTTTCAGTTAATTTTTGTGTATTGTGTGATGTAGGGGTCCAGCTTCAGTCTTTTGCATCTGAATATTCAATTGTCCCAACACCATTCATTGAAAAGACTATTTTTTCCCATTGAATTTTCTTGGCACTCGTGTTAAAAATCAATTGACCATAATATAAGAGTTATTCATTCCTTCCTGTACTTCTGAATTTACATCTTATATAATTTCCTGCATCCTTAAGAGTTTCCCTTAGCATTTCTTGTTGTGGCAGCATTACTTATAATAGTAACACAAATTAAAAGCTCCCCAGTGTCCAAAGATGAAAGAATGGATTGATAAAATGAGTTATTTTCTTACAATGGAATATCATCTAACAATGAAAATGAATCTACTATAACTACATACAAAAGCACAGACACCACTTAGAAACAGAATATTAACAACCCTGGCTTTTGTTCTCTGTGAGATGAGAATTCGCTGTAATGTTTTGTAGCAGAGGAAGAATATTATCTAACTTACATTCTTACAGGATTAATTTGGCTGCTGTGTTGAGCACAGACTGTCGGGGGAGAAAGGAGAGGCAAAGACAGATGTTGGCAGATCCACTGTGAGGCCATTGCAATAATTCAGGCAAGAGATGATGGTGTCTTGGACCAAGGTGGTGGTAGTGGGAACGGTAAATGACAGAACTCTGGCTATATTTTGAAGGCACAACCAACAAAACTTTAGGGTGTCAGTGAAGGAAAGGAATCAAGTAGGTGCTATAGGTATTAGAATGAAAAGAAAATAAGTAACCTTTATTTTTCAAAATAATAGCTTAGTTGGCATAATGATATTACAAAAACTGAAGAATGGTAAGTGAAAGGAGTCAGTGACCCCAATGTTTATAGTCTGAACAAATGAAGAAACAGTCTTATATTGTTGTCTGCACTTTTCTATATTTTTGAAGTATTTTATAATACATAAATGGTGAGAATACATAACTTCTAAAAACAAGCCTGGGTGTGGTGACTAATGCCCATAATCCCAGCACTTTGGGAAGTCAAGATGGGCAGATTGCATGAGCCCAGGAGTTCGAGACCAGAATGGGGAACATGGTGAAACCCCATCTCTACAAAAAATACCAAAAAATTAGCCAGGCATAGTGGCACATGCCTGTAGTTCCAGCTACTTGAGAGTCTGAGGTGGGAGGATCACCTGAGCCAAGGAAGTCGAGGCTGCATTGCACTGCACTCCAGCCTGAGTGACACAGTGCGACCCTGTCAAAAGGAACTAGAAATGCAAATTAAAATATTAATTGAAATATTTGGATATTTTCACCTTTTTTTTTTTTTTTGAGACAGAGTTTTGCTCTTGTTTCCCAGGCTGGAGTGCAACGGCACGATCTCAGCTCACTGCAACCTCTGCCTCCCAGGTTTAAGTGATTCTCCTGCCTCAGCCTCCTGAATAGCTGGGATTACAGGCATGTGCCACCATGCCCAGCTAATTTCGTATTTTTAGTAGAGACGGGGTTTCTCCATGTTGGTGAGGCTGATCTTGAACTTGTGACCTCAGGTGATCTGCCCACCTCAGCCTCCCAAAATACTGGGATTACAGGCGTTAGCCACCACGCCCGGCCTTGGATATTTTCAAAATAAGAATAATATTTAAGAAATGAGGTACTAGAAAACACTGATGCTAATGGGAATATCTCAAAGATTAACATGTACTTTCAGGGCTGGAAATACACACACACACACACACACACACACACGCAAATATCTACATTAAGATATGTACATACGTAAGGCCAGGCATGAGGGTTCATGCCTGTAATCCCAGCAGTTTGGGAAGCCAAAGAGGGCGGATCACTTGAGGTCAGGAGTTTGAGACCAGCCTGGCCAATGTGGTGAAACCCCGTCTCTACTAAAAATACAAAAATTAGGCGGGTGTGGAGGCGGGCACCTTAATCCCAGCTACTCAGGAGGCTGATGCTGGAGAATTTCTTGAACCCCAGAGGCAGAGGTTGCAGTGAGCTGAGATTGGACCACTGTACTCCAGCCTGGGCAACAGGGAGAAACTGCCTCAAAAAATAAAAACAGAAATAAAAAATAAAAATATCAATATGTACTTTCAAACTTTTTATAAAATCCTGTATTACAATAATTACATATCCATGATAACTGGTTTTATCTACTTTAAAAAACTCTTCATGGATGCATCTTTAGCACCTAGGAAAACAGCAGGCACATAATATGCCGTCAATAGATAGTTGTTGAATTAATGAATAAATAAAAGAAGCTTTATTTATTTTATTTTATTTACTTGTTATCTGAACTCCACAAATGCTACATTTGACTTACACTATTCTGCACAATAAGAATTAAGAAATTGGACAAATGTGGCCAGGCGTGGTGACTCATGCCTGTAATCCCAGCACTTTGGGAGGCCGAGGCAGGTGGATCACGAGGTCAAGAGATCGAGACCATCTGGCCAACATGGTGAAACTCTGTCTCTACTAAAAATACAAAAATTAGCTGGGTGTGATGACGTGTGCCTGTAGTCTCAGCTACTTGGGAAGCTGAGGCAGGAGAATCACTGGAACCCAGGAGGTGGAGTTTGCAGTGAACTGAGATCACGCCACTGCACTCCAGCCTGGCAACAGAGTGAGACTCTATCTCAAAAAAAAAAAAAAAAGAAAGAAAAAGAAATTGGACAAATGCAGTTGCTCACACCTGTAATCCCAGCACTTTGGGAGGCCAAGGCAGGAGGATCACTTAAGGCCAGGAGTTCGAGACCAGCCTGGGCAACATAGCAAGACCTAATTTCTACAGGAAAAAAGAATTAAGAGACTGACATAGTTGTGTTGTTATTATCAGAGTAAATTTCATTCATTACTAAATCAGTCTGAAGAACTTTAAACAAACAAACAAAATAACCCAAGGATGAATTTTCTTTTCTTTTTTTAAATTTTTTCTGAGATGGAGTCTCACTGTGTCACCCAGGCTGGAGGGCAGGGGTACAATCTCAGCTCACTGCAACCTCTGCCTCCCGGAATCAAGCAATTTTTATGCCTCAACCTCTCAAGTAGCTAGGATTACAGGTATGTGCCCCCACACCTGGTTAATATTTGTATTGAATTTTCTGAAAGAGATATTTTAATCTGTGAAATATATGAACATATTAAATTAAGAAACTCAGAAGAGTTCCTTAAATATTCTTTGCTATATGTATTTTGGAATGTGCCTACTCAAAGGAGATTACCAAAAAAATGAGACTGCCTTTTGAGATGGAAGATAGAGCAGCTTCTGTTCCATAGGACAGGATTCTATGTTGGTACATTTATCATTCTTACTAGGTGATAGCAAAGCAGACTCAACACAGTAGTTACTCAAGTGTGGTTATCATACCACTAGGGGGGACACATGATTATTTTAGTTGATGAAATACAGACACATTAAAAAAAAATCTGCATTTCCATGGATATTAGTGATTAGGACTAGGTTAAAAAAAGCATTACAATGAAAGGAGTATGAATCAACTTAAAATTATTTTTTAAATAATCGCACAGTTAGCATGATATTGCAAAAATTATTAAGTTTTAGAAATATTAGGTTAAAAGTATAAGGAAGGGTACAAAGCACATTGTATGCCATTAATAGGGAGTTATTAATTGAATTAGATTTGGAAACAGAATTGGGAATCTAGACACATGCTACTTCCAAATGATCCATAGACAATGATTCAAGGAACGGATAAACAGTATATTAGAGAAGAGGTGCTAGAACTTAGCTGGGGGTTTATCATAGACAAACATAGGTAGTTCTTTTGTTAATCAGCGGTCTGCTTGTTAAGTGCCAGTTGGTCTGTTATATGTCTGGCTTCACTTATATGTATGTTTTTTTCTTTTTTTGATCCACTGCTAAGAATCTGTCGTCACATATATTATCTATTTGAGAAAGAAAAGTACAAGAAGATAAGCACTATAGATTTGTATTCTACCTCCTCTCATATTTGGTATGGCAGAACATGTATGTGGATATTTAATAAATATTTTAATACTAATGAAAGAGCAGTATGTAACATAGAATTTGATTCAGAAAAAGAACATTTCTTTTCTTTTCTTTTTTTTTGGACAGGGCCTTGCTTTGTCACCCAGGCTGGAGCACAGTGGCATGATCATAGTGCACTGCAGCCTTGAAATCCTGGGATCCAGGGATCTTTCTGTTTCTGCTTCCCAAAGTGCTAGGATTACAGGTGTGAGCTACTGCACCCAGCCAATATATGCATTATTATTTTTTATTTTTACTTTTTTTATACAGGGTCTATATCAAAAGCCTCTGTCACCCAGGCTGGAGTGCAGTGGAGTGATCTCAGCTCACTGCAGCCTTGACCTCCCAGGGCCTCCCGAGAGCTGGGACTATAGGCACGTGCCACCATACCGGACTAATTTTTTTTTTTTTTTTTTTTTTTTGGTAGAGACAGGTTCTCGCCATGTTGCCCAGGCTGGTCTTGAACTCCTGGGTTCAAGCTAACCTCCCGCCTCTGCCTCCCAAAGTGTTGAGATTACAGGTGTGAGCCATGGCACCCGGTCTGCATTATTATTTACCAGTAAAATTATCCTACTTTGGTATATTTTAAGTAAATTGTTAAACTCTGGCTTATTAAAAATTATGGCTTTCTTCTGACGATTTCTTCTTCTATGACAATAAACACTGTAAAACAGAGAGGTAGAGAATCCACCAAATCATGCACTTCTGTCATAACTGTGTTCTACACTCCTCAGCTGAACCTAAAATAATAATTTTTCTCTGGTGAATTATTATGATTTTCAAATTCAGAAGAGAATTTCTCAGACCTCAGAGATTAGAGGAATTACAGAATTAGAAATACTGGCTAAGGCCGGGAATGGTGGCTCACGCCTGTAATCCCAGCACTTTGGGAGGCCGAGGTGGGAGGATCACTTGAGCCCAGGAGTTCCAGACCAGCCTGGGCAACATGGTAAAACCCCATCTCCACTATGTTGCCCATGGCTGGTGTTGAACTCCTGGATTCAAGAGATCGTCCCATCCCAGCCTCCCAAAATGCTGGGATTACAAGTGTGGGCCACCACACTCAGCTGGCCTCCTTTTATTTCTGCTTCTCATTGCCTTAGTTGACAACCAAGCTAAATTTATCTTTAGAGCTCAGACAAAAATGAGCATGATTAATTTGAAAATCATAATTTAGTAGCATTATTTTTTAATCTAGCATGTTTATTTTGAACATTTATCAATAAACCTCTTTGCCACTAATAGACTATTACAAATCAAAATAATAATTTTTTGTGGGATACAAGAATAAAATACTGAAAAATCTAAACACAGTGTCTATAAAAATGTCTCTTGAATATTGAAATTTAAAAAAAATATGTTTTCTAGTTAGTTTTTAAAATAATGTGATATTTTAGTGACTTCAATAATCATTAAGATTCTTAGAAGAATGAACATTATATTCATGCTGGGTGCAGTGGCTCACACCTGTAATCCCAGCACTTTGGGAGGCTGAGGTGGGCGGATCATCTGAGGTCAGGAGTTCAAAACCAGCCTGGCCAACATGGCGAAAGTAAAATACAAAAATTAGCCAGGTGTGGTGGTGCATGCCTGTAGTATCAGCTACTCAGGAGGCTGAGACAGGAGAATCACTTGAACCCAGGAGGTGGAGGTTTCAGTGAGCCGAGATTGTGCCACTGCACTCCTGCCTGGGAGACAGAGTGAGATCCCATCTCAAAAAAAAAAAAAAAAAAAAAAAAGAATGAACATTATATTCTAATATTATCTATTTCCAGAAGTCAATGAGAAATGAATGTGTCAAGAAAAAAATAGAAGAATCAGACAAATACACAAGCTAAAACAAAAATCAAGAGCAAATGTCAAGAACAACAAAAAGAATCAAATCATGTTCAGACTTTTTCTTCTACAACATTAGATACTGGAAAGTAAAAAAACAAAATCCTTGTATTTTGATAGAAAGAGGTAGAGTCCCAGGACTTCTATATTTAGTCAAGGTGTCACTTCATATGTGAAGACAACACAAACAAAATTCAGATATGCAAGGGGTCTGAAGATACGTACCACCCATAACTCTTCCTGAAAAAACACTCAAAGATTCTAGCTAATCAAGAGCATCGCCAAAATAGAGATTCAAAAATAAAGAGATCGGCTGGGTGCTGTGGCTCACTCCTGTAACCCCAGCACTTTTAGGAGGCCGAAGCGGGTGGATCACCTGAGGTCAGGAGTTCCAGACCAGCCTGGCTAAACTGGTGAAACCCTGTCTCTGCTAAAAATACAAAAATTAGCCGGGCAGGGTGGCAGGTGCCTGTAATCCCAGATACTCGGGAGGCTGAAGAAAGAGAATCACTTGAACCCGGAAGGTGGAGGTTGCAGTGAGCTGAGATCACACCACTGCACTCCAGCCTGGGTGACAGAATGAGACTCTCACAAAAAAAAAAAAAAAAAAAAGAATGGGATCACTGTATTGAAAGATTGGTGGTGAGAAATAGGCTCCCATTTAATAATAGAATAGTATTATAATAATTATGAACAATCACGAAACAAGTCAAACTGTTATTAATAAGTATTCGAAAAATTCAAATGTCCTAATAACTTTTAATTTTAATTAATTAATTAAAATTTTTTTTTGAGATGAAGTCTTGCTCCATTGCTGAGGCTGGAGTGCAGTGGCATGATCATGGTTCACTGCAGCCTTGAACACCTGGGCTCATGCAATCCTCCCTCCTCAGCCTCACGAGTAGCTGGGACCATAGGTACACGCCACCACTCCCAGTTAATTTTTAAAAATTATTTGTAGAGACAAGGTCTTGCTATGTTGCCCAGGCTAGCCTCAAACTCCTGGACAAAAGGGATTCTCCTATCTGCTTCTCAAAATGCTGGGATTACAGGCATGAGCCACCATGTCTGGCCCATTTTTAATTTTTTTGAAGTATACAATTTAATAGCTACTAATATATTCACAATGATGTATCCATTAATACAACCCATTTTAGAATATTTTGTTACCCTCAAAAAAAAAAAAAACCTCACACTGTTTAGCCTTCACCCCATCACCACTACCCCACTCCCTGTCCTAGGCCACTACTAATCTACTTTCCATCTCTAAAGATTTCCCTAATCTGGACATTGCATATAAATGGAATGATATAATATATGGATGGTCCTTTGTGACTGGCTTCTTTCACTTGGCATAACGTTTTCAAGTTTCACCCATCTTGTTCTATGTATCAGCACTTCATTCCTTTTTATGGCCAAATAATATCCCGTATAGAATATATGCCACTTATTATATTTCAAATAACATTCCAGATTAATTGGTTGATAGGCATTTGCTTTTTTTACACCTTTGGGCTATTAAAATAATGTTGTTGTCTGGGCACAGTGCCTCATGCCTGTAATCCCAGCACTTTGGGAGGCTGAGGTGGGAGGATTACTTGAGCCCAGGAGTTCAAGATCAGCCTGGGGAACAAAGTGAGACCCCCGTCTACCCCAAAAATAAAAAAAATTATCTGGGGCAGTGCATGTCTGTAGTCCCAGCTATTTGGGAGGCAGGCTGAGGAGGTAGGATAGCTTCATCCCAGGAGGGTTGAGGCTGCAGTGAGCTGTATTCCCACCACTACACCCCAGCCTGGGCAACAGAGCAAGAGCTGTCTTTAAAATAATAAATAAAAATAATGTTAATAAAGTAAAAATAAATAAAAAATAAAAATATGAGAATTTGGGCATAAGTTTTTGTGTAGATACGTTTTAATCATTCATCTTGAGTATGTGTATCTAGGAGTGGAATTGCTGGAGCATATGGTAACTCTGTGATTAACTATTTGAAGAAGAAACGCTAGACTTTTTTTGTTTTTTTTTGTTTGTTTGTTTTTGACACAGGATCTTCCTCTGTTGTCCAGGCTGGAGTGCAGTGACATGACCATGGCTCACTGCAACCTTGACCACTTGGGCTCAAGCAATCCTCTCGCCTCAGCCTCCCGAGTAGCTGGTACCACAGGTGCGTGCCACAACAACCAGCTCGTTTTTTAAAACTTTTTTCGTAGAGATGGGGTCTCATTATGTTGCTCAGGCTAGTCTTGAACTCCTGGCCTCAAACGATCCTCCCACCTCGACCTCCTAAACTGTTGAAATTACAAGTGTGAGCTACCATGCCTGGCCCCAGACTTTTTTTTGAAGGGGCAGCACCATTTTACATGTCCATCAGCAATATATGAGGGTTCTAATTTCTACACATGCTATCCAATATTTATTGTTGGTCTTTTTTTATTATAGCCATTCTAATATCTCATTGTGGTACTATCGTAAGTGGCATCTCATTGGAGTTTCAGTTGAGTTTTTCTAATGCCCACTGATATTGAACATCTTTTTTTGTATTTATTGGCTACTTACATAGTCTTCCCTTGGTATCTGCAAAAGATTGGTTTCAGAAACACACGATGATACCAAAATGCAAGGATGCTCGTCTCACTTATACAGAATGGCATAGTATTTGCATATAGCCTATGAACATCCTCCCATACACTTTATTTTTATTTATTTATTTATTTATTTATTTTTTGAGATGGAGTCTCACTCTGTTGCCGAGGCTGGAGTGCAGTGTCATGATCTTGGCTCACTGCAACCTCTGCCTCCCAAGTTCAAGTAATTCTCCTGCCTAAGCCTCAGTTTTGATTTTTGAGGTAGACGGGGGTCTCACTTTGTTCCCCAGGCTGATCTTGAACTCCTGGGCTCAAGTAATCCTCCCACCTCAGCCTCCCAAAGTGCTGGGATTACAGGCACCTGCCACCATGCCTGGCTAATTTTTATATTTTTAGTAGAGACAGGTTTTACCATGTTGGCCAGGCTGGTCTTGAACTCCTCACCTCAGGTGATCCACCCGCCTCAGCCTCCCAAAGTGCTGGGATTACAGGTGTGAACCACCTCACCAGGCCCATCCCATATACTTTAGATTATCTCTAGATTACTTACAATACCTAACATAATGTAAATATGGTCTAACTAGGTGTTGTACTGTATTTTTTAATTTGTATTATTTTTTATTGTTGTATGTTATCTTTATTTTATTTTTTCCCAAATATGTATTTTTTCCCTTGAGACAGGGTCTCACTCTGTCACCCAGGCTGAAGTGCAGTGGCATGATCATGGCTCATGGCAGCCTCAACCTCCTGGGCTCAAGGAATCCTCCCACCACAGCCTCTGGAGCAGCTGGGGTTACAGGCATGCACCACCACACCTGGCTAATTTTTTTTTTTTTTTTTTTGAAAGACGAAGACTCGCCTTGTTGCCCAGGCTGGTCTCAAACACTTGAGCTCAAGTGATCCACCTGCCTCAACCTCCCAAAGTGCTGAGATTACAGGCATGAGCCACTGTGCCCAGCCCCAAATATTTTCAATCTGCTGTTAATTGAAACTGCAAATGTAGAACCCATGGATATGAAGGGCTTACTGTATATGTTGTTTGTAGTCATGACTATTTAAATCCTTTGCCAATTTCTTGGCTGATCTCATCTTGCTGAGATCAGTCCGCTCTCCCCCTGTGAGAGTGTAATACTGTGCTTAATAAACTTTTGCTGCTTTCTTTGCTGTAAAAAAAAATCCTTTGCCCATTTCTTTTCTTTTTTTCTTTTTCTTTCTTTTTTTTTTTTTTTTTTTTTTTTTTTTTTTGAGACAGAGTTTCAATCTTGTTGCCCAGGCTGGAGTGCAATGACACGATCTCGACTCACCACAACTTCCGCCTCCCAAGTTCAAGCAATTCTCTTGCATCAGCCTCCCAAGTAGCTGGGATTACAGGCATGCGCCACCACACCCGGCTAATTTTTGTATTTTTAGTAGAGACAGGGTTTCTCTGTGTTGGTTAGGCTGGTCTCGAACTCCCAACCTTAGGTGATCCACCTGCCTCGGTCTCCCAAAGTGCTGGGATTACAGGCGTGAGCCACCGCGCCCGGCCTGCACATTTCTTAATTGGGCCATCTTTTTGTTGTAGTTGAGTTGCAATAATTTTTTTTTTTTTTTGAGACAGAGTCTTGCTCTGTCACCCAGGCTGGCATGCAGTGGCACAATCTCGGCTCACTGCAACCTCTGCCTCCTGGGTTCAAGTGATTCTCCTGTGTCACCTTCCCAAGTAGCTGGGATTCCAGGTATGTGCCACCATGCCCAGCTAATTTTTGTATTTTTAGTAAAGATAGGGTTTCACCATGTTGGCCTGGCTAGTCTCAAACTCCTAACCTCAGGTGATCCACCCGCCTCAGCCTCCCAAAGTGCTGGGATTACAGCCGTGAGCTACCGTGCCCAGCTGCAAGAATTCTTTATATATTAAGGATACTAAACATTTATCAGGTATATAATTTGCAAATATTTTCTCCCACTCAAGTGGGTTGTCTTTTCACTTTCTTGGGGAGTTTTTAAAGCTCAAAAGTTTTTACTTTTGATGAAGTTTAATTATCTCTTTCCTATTTTATAGCTTGTGCTTATGGTGTCCTCTCTAAGAAATCATTGCCTAACACAAGGTCACAAAGATATCCCCCTAGATTTTTTTCTAAGAGATTTATGTTTTAACTCTTATAAATTGATTATCTGTTTTTGGTTAATTTTTGTAAGTGGTGTGAGATTCAATTTCATGTTTGTAGGTGTCATTCTTGCGCATGTGGATATCATGTTGTCCCAGGAACATACATTGAAAAAACTATTGTTGGCCAGGCGCGGTGACTCACGCCTGTAATCCCAGCACTTAGGGAGGCCAAGGCAGGCAGATCATGAGGTCAAGAGATCAAGACCATCCCGGCCAACATGGTGATACCCCATCTCTACTAAAAATACAAAAAAATTAGCTGGGTGTGGTGGCACATGCCTGTAGTCCCAGCTACTCGGGAAGCTGAGGCAGGAGAATCGCTTGAACCTGGGAGGTGGAGGTTGCAGTGAGCTGAGATTGTGCCACTCAACTCCTGACTGGCAACAGAGCGAGACTCGGTCTCAAAAAAAAGAAAAGACTATTGTTTTTCTACTGATTTTTTTGGCATGCTTGTCAAAAATCAATTGACCATAAGTGGAAGAATTTACTTGTAGATTCTCAGTGCTATTCCATTGATCTATGTATCTGCCTTTATGCCAATACCACACTATCTTGATTACTGTAGCTTTTAGTAAGTTTTGAAATTGGGAAGTGTGTAAGTAACTCCAACTTAGTTACTTTTTTTCAAGATTGCTTTCACTATTCTGGGTTCCTTGCATTTCCATATGAATTTTAGGATTAGCTTGTCCAATTCTTTAAAAATGGCAGCTGAGGTTTTACAGCTATTGGATTCAGTCTGTAGATCAAGTTGGAAAGTACTGCTATCTAAACAATGTTAAGTATTCCAGTCCATGAGTATGGGCTATCTTTTCATTTACTTAGGTCTTTACATTTCTTTCTCTTTTTTTTGAGACAGAGTCTCACTTTGTTGCCCAGGCTGGAGTGCAGTGGAGTGATCTTGGCTCCCTGCCTTTGCCTCCTGGGTTCAAGCAATTCTCCCTGCCTCAGGCTCCCGAGTAGCTGGGATTACAGGCGCCCGCCACCATTCCCAGCTAATTTTTGTATTTTTTAGTAGAGACGGGGTTTTGCCATGTTGACCAGGCTGGTTTCGAACTCCTGACCTCAGGTGATCCATCTGCCTCGGCCTCCCAAAGTGCTGGGATTACAGATGTGAGCCACTGCACCTGGCTACATTTCTTTCAATAATGTTTTGTAGTTTCCATTGAATAAGTCTTGCACTTCTTTCAGTAAATCTATTGGTAATTAGTTTATTCTGTTTGATGCTGTTGTGAATGATATTTTCCAATTGTAATTTCTTGATTTTTTTCATTGACAGTATATAGAAATACAATTGATTTTTGTGTATTGCTCTTATATCTTGCAACCTTGGTAAACACATTAGTTTTGGTGTTTTTTTGTAGATACAATAGGTTTTTTTACATAAAAGTTTATGTTATTGCCATTAAAGACAATTTAACTTCTTTCCTTCCAACCTTGGTAATTTTTTTGATCTCACTCCAGTGCTACGTTGAGTGGAAGTGATGAAAATATACCTCCTTGCTTTGTTCCTGATACTTGAAAAAAAGCATTTAGTTTTTCATCATACAGTATGTTAGTGTAATTTTCTTCATCAATGTCCTTTATCAGTTAATAAAGTTTTTGTCTGTCCCTAACTTTTTTTTTTGAAACAGTCTACCTCTGTCACCCAGGCTGGAGTGCAGTGGCATGATCTCAGGTCACTGTAACCTCCACCTCCCAGGCTCAAGCAATTCTCCTGCCTCAGCCTCCTGCCCAGCTAATTTTTGTATTTTTAGTAGAGATGGGGTTTCACTGTGTTGGCCAGGCTGGTCTCAAACTCCTGACCTCGCGATCCGCCCACCTTGGCCTCCCAAAGTGCTGGGTTTACAAGTGTGAGTCTGCGCCCAGGCATCTGTCCCTAACTCTTAAAAAAAAATTAATTTTTAATTTTTGTGGGTGCATAGTGGGTGTGTATATTTACGGCTTACATGAGATATGTTGATACAGGCATGCAATGTGTAATAATCACATCAGGGTAAATGGGGTATGCATCACCTCCAGCCCTTATCCTTTGTGTTTCAAACAATCCAATTACACTCTTTTAATTACGCTTTTTTTTTTTTTTGAGACAGATTCTCGCTCTGTCACCCAGGTCGGAGTGCAGTGGTGCCATCTCAGCTCACTGCAACCTCTGCCTCCCAGGTTCAAGCAATTCTCCTGCCTCAGCCTCCCAACTAGCTGGGATTACAGGCACCTGCCACCACACCCAGCTGATTTTTGTGTTTTTAATAGAGATAGGGTTTTGCCCTGTTGGCCAGGCTGGTCTTGAACTCCTGACCTTAGGTGATCCACCCACCTCGGCCTCCCAAAGTGCTGGTATTACAGAGGTGAGCCACCGCACTCGGCCTAGTTATGCATTTTTTAAAATCTCACTGTGTTGCCCAGGCTGGAGTGCAATGGCACAGTCACAGCTCACTGTAGCCTTGAGCCCTGGAGCTCAAGTAGAGCTTGAGCCTCCTGCCTCAGCCTCCCAAGTAGCTGGGACTACAGATGCACACTACCATGCTCGGCTAACTTTGGTATTTTTTGTAGAGATGGGGTTTGATTATGTTGCCCAGGCTGATCTCTAACTTCTGAGCTCAAGTGATCTGCCTGCCTTGGCCTCACAAAGTGTTGGGATTACAGGTATGAGTCACTGCACTCCTCTTTTAGTTATTTTTAAATGGACAATTAAATTAATTTTTTACCATAATCACCCTGTTGTGCTAGCAAATAGTAGGTCTTATTTACTCTTTCTATTTTTTTGTATCCACTAACCATTAACCTGGGCCAGGTGTGGTGGCTCATGCCTGTAATCTCAGCACTTTGGGAAGCCAAGGAGGGAGTATTGCTTGAGCCCAGGAATTTGAGACCAGACTGGACAACATAGGGAGACTCTGTTTCTACAAAGAATAAAAAATATTAGCTGGCTATGGTGACAAGCACCTGTAGTACCAGCTACTGGGAAGGCTGAGGTGGGACGATTGCTTGAGTCTGGTATGTTGAGGCTGCATTGAGTTGAGATAGGGCCATTGCACTCTAGCCTGAGAGTGCATTCTGAGACAGAATGAGAACCTGTCTCAGACAAAAAAAAAAAAAAATGTTCCTTCCATGTGGTGTTTTTGTCTGGTCTTGATAACAGTATAATACTGGCAAAGAATGTTTTAGGGAGTGTTCCCTCCTCTTTTATTTTTTGAGAGTTTGTGAAGTACAGGTGTTAATTCTTCTTCAAAAATTTGGTAGACTTGGGCTGGGTGTGGTGGCTCACACTTGTAATCCCAGCACTTTGGGAGGCTGAGGTGGGTGAATCACCTGAGATCAGGAGTTCAAGACCAGCCTGGCCAACATGATGAAAACCCGTCTCTACTAAAAATACGAATGCGCTAGGCATGATGGTGCATGTCTGTAGTCCCAGCTACTTGGGAGGCTGAGATAGGAGAATCACTTGAACCTGGGAGGTGGAGGTTGCAGTGAGCCGAGATTGCGCCACTGCACTCCAGCCTGGACCACAAAAATGAAACTCCGTCTCAAAAAAAAAAAAAGATTTGGTAGACTTCAGCTGAGAAGTCAAGTGGGCCTGGATTTTCAATTATGAGATTTCTTTCTTTTTTATTTTTTGCAGAGACAGGATCTCGCTCTGCCTCCCTGGCTGGAGTGCAGTAGCATGGTCATAGCTCACTGCAACCTCGAACTCCTAGGCCCAAGGGATCTTCCTGCCTCAGCCTCCTAAGTAGCTGGGACTACAGGTGCATGCCACCATGTCCAGCTAATTTTTAAAAATTTTATAGAGATGGGGTCTCACTATGTTGCCCACGCTGGTCTCAAACTCCTGGCATCAAGTGATCCTTCTGCCTCAGCCTCTCAATGTTCTAGGATTACAGGTATGAGCCACTGTACCCAGCCCTTTCTTCTTTTTAAATATAGGTGTCTACCGTTATAAATTTCAAATTAAGCACTGCTCTGTGCGTGTGTTGGAATGTTTTCAAAGCTCCAGCCCTGTGCCTTAGCCTTCACTTCCTGCTTATGCAGAACCCTCAAGATTCATTCTAGACATGAGCAGAGCATTGGACTTGCACATGGCCTTTTAGGTTTCCAGTAATATGTTTAACCTTTGCAAATTTTCACATGAACATCTCATTCCACAGTTTTCCTTTTTAATTGTTTTTTGGTGGGTAACAAGGTGGGTCACCTTGTTAGCTCTAACTGGTATCACTGCCTCAGGCATCTGCAGTGTTAAATGATTGCCACTGATTGTTTTCAACAAATGCCCTAGGGATAAAGCTAGTCACACATAGTGAGCCTACTCAGGTCAAATAAAGACAGGCCTTGGGAATGGAGATTTTCAGGGAGCTGCCACAGGTTAAATAGTGACAATTCTCTGGGGATAAAAGTTAAGCCTACCCTGAAACTAAAGAGCATAGAATGGAAATAGTGTAACTTAAAAGCTACAAAACTCACTGTTCTTTCTGATATTCAGCAGGGTTTTTTTTTTTGTTTGTTTTTTGCTTTTTTTGTTTTTGCTTTGTTTTGTTTTGAGACAGAGTCTCCCTCTGTCACCCGGGCTGGAGTGAAATGGTGTGATCTCGGCTCACAGCAACCTCTGCCTCCCAGGTTCAAGCAATTCTCCTGCCTCGGCCTCCTAAATAGCTGGGAATACAGGCACGTGCCACAATGCCCAGCTAATTTTTGTGTTTTTAGTAGAGACGGGGTTTCGCCATGTTGGCCAGGCTGGTCTTGAGCTCCTAACCTCAAGTGATGTGCCTGCCTCAGCCTCCCAAAGTGCTGGGATTACAGGCATGAGCCACTGTGCCCAGTCCATCAGTTTTTCTTGAATAAATGCTTCTAAGATACTGCAAGTTTTTGGTTAATTTCTAATGTTTTGAACAATTTGATTTGGACAATTTTTAGACAAGTTCCTTTTATGAATGAACAGATTTTCATAGGTCCTTACTCCATTATTCTTTTTTTTTTCAAGATGGAGTCTTGCTCTGTCACCTAGGCTGGAGTGCAGTGGCACGATCTTGGCTCACTGCAACCTCTGCCTCCCAGGTTCAAGTGAGTCTCCTGCCTCAGCCTCCCAAGTAGCTGGACTACAGGCGTGCACTGCCATGCCCAGCTAATTTTTTTTTTTTTAATAGAGATGGGATTTCACCATGTTGGCCAGGCTGGTCTCGAACTCCTAACCTCAAGTGATCCATCCACCTCAACCTCCTAAAGCGCTGGGATTACAGGCATGAGCCACTGTGCCCAGCCTCAATTACTCCATTATTCTAGAAGTGCTTCTACACAAATACATTTTGAAGTTTCCTTATTTATATAGGATGTTTGGGGTGCTATATTTTATTATTGATTTCTCACTTAATTGCAGTTTGCTTATGTACCAAATTTTAAATTGTAGAAGCTAGATTAGTAAGTTGAAAAGAAGCAGGTGAAATTAACTTTAATAGATCCAAAATGTTATTTCAGGCTGTAATCAGTATAAAAATTATTGTGAAGATTTTTATAATATTGTCTTTGAAATGTAGTAAGTTTTTATATTTTTATGTTTTACTGAGTTTACCTGGTATACAATAAACCATATATAATATAAAGTATACAATTTAATAAGTTTTATATATCCATGAAACCACATCAGTACAATCAAGTAATGAAAATATCCTATATTTACCTCAAAAGTTCTCCTGGCCGGGTGCAGTGGCTCACACCTGTAATCCCAAAGGCTGAGGTGGGTGGATCACCTGAGGTTAGAAATTCGAAACCAGCCTGGCCAACATGGTGAAACCCCGTCTCTACTAAAAATACAAAAAATTAGCTGGGTGTTGTGGTGCTCACCTGTAATGCAAGCTACTCAGAAGGCTGAGGCATGAGAATCACTTGAACCCAGGAGGCAGAGGTTGCAGTAAGAGGAGACTGTGCTGCTGCACTACAGCCTGGGTGAAAGAGTGAGACTCCATCTCAAAAAAAAAAAAAAAAAGTTCTCCTGTGCTCCTTTGCAATTCCCCACCTAGCTCATCCATCCCAAAACAAGCACTGATTTCTTCTCTGAAATAATTTCCTTTCTGGATATAAGTGCTTTATCAGATATGTGATTAGCAAATACACTTCTCAGTGTCTGGCTAGTCTTTTCATTCCTTAGCAGTGTTTTTTGAAGAGAAAGAGTTCTAAATTTTTTGAAAAAATCAAATTTTTAAAATTTTCTTTATGAATTGTTTATATCATATGTAAGAACTATGCCTAGTCCAAGACTACAATATTTTTCCTATGTTTTCTTCTAAATGTTTATAGTTTTAGGTTCAAATTTATGTCTCTGATCCATTCTTAATTAATGTTTGTACATGGCACCAAGTATGCATTGAAACTTTTTTTTTGCACATGGATATTCAATTTTTCTAGTTCCATTTGTTAAAAAGACACTGACTTGTACTTGACCTTTTGTTCACAATCAAGAGACCATATATGTATGGGTTTATTTCTACTTGCCCTATTTGCCTATATTGATGCTATCTATAATCACATTATCTTGACTTCCATGAATTTGTAATGAATCTTAAGTCAGATAGTATCAGTTCTCCAACTTTGCCCTTTTTCAGAGTCATTTTTCCTAATCTAGGTTATTTGCATTTCCATATAAATGTTATGGTCTTCAGTTATTTAGTTATGGTCTTTTTTTGGCTCATGATTTTACAATGAAAAAATAAATTAAAAAAAGACTTTTAATTCCTTCTATCAATGTTTTGTAGCATTTTACTAGATATGTCTTGCAAATCTTTTACCAGAATATTCCCTAAGCATTTTATATGTTTTGATGTATTTTTAAAATATATTATTGTAACTGGATTTCTAGTTTCAGTTTTTGATTGTTTATTACTAGCATAAAGAAATAAAATTGGGGCAGGATGCGGTGCTCACGCCTGTAATCCCAGCACTTTGGGAGGCCGAGGCGGGTGGATCACGAGGTCAGGAGATCGAGACCATCCTGGCTAACACGGTGAAACCCCGTCTCTACTAAAAATATAAAAAATTAGCCAGGCATGGTGGCGGGCGCCTGTAGTCCCAGCTACTTGGGAGGCTGAGGCAGGAGAATGGCATGAACCCAGGAGGCGGAGCTTGCAGTGAGCTGAGATTGCACCACTGCACTCCAGCCTGGGCTACACAGCAAGACTCTGTCTCAAAAAAAAAAAAAGAAATAAAATTGGCCAGGCATGGTGGCTCACATCTGTAATCCCAGCACTTTGGAGGCCAAGGCAGGTAGATCACCTGAGGTCAGGAGTTCGAGACCAGCCCAGCCAACATGGTGAAACCCCATCTCTACTAAAAATACAAAAATTAGCCAGGCATAGTGACGGACACCTGTAATCCCAGTTACTCAGGAGGCTGAGGCAGGAGAATTGCTTGAAACCGAGAAGCAGAGGATGCAGTGAGCCAAGATTATGCCATTGCACTGTGGCCTGGCCAACAAGAGCAAAACTCTGTCTCAAAAAAAAAGAAAAGAAAAGAAAAGAAAGAAATTGATTTTTGTATGTTAATCTTGTATCCTGGTGACTTTCCAAATTTATTTTCCAGTTCTAGTAACTTTCTTTTTTTTAATGTCAAAGGATTTTCTGTTTGAGCAATCAGATATAAGCAGTTTTACCACTTCCTTCACAATTTGAATCTTTCCAGTTTTTTTTTTCTTGCCTTATTGCACTGGCTAGAACTCCTAGTACAATATTGAAAAAAAAAATTTGGGCCAGGTGCAGTGGCTCACGCCTGTAATCCCAGCACTCTGGGAGGCTGAGGCTGGCGGATCACGAAGTCAGGAGATCGAGACCATCCTGGCTAACATGGTGAAACCCAGTCTCGACTAAAAATACAAAAAATTAGCTGGGCATGGTGGCGGGTGCCTGTATTACCAGCTGCTTGGGAGGCTGAGGCAGGAGAATGGCGTGAACCTGGGAGGCAGAGCTTGCAGTGAGCCGAGATCGAGCCACTGCACTCCAGCCTGGGTGACAGAGCAAGACTCCATCTCAAAAAAAAAAAAAAAGAAAAGAAAAAAATGTATGAGAATGGATATCTTTGCCTTGTTCCTATACTTAGGGAAAAACCTTTAATCTTTTACCATTCATGATATTATCTGTATGTTTTATGTAGATGCTTTATATCACATTGAGAAAATCCATTTTATTTCTAATTCACTGACATACGTTTACTTATTTATTTATATATTTCGAGACAGGGTCTCGTTCTGTTGCCCAGCTGGAGTGCAGGGGAGCAATCATAGCTCACTGCAACTTTTAACTCCTGGCCTCAAAGGATCCTCCCACCTCAGCCTCTCGAGTAGCTGGGACTACAGACTTGTGTCACCATGCCCAACTAATTTTTTTTTTTTTTTTTTTTTTTTGAGACGGAGTCTTGACAGAGTCTCACTCTGTCACCAGGCTGGAGTGCAGTGGTGCAATCTCAGCTCACTGCAACCTCCACCTCCCAGGTTCAAACAATTCTCCTGCCTCAGATTCCCGAGTAGCTGGGACTACAGGCATGTGCCACCATGCCCAGCTAATTTTTGTATTTTTAGTAGAGATAGGGTTTCACCATGTTGGCCAGGATCTCCTGACCTTGTGATGTGCCCACCTCGGCCTCCCAAAGTGCTGGGATCACAGGCGTGAGCCACTTGGCCTGGTCTAATTTTTATTTATTTGTTTTTTTTTTTTTTTTTTTTTTGAGAAAGGGTCTCACTTGGTAGCCCAGGCTGCAGTGCAGTGGTGCTATCATGGCTCACTGTAGCCTCGGCCTTCTAGGCTCTAGTGATCCTCCCACCTTAGCCTCCCAACTAGCTGGGACCACAGGTATGCACCACCATGCTCGACTAATGTTTTAATTTGTTTCTAGAGACAGGGTCTCCCTGTGTTGCCCAAGCTGATCTTGAACTCCTGGGCTCAAGCAATCCTCCTGCCTTGGCCTCCCAAAGTGCTGGGATCATAGACATGAGCCACCACGCCTGGCCTGACATTTGTTTTAGGTCTGAAATGGATATTGGACTTTGTTACATGCTTTTTCTGCATGTATTGAGAGATTACCATACAGTTTTTCTTTTTTAGTCTTGTTAATATGTTACATTGGTTTATTGACTATAATTTAAAGGATATCTCAACTTGAACTAGCTCCATTTTAAGGGCTCAGTATCTCATGCAAGATGAGGCTGGAAAAAGAAGTGGGTGGAGAATGATGACCTACGTCTTTTTTTGTTTGTTTGTTTGTTTGTTTTTGTTTATGTTTTTTGAGACAGGGTCTGGCTCTGTCACCCAGGCTGGAGTACAGTGGAGTGATCACAGGTTACTGCAACCTCTGCCTCCCAGGCTCAAGCTATCCTCCCATCACAGCCTCCTGAGTAGCCAGGACTACAGGCACATGCCACCGTGCCCAGCTAATTTTGTGTGTGTGTTTTTTTGTAGAGACAGGATTTTTCCATGTTGCCCAGGTTGGTCTCTAAACTCCTGAGCTCAAGCAATCCACCTGCCTCGGACTCCTAAAGTGCTGGGATTACAAGCATGAATCACCTCACCTGGCTGACCTGTGTTGTATGGACATAGGAACAATCAGGAACCAGAGTCTAAGGCTTTGCAAGAGAACTGGGATAGTCTGGAATTGTCGAATCCAAGGGCAGAAAGAAAAGGCAGGATCTGAAATAAAGAATCATCAAGTCAGGCATGGTGGTGTGCACTTGTAGTCCCAGCTATTCAGAAGGCTGAGGCAGGAGGGTTGCTTGAGGTCAGGAGTTCAAGGCTGAAGTACACTATGATCATGCCTGTGATTAGCCTAGCCAATATAGCAAGACCCTGTTTCTTAAAATAATAATAAAGAATAGCCAGGTATGGTAATGAGTCACTTGTGGTCTCAGCTACCCAGGACGCTGAGACACGAGGATCTCTTGAGCTCAGGAGTTCACGGCTGCAGTGAGCTATGATCATGCCACTGTACTCTAGCCTGAGTGATATAGCAAGATCTCATCTCTAAAAATTAAAATTAAAATTAAAATTAAAATTAAAAAGACCTGTTTGTTCAGACTTTTCTCTGTCACACTTCATCTTCAGAGAGAAGAATATTCCTTCCCTAAAGCTACAGAAAAGACACCTCTTATATGAGGGTCTTATGACGAGCTTTAGGGGGAGGTCAGAAAATTCTTCCTAGATTTTATGACCTGCTTCAGGGAAGAAGGGTGGGAGGAGGGTGAGAGTGACCTTTCTGCTCCTGCTGTTATTCAGTATACCAAGGTAGCATATTTTGGGTAGCATGTCTTGAACCCCAGCATTCCCTCTTATGACACTTCCCCAAGAAATTTCACAGTCCAAAAGCTGAGTTGATAGATTGTTCCATAATCCATTGAACTAGTCTCTCAGTTTGGGGAATAGTTCAGTCCACTTAAATGACTCTGTCCATTTGAATGTGGCAGGTGGGCTCCCACCAAAATTAGGCCTCTATATGGTAATAATAATAATTTAGGCCAGGCATGGTGGCTCACGCCTGTAATCCCAGCACTTTGGGAGGCCGAGGCGGGCATATCATGAGGTCAGGTGACCAAGACTATCCTGGCCAACATGGTGAAACCCCGTATCTACTAAAAATACAAAAATTAGCTGGGCGTGGTGGCACCTGCCTGTAATCCCATCTACTTGGGAGTCTGAGGCAGGAGAATTGCTTGAACCCAGGAGGCAGAGGTTGCAGTGAGCCAAAATTGCACCACTGCACTTCAGCCTGTGACAGAGCAAGACTCCCATCTCAAAAAAAAAAAAAAAAAAAGAATAATTTAATAAGAACATTTCTATGGAAACAAAAGAAAAACAAAGGTTAATGGTTGGAGCAAATTATAAACTCAGTTTCTGAGTCTGGAGAGCAGACAGTGGAGATTTATAGATTTGAGGCTTGAAGCATATCTTGTAATTTGAGTGTTGTGGTGGTATCATAGTGAATTTTCTGAGTGGCCCATACAGCATTAGGCACGAAGGTTGTCCATACCTGAGTTGTTATGGTGATGTCTCTAAAGTTTATATCAAGTTTTCCACTTGATATAAACTTGCAGAGCTTTGGGAAAAGGGCAGTGTGATGGTTAATACTGAGTGTCAACTTGATTGGATTGAAGGATGCAAAGTATTGATCCTGGGTGTGTCTATGAGGGTGTTACCAAAGGAGATTAACATTGGAGTCAGTGGGCTGTGAAAGGCAGACTCACCCTTAATCTGGGTGGGCACCATCTAATCAGCTGGCAGCACAACTAGCATATAAAGCAGGCAGAAAAACATGAAAACACTAGACTGGCCTAGCCTCCTAGCCTATATCTTTCTTTCATGCTGGATGCTTCCTGCCCTCAAACATTGGACTTCAAGGTCTTCAGCTTTGGAACTCAGACTGGCTTCCTTGCTCCTCAGCTTGCAGACGGCCTATATGGGAACTTGTGATCCTGTGAGTTTAATACACCTTAATAAACTCCCTTATATATATATATATATCCATATATATATGGATATATATATGGATATATATATGGATATATATATGGATATATATATGGATATATATGTGGATATATATGGATATATATGTGTATATATATGGATATATATGTGGATATATATGGATATATGTGTGGATATATATGTGCATATATATGGATATATATATGTGGATGTATATATGGATATATATATGTGGATGTATATATGGATATATATGGATGTATATATGGATATATATGGATGTATATATGGATATATATGGATAGATATATATGGATATATATGGATAGATATATATGGATAGATATATGGATAGATATATGGATATATATGGATATATATATGGATATATATATGGATATATATGGAGAGATATATATGGATATATATGGAGATATGTATATGGATATATATGGATATATATATGGATATATATGGATATATATGGATATATATGGATATATATATGGATATATATATGGATATATATGGATATATATATGGATATATATATGGATATATATGGATATATATGGATATATATATGGATATATATGGATATATATGGATATATATAAGGATTATATATAATATATGGATATATAAGGATATATATTATATATGGATCTATATAAGGATCTATATTATATATATGGATACATATAAGGATATATATTATATATAATGGATATATATATTATATATGGATATATATAATGGATATATATATTATATATATGGATATATATAAGGATATATATTATATATGATATATAAGGATATATATTATATATATGGATATATATAAGGATATATATTATATATATGGATATGTTTATGGATATATATATAATATATATCCTATTAGTTCTTTCTCTCTAGAGAACCCTGACTAATACAGGCAGTTTTTTGTTTTGTTTTGTTTTGTTCTGTTCTTTGTTTGTTTGTTTGTTTTTGTTTTTTTTTAAGACAGAGCCTCGCTCTGTGGCCCAGACTGGAGTGCAGTGGCATGATCTCAGCTCACTGCAACCTCTGCTGCCTGGGTTCAAGTGATTCTCCTGCCTCAGCCTCCCGAGTAGCTGGGATTACAGGTGCCTGCCACTGTGCCTGGCTAATTTTTTTAGTTTTTTGTTATTGTTGTTGCTGTTGTTGTTGTTGTTGTTGTTGTTGTTGTTTTTGAGACAGAGTCTCGCTGTGTTGCCCAGGCTGGAGTGCAGTGGTGTGATCTCGGCTTACTGCAACCTCTGCCTCCTGGGTTCAAGCAATTCTTCTGCCTCAGCCTCCTGAGTAGCTGGGACTACTACAGGTACGTGCCACCACACCTGGCTAATATTTTTTGTATTTTTAGTAGAGGCGTGGTTTCACCATATTGGCCAGGCTGGTCTCAAACTCCTGACCTCATGATCCACCTGCCTTGGCCTCCCAAAGTACTGGGATTACAGGCATGAGCCACCACACCCGGTCTAATACTTTTTTAGTAGAGACGGAGTTTCACCATTTTGTCCAGGCTGGTGTTGAATTTCTGACCTCGTGATCCACTCCCCTGGGCCTCCCAAAGTGTTGGGATTACAGGCATGAGCCACCACACCCAGTCTAATTTTTTTTAGTAGAGATGGGGTTTCACCATTTTGTCCAGGCTAGTCTTGAACTCCTGACCTCGTGATCCACCCCCCTGGGCCTCCCAAAGTGTTGGGATTACAGGTGTGAGCCACCATGCCCAGCCAATACAGGCAGTTAGTGTTATTAGTGATTTCAAGTCACAAGGGTGGAAAATTGGACATGTTTGTTTGGAGAATCATAGCTAGACATTGGAGGAAAGTAGATTAATTCAGGTTTACACATCCAGTTTACAAGTAGATAATAAAACCTCAAAGACAATGAACAGGGCTAGTATTTGATATCCACACGTGCTATAGTTTTCTACTGAAACACGATTTTTCTCTCTACATTCACTCTCATTTCTGCCAAAGACAATGACAATAAGACTAATTTCTTTCCAAAATAAGTTTAGTCTCATTAAACTTGCTTGATTGTTTACATAAGTGCAGCAAGAATAGTGGTTGATTTTATAGGCTTTCCTTAGGTCTGCTTTGTTGAAACTCTAAAAATTTTACACTTTTAAAAACCTCTGAAGGCTAGGAAGCCAAGCAAATGACTGGCCATCAGAATTTGACTGCAGTACTTATATATTTGAGTGAATTCCTCTCTTCTTGAGGTCCCCAAAGTATCTGCAGTTTCCTTAGCCTACCAGGAAGTGACCATTTTTACTCACCTGTAGGGCCAGAAACCATTGAAAGCCATTTATCAGGCTGGTTTTTCTTTTTTTAATTTTTTTAAAATTTACATTAAGTTCCAGGATACATGTGCAGAATGTGCAGGTTTGTTACATAGGTATACATGTGCCATGGTGGTTTGCTGCACCTAGAAGCTAGTTTTTCTAAGGGGCTTTATAAACATTAGTTCCTTAAAGTCAACTGTTGCAGGAAGTCAGGGACCCCAAATGGAGGGACCAGCTGGAGCCACAGCAGAGGAACATAAATTGTGAAGATTTCATGGATATTTATCAGTTCCCAAAATTAAAACTTTTATAATTTCTTACTCTTGTCTTTACTGCAATCCCTGAACATAAATTGTGAAGATTTCATTTTAATATGGACATTTATCAGTTCCCAAAATTAATATTTTTATAATTTCTTATGCCTGTCTTTAATCTCTTAATCCTGTTATATTCATAAACTGAGAATGTACATCACCTCAGGACCACTATTGTGTTAAACTGTAAAAATTGATTGTAAAACGTGTGTTTGAACAATATGAAATCAGTGCATCTTGAAAAAGAACAGAATAACAGTGATTTTCAGGGAAGAAGGGAAGACAACCATAAGGTCTGACTGCCTGCAGGGTTGGGCAGAATAGAGCCATATTTTTCTTCTTGCAGAGAGCCTATAAATGGATGTGAAAGTAGAGAAGATATCACTGAATTCTTTTCCTAGCAAGGAATATTAATAATTAAGACCCTGGGAAAGGAATGCATTCCTGGGGGGAGGTCTATAAACGGCCGCTCTGGGAGTGTCTGTCTTATGAGGTTGAGATAAGGACTGAAATACACCCTGGTCTCCTGCAGTACCCTCAGGCTTATTAGGTTGGGGAAGAAACCCCACCCTGGTAAATTTGAGGTCAGACCGGTTCTCTGCTCTCAAACCCTGTTTTCTGTTGTTTAAGATGTTTATCAAGACAACACGTGTATAGCTGAACATAGACCCTTATCAGGAGTTTTTTATTTCACCCTTTGCCTTGTGATCTTGCTTTGCCCTTTGACTTGTGATCTTTATTGGCCTTAGAAGCTTATGATCTTTGTTCTCTTTTTGCCCTTTGAAGCATGTGATCTTTGTGACCTACTCCCTGTTTGTACAACCCCTCCCCTTTTAAAATCCTTAATAAAACCTGCTGGTTTTGTGGCTCAGGGGGGCATTATGGTCCTACTGATATGTGATGTCACCCCCGGAAGCCTAGCTGTAAAATTCCTCTCTTTGTACTCTTTCTTTTTCTCAGCCAGCCAATGCTTAGGGAAAATAGAAAGAACCTACGTTGAAATATTGGGGGCGAGTTCCCCAGATAGTCAACTTTAGTTCTTTAAAACTGGTCATATCTGAAAATATAATATTCCACTCAAGGCTGGGTGCAGTGGCTCATTCCTGTAATTCCAGCACTTTGGGAGGCCAAGGCTGGAGGATTACTTGAGCCTAGGAATTCAAGAACAGCCTGGGCAATGTGGCAAAACACCATCTCTACAAAAGAAAAGTACAAAAAAAATTTAGCCAGGCATGGTGATGCACACCTGTGGGCCAGCTACTCAGGAGGCTTAGGCAGAGGGATCACTTGAGCCCAGGTGGTCAAGGCTGCAGTGAGCAAAGATCACACCACTGCACTCCAGCCTGGGTGACAGAGCAAGACCCTGAATCAAAAAAAATAATAATAATACAGTCAAAGCCTTGGTAAGATAACTAATGTTTCCAATTTTGTCTTGTTACGAGGAGAACAGATTCTTATTAAACTCATGCAAATAAGTATATTGCCATGAAAATAAGAATATTCACTATAGGCCAGGCATGGTGGCTCACGTCTGTAATCCCAGCACTTTGGGAGGCCAAGGTGGGCGGATCACGAGGTCAGGAGATCAAGAACATCCTGTCTAACACGGTGAAACCCCATCTCTACTAAAAATACCAAAAAATTAGCTGGAGGTGGTGGCGGGCACCTGTAGTCCCAGCTACTCAGGAGGCTGAGGCAGGAGAATCGCTTGAACCCAGGAGGCAGAGGTTGCAGTGAGCTGACATTGTGCCACTGCACTCCAGCATGGGCAACAGAGCAAGACTCTGTCTTAAATAAAAAAAGGATACTCACTAATACTTTCTGAATTCTGGAGGAATCAGTCAGAGAGAAAAGCAAGTATTTCAATTCCGTTTACAAAAGTACTTTACTAAATTGCTATAAGCTATAGACAGGTTAAGAGAAAAAGGCTTCCTTAAATCTGGAAAACAAAATATTAAAGAACAGGCAATGTTTCAAATAGAAAATCAAAAAAACTATAATCATCCTTATCAGTTTTTTCTGTCCCATGTAATTAACTCTTGTTCTGCTTGATCTTGGGTTAAGTTTCATGAACCCATCAGTTTCTTCATTAGTGCTACAGAAATTCTTACCCAGGCCAGTGGTATGATCCCAAGTTTTCAAAAGTTTGTTTGTATTTTAGAGTACTTTCCAGAGTCTTTTTCATAAATTATCTTTGAAGATGAAGTAATCTTATTATATCTCAGCTCCTTACAAAAGCTTCCAGGAAAGCATCAGAGTAAAACAATAACCAAACTTTATACATTTTTGACACACTTATTATATATATGGGTTTATCATCACTTATTCAACATGCTTCCATGCAATTTAATGTATCAGATACTGCTAATCAGTTAAACATCTTTCTTTTTTCTTTCTCTCTCTCTCTCTTTTTTTTTTTTTGAGAAAGAGTCTTACTCTGTTGCACAGCCTAGAGTGCATTGTGCAATCTTAGCTCACTGCAGCCTCAAACTCCAGGGCTCAAGGGATCCTCTTGCTTCAGCCTCCTAGTAGCTAGAACTAAAGGCATGTACCATCCCACCTGGCTAGTTTTAAAATAATTTTTTGTAGAGACAGTGTCTGGCTAAGTTGCCCAGGCTGATTTTGAACCCTGGCCTTAAGATATCCTCCTGCCTTGGCCTCCCAAAGTGCTGGGATTATAGGCATGGGCCACCACACCTGGCCTTCTTGCCTTGATAAGGAGAGAGAATGGATTCTTTTGAGATTTTTTTAGGAGCCCTCTGGGAATCCTCAAAGTTAGTTTGAGGTCAAAAGACCTCCATTTGATTTCAGGAAATTATCAATAAGATTTAAAATACTTAATTAGCCAGGCGCGGTGGCTCATGTCTGTAATCCCAGCACTTTGAGAGCCTGAGGGAAGAGGATCACTTGAGGCCTGGAGTTCAAGACCAGCCTGGACATCATAGAGAGACCCTATCTCTCCAAAAAATAAAAAAAATTAGCCGATCATGGTGGCATGTGCCTAGAGTCCCAGCTACTTGGGAGGATGAGGCAGGAGCATCGCTGGAGCCTGGAGTGCTGGGCCTGGAGCCCAGGAGTGGAGGATGCAGAGAGCTATGATCATGCCCCCGCACTCCAGCAGCCTTGGTAACAGGGAGAGGCCCTGTCTCTTTAAACAAACAAACAAAAACCCCACTTGATTATAGGATCATAGACCACAATGAGGCAATACCTGGTTATCTATTTAACCAAAAGAACAATAAAAGATTTTCAAGGCAAATACAGAAGCTTACACATTTGTGAACAAAACATAACTCTTAATATTGAGAAAATTCAGTTTTCTTAAGTAATCAAAGACCTTAGAAAAACAACATGAGGCACATGGCATTATTTTGATAAAATACAGGATGTTTCCTAGGCAAATTTACTTTTTTTTTTTTAAACGTAGAACACAAACGCTTTATTTAAAGGTGCATCTTAATTCCTCTTTGGTAAGCAAAAAAAATAAAATAAAGGAGCAGATCGTGGCACATCATTCCTGTGAGCCAAGTGGTCCACCCAAACATCCAAAACCCAGCAAAGCAGCCAAGTTCAGTGTGACCTCCGGGCCTCTCCACTTTCTCGTTTGTTTGTTCATTTTTGAGACAGAGTCTCACTGTTGTCACCCAGGCTGGAGTGCAGTGGTGCGATCTCAGCTCACTGCAACCTCTGCCATCTGGGTTCAAGCAATTCTCCTGCCTCAGCCTCCCGAGAAGCTGGGATTACAGGCATGTGCCACCATGCCTGGCTAATTTTTGTATTTTTAGCAGAGATGGGGTTTCACCCTGTTGGCCAGGCGTGTCTCAAACTCCTGACCTCAGGCGATCCGCCCACCTCGGCCTCCCCAAATGCTGGCATTACAGGCGTGAGCCACCACGCCCAGCCACCTCTTCACTTTGACTCCAACAGGGTGAGCACGTCATTCTTGCACACAGGGCCTTTGACATTGTGGATAATGGAGTGGCTCCTGTTGTCCACAAATTCCATGTCCATCCCCATACACTGTCCCTGAGAGCTGGTCATGCCCAGTACCATGGTGCCCCAGGCTCGCTTGATATGCCGCACATGGCTGGTGTCCATGATGGTGGCGCAGCAGGGGTTGGGTGGAGGCAGATCTCTTTTTGGTTGTTTGTTTTTGAGACAGAGTCTCGCTCTGTCACCCAGGCTGGAGTACAGTGGCATGATCTCAGCTCACTGCAACCTCTACCTCCTGGGTTCAAGCAATTCTCTTGCCTCAGCCTCTGGAGTAGCTGGGACTACAAGTGCCTGCCAACACACCCAGCAAATTTTTGTATTTTTAGTAGAGACAGGGTTTCACCATGTTGGTCTGGCTGATCTCGAACTCCTGACCTCAGGTGATCCACCCGAGGCAGATTTCTTAAAAGATAAGGAAAAACTGGCTGGGTGCAGTGGCTCACACCTGTAATCTCAACACTTTAGGAGGCCAAGGCAGGGGAATCGCTTGAGCCCAGGACTTTGAGACCAGTATGGGCAACATAGCAAAACCTCATCTCTATAAAAATTTTAAAAATTAGCCTGTGGAAGCTAAGCTATGAGGACGCAAAGGCATAAGAATGATGTAATGGACTTTGGGGACTAGGAGGAAGGGTGGGAGGGTGGGATGGGGGTGAGGGATAATAAAACTACACACTGGGCATGGTACACTGTTCAGGTAATGGGTGCACCAAAATCTCAGAAATCACCACAGAAGAACTTATCCATGTAACCAAACACCACTTGTTCCCAAAAACTATTGAAATTATATATATATATATATATATATATATATATATATATATATATATAAGCCTGGAGTAGTAGTTCATGCCTGTAGTCCTAGCTACTCAGAAGGCTGAGGCTGGTGGATCCATTGAGCCCAGGAGGTGGAGGCCATGATCCTGCCACTGCACTCCAGCCTGGGAAACAGAGTGACACCTTGTTTCAAAAAAAAAAATGGTAAGGAAAAACCTTTCATGATCACTTACCAAGAGCAGACCAACTCTCTAAGAAAACTTTGTCATTGCGCAGAGAGAAAAAACCAATTTCTAGTTTTATACAAGTGTACTATTAATAACAAAGCTGATTTTAATAAATCCTTATAAATAAATCCATCTAATCTCAGACAGCTTTGACCACACAAGATATCCTTTTCCAAGATTCCTTTTCTGCAAACCTTACATAATTTTTATAACGTATTCAGTTTTTGTCCTTTAGTCTCCTTTTTCATTCTGAAACAACCTGTCATTCCACTTTAGTACAGACCTACTTTTTTTTTTTTTTTTTTGAGACAGGGTCTTGTTCTGTCATCCAGGCTGAAATGTAGTGGCACAGTCAGAGCTCACTGCAACCTTGACTTCCTGTGCTCAATCTATCTACCTGCCTCAGCCTTCTGAGTAGCTAGCTGGGACTACAGGCACATGCCACCATGCCCAGCTAATCTTTACTTTTTTATTTTTTGGTACTTTTTGTAGAGACTACATTTCACCATGTTGTCCAGGCTGGTCTTGGATCCTGGGCTCAAGCAATTGCCCACCTTGGACTCCCAAAGTGGTGGGATTACAGGCATGAGCCACTGTGCCTGGCCCAGAGTTACATTAAAAAGAGAAATGTGGATGGGCTTCAGTGGCTCACACCTGTAATCCTAGCAGTTTGAGGGGCCAAGGCAAGAGGATCACTTGAGGCCAGGAGTTTGGAACCAGCCTGGGCAACATAGCGATATGTTCTATTCTTTTTTGAAAAAAAAAAAAAAATTTTAAGTTTAAAAAGGAAAAATAGGATTGATAGATCACTAGTTAGACTAATAAAAAAAGAGAGAGAAGATCCAAATAAACACAGAAATGACAACGGAGACATTAACATTTACCCTACGAAAAACAAAAGAACTTCGGAACAGCCAGATTTGTTAAATTTTAAAAAAAGAAAGCAATACAAAAAGCCCTCAAAAACTATTATGAACAACTTTGCACACAAACTAGAAAACCTAGAAGAAATGGATGCATTCCTTGAAACATACAATTTCCCAAGATTGAACTAGGAAGAAACTGAAACCCTTAACAAACCAACAAAGAAGAGCTGGTACCTATCCTACTGAAACTATCCCAAAAAAGAGAGGAGGAGGGACTCCTCTCTAACTCATTCTTTGAGACCAGCATCACTCTGATACCAAAACTTGGCAGAGACACAGCAAAAAAAGAAAACTTTAGGCCAAAATCACTGATGAACAAAAATCCTCAACAAAATACTAGCAAACTGAATCCAGCAGCACATCAAAAAGTTAATCCACCATAATCAAGTAGCCTTTATTCCTGGAATGCAAAGTTGTTTCAACACACACAAATCAACAAATGTAATTTGTGACGTAAACAGAGCTAAATACAAAAACCACACGATCATCTCAACAGACACAGAAAAGGCTTTCAATAAAATTCAACATCTCTTCATGTTAAAAACCCTCAACAAACTTGGCATTAGAGAAACATACATCAAAATAATAAGAGCCATCTATGACAAACCCACAGCCAACATCATACTGAACTGGCAAAAGCTGGAAGCATTCCCCTTGAGAACTGGAACAAGCAAAAGATGCCCACTCTCATCATCCTATTCAGCATAGTACTGGAAGTCCTAGACAGAGCCATTAGACAAGAGAAAGAAATAAAAGGTACCCAAATAGGAAGAGAGGAAGTCAAACTATCTCTCTTCACAGATGATATGATTTTATACTTAGAAAACCCCATGGCCTCTGCCCAAAAGTTTCTAGATCTGATCGACAACTTCAACAAAGTTTCAGGATACAAAATCAATATACAAAAATCAGTAGCATTTCTATATACAAACAACGTCCAAGCTGAGAGCCAAATCAATAATGCAATCCCATTCACAATAGCCACACACACACGTACAAAATACCTAGGAATTCAGCTAACCGGGCAGTGAAAGATCTCTACAGTGATGGCCGGGCGCGGTGGCTCACGCTTGTAATCAGCACTTTGGAAGGCCGAGGCGGGCGGATCACGAGGTCAGGAGATAGAGACCACAGTGAAACCCCGTCTCTACCAAAAATACAAAAAATTAGCCGGGCGTGGTGGCGGGCGCCTGTAGTCCCAGCTACTCGGAGAGGCTGAGGCAGGAGAATGGCGTGAACCCGGGAGGCGGAGCTTGCAGTGAGCCGGGATTGCGCCACTGCACTACAGCCTGAGCGACAGGGTGAAGAGAATTACAAAACACTGCTGAAAGAAATCAGAGGTGACACAGACAAGTGAAAAAAATATTCCATGCTCATGGATAGGAAGAATCAATATTGTTAAAGTGGTCATACTGCCCAAAGTAATTTACAGATTCAATGCTATTGCTATCAAACTACCAATGACATTTTTCACATAATTAGAAAACCTATTCTAAAATTCAAAAAAGAACACAAATAGCCAAAGCAATTCTAAGCAAAAAGAACAAAGCCAGAGGCATCACACTATCCAACTTCAAACTATCCTACAAGGCTAGTACGGTATCGGTACAAAAAGAGACACACAGACCAATGAAACAGGTTTGAGGACCCAGAAATAAAGTTGCACACCTACAATCATTTGATCTTTGACAAAGCTGACAAGAACAAGCAACAGGAAAAGGACTCCTTATTCAATAAATGGTGCAGGGATAACTGGCTGCCTTATACAGAAGATTGAACCTGGATCCCTTCCTTTTATCATACACAAAAATCAACTCAAGATAGATTAAAGGCTTAAATGTAAAACCATTCAAAGTAATGGCAAAACCACAGTTACTTTTGCACCAACCTAATGAAACTATAAAAACCCTAGAAGAAAACCTAGGAAGGCTGGGCACAGTGGCTCACACCCGTAATCACAGCACTTTGGGAGGCCAAGGCGGGCGGATCACCTGAGTTCGAGAGTTCGAGATCAGCCTGACCAACATGGAGAAACGCCCATCTCTACTAAGAATACAAAGTTAGCTGGGCATGGTGGCACATGCCTGTAATCACAGCTATTCAAGAGGCTGAGGCAGGAGAATTGCTTGCACCCGGGAGGCAAAGGTTGTGGTGAGCCAAGATCGCGCCATTGCACTCCAGCCTGGGCAACAAGAGCGAAACTTCAACTCAAAAAAAGGAAAAGAAAGGAAAAGAAAAGAAAAGAAAAGAAAACCTAGGAAATACCATTCTGGATATAGGTCATCGTCGATTTCAAGACAAAGACTCCAAAAGCAATTGCAATAGAAACAGAAATTGACAAATGGGACTTAATTAAACTAAAGAGCTTCTGCACAGCAAAAGAAACTATCAACAGAGTAAACGGACAACCCACGGAAGGAAAAAAAAATGCAAACCATGATCTGACAAAGTTCTAATATCCAGAACCTATAGGGAACTTAATTCGAAAAACAAAAACCAAATTAAACTGATTAAAAAATGGGTGTATTAGTTCATTCTCACACTCCTGTAAAGAACTACCTGAGACTGGGTAATTTATGAAGAAAAGAGGTTTAATTGACTCACAGTTCCACAGGCTGTACAGGAAGCATGGCTGGGATGCCTCAGGAAACTTATAATCATGGCAGAAGGTGAATGGGAAGCAAGAACAAGTTCCCATGGCGGAGCAGGAGACAGAGAGTGAAGGGGGAAGTGCCACACACTTTCAAACAACTTGATCTTGTGAGAACTTACTCACCATCATGAAAACAGCAAGGAGGAAATCTGCCCTGATGATCGAATGACCTCCTACCAGATCTCTCCCTCAACACAAAGGATTACAATTCAACATGAGATTTTGGCAGGGACATAGAACTGAGAGGTGACAGCATGCTGGCAGTCCTCACAGTCCTCGCTCGCTCTCGGCACCTCCTCTGCCTGGGCTCCCACTTTGGCGGCACTTGAGGAGCCCTTCAGCCTACCGCTGCACTATGGGAGCCCCTTTCTGGGCTGGCCAAGGCTTGAGCCCACTCCCTCAGCTTGCAGGAAGGTGTGGAGGGAGAGGCGCGAGCAGGAACCGGGGCTGCGTGCGTGCTTGCAGGCCAGCTGGAGTTCCGGGCGGGCATGGGCTTGGCGGGCCCCGCACTCGGAGCAGCCGGCCAGCCCTGCTGCCCCGGGCAATGAGGGACTTAGCACCCGGACCAGTGGCTGCGGAGGGTGTACTGGGTCCCCCAGCAGTGCCAGCCCACCGGCACTGCGCTCGATTTCTCACCGAGCCTTAGCTGCCTTTCTGCGGGGCAGGGCTCGGGACCTGCAGCCCGCCATGCCTGAGCCTCCCACCCACTCCATGGGCTCCTGTGCCGCCCGAGCCTCCCCGACTAGCACCACCCCCTGCTCCATGGCGCCCAGTCCCATCGACCACCCAAAGGCTGAGGAGTGCGAGCGCACCGCGCTGGACTGGCAGGCAGCTCCACCTGCAGCCCCGGTGGGGGATCCACTAGGTGAAGCCAGCTGGGGTCCTGAGTCTGGTGGGGAGGTGGAGAACCTTAGTATCTAGCGCAGGGATTGTAAACGCACCAATCAGCACCCTGACAAAACAGGCCACTCGGCTCTACCAATCAGCAGGATGTGGGTGGGGCCAGATAAGAGAATAAAAGCAGGCTGCCTGAGCCATTATTGGCAACCTGCTCAGGTGCCCTTCCACACTGTGGAAGTTTTGTTCTTTCGCTCTTTGCAATAAATCTTCCTACTGCTCACTCTTTGGGTTCACGCTGCTTTTATGAGCTGTAACACTCACCGCGAAGATCTGCAGTTTCACTCCTGAGCCCAGGGAGACCACGAGCCCACCAGGAGGAACGAACAACTCCAGACACGCTGACTTAAGAGCTGTAACACTCACCGCGAAGGTCTGCAGCTTCACTCCTGAGCCAGCGAGACCACGAACCCACCATAAGGAAGAAACTCCGAACACATCTGAACATCAGAAGGGACAGACTCCAGACGCGCCACGTTAAGAGATGTAATTCTCACCGCGAGGGTCTGCGGCTTCATTCTTGAAGTCAGTGAGACCAAGAACCCACCAATTCCGGGCACAGAATCAAACCATATCATTCCACTCCTGGCCCCTTCCAAATATCATGTTCTTCTCACATTTTAAAACATAATCATGCCTTCCCAACAGTCAACCAAAGCCTTAGCTAATTTTATCATTAACTCAAAAGTACAAGTCCAATGTCTCATCTGACATAAGGGAAGTTCTTTCTGCCTGTGAGCCTGTAAAATCAAAAACAAGTCTGTGGCCGGATGTAGTGGCTCATGCCTGTAATCCCAGAACCTGGGGAGGCCGAGGCGAGCAGATCACCTGAGAGCTGGAGTTCAAGACCAGCCTGGCCAACATAGTGAAACCCCGTCTCTACTAAAAATACAAAAATTAGCTGGGTGTGGTGGCACATGCCTGTAATCCCAGCTACTCAGGAGGCTGAGGCAGGAGAATCACTTGAACCTGAGAGGCGGAGGTTGCAGTAAGCCAAGATTATGCCACTGCATTCCAGCCTGGGTGACAGAGCAAGACTTCATCTCAAATAATAATAATAGTAACAACAACATAGAATTATCCTTTCCTTCTATTTTTAGGGTATTATTTCTTTATACTTATAAAAAAAGTTTTTAAGTTTTTATATTTAGATGAATTAAAAATTTTCAGTATTTTATTGCTTTTGCCTTTCATGTATTGTTTAAAAAGACCTTCTTAAGATGAATAAATTAAGGTTAACCTAAATTTTAAATAGAATTATCCTTTTCTTCTATTTCTAGGGTTTTATTTCTTTATACTTATAAAAACTTAAATGTTTTTAAGTTTTTATATTTAGATGAATTAAAAATTTTCAGTATTTTATTGCTTTTGCCTTTCATGTATTGTTTAAAAAGACCTTCTTAAGACGAATAAATTAAGGCTAACCTAAATTTTAAATAGAATTATCCTTTTCTTCTATTTCTAGGGTTTTATTTCTTTATACTACTTTTTTTTTCGAGATGGAGTTTCACTGTTGTTGCCCAGGTTGGAGTGCAATGGCGCAATCTCACCACAACCTCTGCCTCCCGGGTTCAAGTGATTCTTCTGGCTCAGCCTCCTGAGTAGCTGGGATTACAGGCATGCGCCACCATGCCCAGCTAATTTTGTATTTTTAGTAGAGATGGGGCTTCTCCATGTTGGTCAGGCTGGTCTCGAGGTCTCGAACTCCCGACCTCAGGTGATCTGCCTGCCTCAGCCTTCTGAAGTGCTGGGATTACAGGCGTGAGCCACCACGCCCAGTTTATCTTTTTTTTTAAATTTTATTTCTCCGTAAGTTATTGGGGTACAGGTGGTATTTGGTTACATGAGTAAGTTCTTTAGTGGAGATTTGTGAGAATCTGGTGCACCCATCACCCAAGCAGTATACACTGCACCGTATTTGTTGTCTTTTTTATGAGTAACCTTTTGACTCTGCATTAAGAAACCCTTTCTGCTCTCTGTGTAGCATGTGTCATATCTGGCAGGCACTCTGCAAGAATCCCACTGTGCTCCCATCTGTTATACTTCCATATAACTTCAGGCATAGAGCTCAAAAACAATTTTCTAAAGAGATTTTTATTTCTATTTTGTTAATAAATACAACAGGGAAAGAAAAAGAATATGCTTACTTATCTTCATAATTCCTTGAATAGAGAAATGTTTAACATTATCATTTATTTTATTTTTTAACTTTTTAGGTTTGGGGGTCCCTGTGAAGGTTTGTTACATAGGTAAACTCATGTCACAGGGGTTTGTTGTACAGATTGTTTCATCACTCGGGTATTAAGCCCAGTACCCAATGCTTATCTTTTCTGCTCCTCTCCCTCCTCCCAGATTCCACCCTCAAGTAGATCACAGTGTCTGCTTCCTTCTTTGTGTTCATAAGTTCTCATCATTTAGCTCCCACTTACAAGTGAGAAAATGTGGTATTTGGTTTTCTGTTCCTGCATTAGTTTGCTAGGAATAATGGCCTCCAGCTCCATCCATGTTCCCACAAAATACATGATCTTTTTCTTTTTTATGGCTACAAAACATTCTAGTTTTTGAACTGAAGTATTATTATGGCTGGGTGCGGTGGCTCATGCCTATAATCCCAGCACTTTCAGAGGCCAAGGCAGGCGGATCAGTTGAGGTCAGGAGTTTTGAGACTAGCCTGGCAGACATGGTGAAACCTAGTCTCTACTAAAATACAAAATTAGAGAGAAACCCCATCTGTACTAAAAATACAAAAGATCCCAGCTCTTTGGGAGGCTCACACCTGTGATCCCACCACTTTGGGTGGCAGATGCCTGTAATTCCAGCTACTCAGGAGGCTGAGGCTGAAGAATCACTTGAACGTGGGAGGCAGAGGTTGCAGTGAGCTGGAGCACCACTGTACTCCAGCCTGGGCAACAGAAGGAGACTCCGTCTCAAAAAAAAAACCAAAAAACCTATTATTATACTTTCTGTAAGAAAATCAGAGACTAATTGCCTTTCATCCTCAGAAGAAAGCTTGTTCTAGGATGGAAACATAACACAGGTCACAGAGTTAAAGGGCTCACCAAAAGAACCTCAAATGAACAGGCTAACAGGAAAATTAAGAGTTTTTGTTTGTTTGTTTTTTAACTAGAGTTCTTATTTTAAAAGTGTCATTCTCTAGGAGACTTTGGATGCGTCTAGATCTTCTTGCCAAATCTTCAATTCTGTACAACAAATTCCTTCCTGATGTCCCGTTGAAGGAAATTATCTGAGGATAAGATCAGTCTGGATCATCTGGCAGTATCTTCTATTAGAGCGAAAGAAAGATGCCATCCCAGGGCTAAAAGAATTTAACTTTCATATTATAAAAGTGAAAGTTCATTTTTCAAGTGCGACACTGACATCTACTGGAAGAAATACTTGAGTAATTTACCAAATAAACGAAACATTTTTGTTTTTGTCAATTAGAAAAACAAAAAGTCTTTTTTGTTTGTTTGTTTTTGAGACAGAGTCTCTCTCTGTCGCCCAGGCTGGAGTGCAGTGGCTCACTGCCAGCTCTGCCTCCCAGGTTCACGCCATTCTCCTGCCTCAACCTCCAGAGTAGCTGGGACTACAGGCGCCCGCCACCACGCCCGGCTAAATTTTTTTGTTTTGTTTTGTTTTTTTAGTAGAGACGGGGTTTCACTGTGTTGCCCAGGATGGTCTCGATCTGACCTCGTGATCCACTTGCCTCAGCCTCCCAAAGTGCTGGGATTATAGGCATGAGCCACCGCGCCCGGCCAAAAAAAAAAAAAAAAAAGTTTTAAAACATTTATTGGCAGGGTGCTGTGGCTCATGCCTGTAATCCCAGCACTTTGAGAGACTTAGGCGGGCAGATCACTTGAGGTCAGGAGTTCAAGATCAGCCTGGCCAACATGGCAAAACCCCGTCTCTACTAAAAATACGAAAATTAGCCAGGCATGGTGGTGCATGCCTGTAATCCCAGCTACTTGGGAGGCTGAGACAGAAGAATTGCTTGAACCCGGGAGGTGGAGGTTGCAGTGAGCAGAGATTGCGCCACTGCACTCCAGGCTGGATGACAGAGCGAAAGTCTGTCTCATAAAAACAAAACAAAACAAAGCACATTTGTCCTTTAAGTGTTTGTTTCCTAAATACAGGTCAGTGCCATTGATAGAAAAGGTTTCCAGCATCTATATTTAGAAAATGTTCTTGGTGACTTGTGTGAGCAGGACCCTGGGACCCATGAAGAGTTGTTCAGCAGGATATCGGGTCATCTCTGGCATCCACAGAACCCATTTGGACAAGCGAACAAGGCCTGTTCCTACCCACCTTTTTTCCCTCCATTAGAACTCTCATGAATTGTTTTGACAGTAGCCATACAGATGGGTGTTGCTCTAATCATACCTCTTAAACATGCTTGGAGATAATAGTGAAATAATATCTCTTAGACCCCAGGGTAGAGTCCAGAAAATAGGAGAAGGAGATTAAAGTAAGGTTTTCAGGCCAGGCGTGGTGGCTCATGCCTGTAATCTCAGCACTTTGGGAGACCAAGGCAGGTGGATCACTTGAGGTCAGGAGTTTGAGACTAGGCTGGCCAACATGGTGAAACCCCGTGTCTACTAAAAATACAAAAATTAGCTGGGTATGGTGGTACATGCCTGTAGTACTAGCTACTCGAGAGGCTGAGGCAGGAGGGTTGCTTGAGCCTAGGAGGCGGAGGTTGTAGTGAGCCGAGACCATACCACTGCATTCCAGCCTGGGAGACAGGAGAGAAATACTGTCTCAAAAAAAAAAAAGAAAAAAAAAAAAACAAGTTAAGGTTTCTAGATAAGACGTATGCAAGAAAGCTAGATGCAGAGGGTCACACCTGTAATTCTTGCACTTTGGGAGGACAGGGTGGGAAGATTGTTTGAGTTTAGGAGTTTGAGACGATCCTGGGCAACATAGTGAGACCTTATCTCTAGTTGAAAAAACAAACAACCAAAAAAACAGCTGAGCGTGGTGGTGTGCACCCATAGTCACAGATACTTAGGAGGCTGAGATGGGATGACTGCTTGAGCCCAGGAGATGGAGGCTGCAGTGAGCTGCACTTTATCCTGGGTGACAGAGCAAGACCTTGCCTCAAAAAATATAGATGCAAGAAAAGAGGTGTTTAATATGCTAACCTAGATCAAATAAAACAAATATATTGAATATATCTAGCCACTGAATAAGTTCTGAATTGTTCTTTGTTCTTTTTCAAGTTTAGTTTTGCTAAGAAGTCCTAGCAAATTGCCCTGTCCCTCTGTGGAATACATGACTGGTTCTAATGTTTAGAAGAATCCTGATGGCTAGAAAAATCTCTCACTTCTTCAGTGTCTACTATGAGCAAGGTATTGTGCTAAGATTTTGCATGCATTAATTCATACTGTGTTTCACACATACAATCCTGATGTGTAGAAATTATTACATCTGGCTGGGCGTGGTGGCTCACACCTGTAATCCCATCGCTTTGGGAGGCCAAGGCGGGTGGATCACTTGTGGTCAGGAGTTCGAGACCAGGCTGGCCAACATGGCGAAACCCCGTCTCTACTGAAAATACAAAAATTAGCCGGGTGTGGTGGCGCATGCCTGTAATCCCAGCTACTCAGAAGGCTGAGACAGGAGAATTGCTTGAACCCAAGAGGTGGAGGTTGCAGTGAGCAGGTTGCATCTGTTTTTATAGATAAGAAATTAGGCTCCAAACAAGTTGAATAACTTGTCAACATCAAATGGTTAAGTAGCAGAGTCAGAGACCAAATCTCAATTATTATTATTATTTTTTTGAGACTGAGTCTCACTCTGTCACCCAAGCTGGAGTGCAGTGGTGTGATCTTGGCTCACTGCAACCTCCGCCTCCTGGGTTCAAGCAATTCTCCTGCCTCAGCCTCCCTAGTAGCTGGCTTTACGGGCACACGCCACCATGCCCAGCTAATTTTTTGTATTTTTACAGGGTTTCACCATGTTGACCAGGCTGGTCTCAAACTCCTGGCCTCAGGTGATCTGCCCACCTCAGCCTCTCAAAGTGCATGAGCCACCACGTCCAGCCTATTTCTTTTCCTTTTTCTTTTCTTTTCTTTTCTTTTTTTTTTTTTTTTGAGATGAAGTCTTACTCTGTTACCTAGGCTGGAGTGCAGTGGCACGAGGTTGGCTCACTGCAACCTCCACCTCCTGGGTTCAAGCGATTCTTCTGCCTCAGCCTCCCGAGTAGCTGGGACTAGAGGCGCACGCCACCACACCCGGCTAATTTTTTGTATCTTTAGTAGAGATAGGGTTTCACCATATTGGCCATGCTGGTCTCCAACTCCTGACCTCGTGATCTGCCTTCCTCGGCCTCCCAAAGTGCCTATTTCTTTTTTAAAATGGGTCTCGCTATGTTGCCCAGGCTGGAGCATAATGCCAATTTACAGCTGTAATCATAGTGCTCTGCAGCCTTGAAATCTGAGTTATATCTTTTCTAAGGCCCATTATCTTTTTTGTATATATATTGCCTCCTGCCGTACAACTAGAAGAAAAAAAAAGGCAAGGTACTCTTCCTTATTTGTGTCTAGAAGACTGATAAAGCATTTTTATTATTTTCTTAAAATTGGAAAACATATATCTTCCCATGCTTTGTACTACCAAATTTAATACGTTATACATTTTCAACTTCAGGAGAGATTCTGAATGATTCTTCTTTATCAAACCTTTTAAAATCTCATCAAAACAAAAATTTTTTTTGAGGCAGAGTCTTGCTCTGTTGCCCAGGCTGGAGTGCAGCGGCGAGATCTCGTCTTACTGTAACCTCTGCTTCCCGGGTTCAAGCGATTCTCCTGCCTCAGCCTCCCAAGTAGCTGGGAACAGGTGTGTGCCACCATGCCCAGCTAATATTTGTATTTTTAGTAGAGATGGGGTTTCACCATGTTGACCAGGCTGGTCTCAAATTCTTGACCTTGTGATCTGCCTGCAGTGGACTCCCAAAGTGCTCAGATTACAGGTGTGAGCAATTGTGCCTGGCCAAATATCATCAACATTTGATTTATATTAGCAGAGAGGTAAGAGAATGGCCACTGGAACCAAATGCCTGGATTTGAATCCTGGCTTGCTACTTATTAGCTGCACAACCTTGGACAGATTTTGATATTTACTAAAATGTTTAGAACATTTCCAACATTCTAACAATTTCCTCTGTACTCATTTATGGTTAATCCCCACTCCTATCCTCACCCTAGACTGCCACAGATCTGCTTTCTGTTTCTATAAATTTGCCTTTTCTAAACATTTAATGTAATGCAATTATAAAATAAGTAGTCTTTCTGTTTGATTTCTTCCACAGAGCATGAGGTGTTTGATGTTCATCCACATTGTGTTAATAGTTTGTTCTCTTTAATTGTATTCTGTAGACATGCAGTATTGTATGACCCATTCACCATCGGATGGACTTTTGGGTTGTTTCCACTTCTTGGCTATTATGAATCACACTGCTGTGAACATTCACGTTGCTGGGCACAGTGGCTCATGCTTGTAATCTCAGCATTTTGGGAGGCCAAAGTGAGAGGATTACTTACTTTGTAATCCAGGAGTTTGAGACCACCCTGGGCAACAAAGTGAGACCCCCATCTGTATTAGTTCTCTAGAGGGACAGAACTAATAGGGTGTGTATGTATGTGTATATATGTATATATATAAAGGGGAGTTTATTAAGTATTAACTATTAAGTATTAACTCACACGACCACAAGGTCCCACAATAGGCCATCTGCAAGCTGAGGAGCAAGAAGAGCCAGTCCGAGTCCCAAAACTGAAGAACCTGGAGTCTGATATTTGAGGGCAGGAAACATCTAGTACAGGAGAAAGATGTAGGCTGGGAGGCGAGGCCAGTCTAGGCTTTTCACATTTTTCTGCCTGCTTTATATTCTATCCACGCTGGCAGCTGATTAGATGGTGCCCACCCAGATTAAGGGTGGGTCTGCCTTCCCCAGCCCATTGAGTCAAATGTTAATCTCCTTTGGCAACACCCTCACAGATGCACCCAGGATCAATACTTTGCATCCTTCAATCCAATCAAGTTGACACTCAGTATTAACCATCACACCATCTTTGCCAAAAAATAAAAAATAAAAAAATTAGGCAGGTGTGGTGGCACATGGCTGTGATCCTAGCTACTCAGGAGGCTGAGGTAGGAGGATCACCTGAGCCTGGGAGGCAGAGTAAGACCCCGTCACAAACAAATAAAAACGGTTCACATACAAGTGTTTGTGTAGGCAGATGTTTTCAGTTATTTTGGGTAGTATCTAGGAGTAGAATTATTGGGTCATATGATAAACTTACGTTTAACTTTTTAAGTAACTGCCAAATTGTTTTCCAAAGTGGCTATTCCATTTTACATTCCACCAGCAATGTATGGGTTCCCTTTCTTTATATGCTCACTTATACTGGTATGTGCTGTCTCTTTGATCATAGCACATTTCAGTGAGTGTGTAGTTATATTTTTATTGTGGTTGTAATTTGCATTTCTCTAATAGTTCATGATATTAATTGAGCACATTTTCATGAGTTTATTAAACATTTATATATTTTCTTTAGTGAAATGTCTATTCTATCCATTTTATAGTTGATTGTTTATATTCTTTTTAATGAGTTGTAAGATTTTCTGTGTAGTTGTTACTTCCGTTTTTGAGAATAGGATATTTAAAGTTTCTATAACATGGCTGGGCACGGTGGCTCACATCTGTAATCCCAGCACTTTAGGAGGCCAAGGCGGGAGGATCATTTGAGGCCAGGAGTTTGAGACCAGCCTAGCCAACATGGTGAAACCCTGTCTCTACTAAAAATATAAAAATTAGCCACGCATGGTGGCACGTGCCTGTAATCCCAGCTACTCAGGAGGCGGAGGTTGTGGTGAGCCAAGATCGCACCATTGCACTCCAGCCTGGGGCACGAGAATGAAACTCCATCTCAAAAATAAAATAAAATAAAAAGTAAAAATAAAGTTTCTGTAACAACAACAAAAATAAATAAAGTTTCCAGTTATTGTTGAATTGTATTTCTCACTTCAATTCTGTCAAGTTTTGCTTCATATATTTGGGGCTCTGTTGTTAGAAGGATATATGTTTATAATTTTTTTCTAAGCAAATCTGTATCCAGCTTTATTAAAGATACTTTCCACAAACAACCCTGGTACCATGGTATTTCAGGCAGGACATGTGCAGACAATTCTTAACAGTTTACAACAACTTTCTTTTTTCTTTTTTTTTTTTAAGACAGGGTCTCATTCTGTTGCCCAGGCTGGAGTGCAGTGGCATGATCATGGCTCACTGCAGCTTTGAACTCCTGGGCTCAAGTGATCCTCCCAACCTCAGCCTCTCAAGTAGCTGAGACCAAAGGCATGTGCCACCATGCCTGCCTAATTTTTTAATTTTTTAGTTGGGGGGGGGCCTCATTTTGTTGCCCAGGCTGGTCTTGAATTCCTGGGCTCAAACAATCCTCATGCTCTGGCCTCCGGAAGCCCTGGGATTATAGGCATGAGCCAACTGTGCCCAGCCCAACAACTTTCAAACTCCCCTCTTCAATGGACTACCCAAATCAGAAAGCCCCTAAAAAACTCAATGAAGTCTTTGTTTGATGCTCTGAATAGGGAAAGTTGAGAGTTGACATTTCACGTTTAGCATGTTGCTTGACAACTTTTCAAGAGCTAACTCGACTTTCAAGAAGTAAAATGAAAATGGCAGAATTTATCTGCAGTAGAAATTTATCGACAGTAGAAATGGAACTGCTGCTCTTTTGAGGTGCACCTTCTTAGTGGCATCACTGGAAAGTTCAGATTGCAGATTGCCTGACACACAGGTAATCAATTATTGGAGGTCAGGTCTCAAAAGTTGTCTGGGCTTAAGGGAGTTAAGTCTGTTCAGAAGGTGGGAAGGCAGAAGTGGACATAAAGATGAATTTGTTTTTCCATACCTTAAGACATTTGTGCCAAGGTGGCTGTGTGTGTCAACATCAGGAAATTCCTCCTCCTGGGAGCCAAGAGGAAGTCTCTCAAATCTAAAAGAGAAAGCTGTTTTGCCCACATCAATCCAGCTTTGGGGACATTCTATTAGTGACATAATGTGCCTCTTCTCCAAAAAACAACAATGAAGTGTTCTGTGTGCTAATAATATAGCTTTAAAAAAAGTATGATAATATTCTACATTTTTGTGAAACTTGATAAAAAATAATATTTCAGGCTGGTGCAGTGGCTCAGCCTGTAATCCAGCACTTGGGAGGTGGATGCGAGAGGATCCCTTGAGCCCAGGAGTTCAAGACCAGCCTGGGCAACATAGTGAGACCCCATCTCTACAAAAAATAAAAAATTATCTGGGCATGGTAGCACGCACTTGTAGTCCTAGCTACTTGGGAGGCTGAGGTGGGACGATCAGGTGATCACGATCACTTGAGCCTGGGAGGTTGAGGCTGCAGTGAGCTCTGATTGTGCCACTCACTCCAACCTTGGCGAGAGAGCAAGACCCTGTCTCTAAAAAACAAACAAACAAACAAACAAACAAATAAATAAAACATCCCTCTCTTCAATAGTAACTTCTAAAAAAATCTTAAAGTCTATTTTATCTGATATAAATATAGTTATTCCAGCTCTTTTTTTCTTTGGAGACAGAGTTTTGCTCTGTCACCCAGGCTGAAGTGCAGTGGCACAATCTTCACTCACTGCAACCTCCACCTCCTGGGTTCAAGTGATTCTTATGCCTCAGCCTCCCGAGTAGCTGGGATTGCAGGTGCACATCACCACGCCAGCCTAATGTTTTGTATTTTTAGTAGAGATGGGGTTTCGCCATGTTCATCATGTTGGCCAAGCTGGTCTTGAACTCCTGACCCCAAGTGATCCACCTGTCTCAGCATCCCAAATTGTTGGGATTACAGGTGACTCCAGCTCTTAAGATGATTTTTCCCATAGTTTTACATTTACATTATATCTTTGAATCTAAAGAGTATCTCTTATGGACAGCATGTAATTGAACCCTATTTATTTATCTGATAATCTCTGCTTTTAATTGGAGTGTTTAATTCATGTACATTTAATGTAATTACTCGTATGGTTGGATTTATGCCTGTCATTTTCCTATTTGTTTCTATTGTGTTTCATGTCATTTTTGTTCCTCTGTGCCAATGTTACTGCCTTCTTTTGCATTAAACAAATATCTTTCAATGTATTCTTTTAATTCCTTTGTTCATTTTTAAGTTTTGTTTTTGTTTTTTTTTTTGAGACGGAGTCTCGCTCTTTCACCCAGGCTGGAGTGCGGTGGCGCGATCTCACTCACTACAAGCTCCGCCTCCTGGGTTCACACCATTCCCCTGCCTCAGCCTCCTGAGTAGCTGGGACTACAGGCACCTGCCACCACGCCCGGCTAATTTTTTTGTATTTTTTAGTAGAGACGATGTTTCACCATGTTAGCCAGGATGGTCTCAATCTCCTGACCTCATGATCCTCCCACCTCAGCCTCCCAAAGTGCTGGGATTACAGGTATGAGCCACCACGTCCAGCCTTAAGTTTTTATTTGAGTAATTTTCTTACCAATTGCTATAGGGATTGCAGTATGCTTCTTTATCACAGTTACTTCAGGCTAATGCTAACTAGTTCTGGTAAAAATATAGCAAATTTGCTATGATATACTTCCATTTTCTCATCTCTTCTAAAGTAAAGAGAAAAATTGAGATATTTATAGGCATAAAATGTAATAGGGAAGTGACAGAAGAGACAACAAGCACCAGATCATAAAGGACTTTATATACCATGCTAAGTCAATGGAGGAGGGAGTTGACAGGACAGTAAATTATTTTAAATTATAAGGAAATGTTGTTACATTTGCATTTCAGTTAGACCTTTCTAACAGTAATGAGGAGGATCAATTTCAAGGAGGCGGGATTGGGCCAATCAGAATCACTCTGGCTGGACACTGGTTCATGCCTGTAATCCTAACACTTTGGGAGGCCGAGACAGGCAGATCACCTGAGGTCAGAAGTTCAAGACCAGCCTGGACAACATGGTGAAACCCTGACTCTACTAAAAATACAAAAATTAGCTAGCTGGGTGTGGTGGCAGGCATTTGTAATCCCACTTACTTGGGAGGCTGAGGCATGAGAATCACTTGAACCTGGGAGGCAGAGTTTGCAGTGAGCCCAGATAATGCCATTGCACTCCAGCCTGGGCGACAGCGAGACTCTGTCTAAAAAAAAAAAATTCTTCTGGTAGCTATAATCTTCAGACATAGGAATCAGGGGTAGTTATTATTTCTGTTCTGTACTGTGTTTCTATACATGATTTTCTCCTGTCTCTAGACAGGAGAGTTTGCAAAGAACCCAGTGAGAATGAAGTTTCCATTAGGAGGAAAATAAGTGGCATAATAAAGTTATTATATCTTTGTGTTGTTCTTTGAAAAATTGTGGCAATTCTTTCTGCACAGAGCCAGACACCTCTGCAAAATGTTGAATAATATTCAATAGAACTGTGTGATCCTTCTACTGACCTTTCATTTATCCAACAGCCTCTCCTATTCACACCACTCCCTCATCACTCATTGATAAGAAACTACTGTATACCTTGGAAATGCTCCTCTACAAGGTGTTCTTCAGTTTCTCTCAAACTTTGCCACCAAATGGAGACAGCTGTATTGTTTTTTCTGATTACAAAAGTAAAAGGTATTCTTTATGGAAAAAAACAGTAATGGAAGTCAGAAATATACATGGCGGAGGGGTAAACTTTGAGCCCACAACAAACTCAGATATACAAAACATACAGCACTCCTTCTTTCTTTCTTTTTCTTTCTTTCCTTCCTTCTTTCTTTTCTTCTTTCCTTCCTTTTTCTTTTTTTGAGACAGGGTCTTGCTCTGTCACCCAGGCTGCATTGCAGTGGTACAATCACAGCTCCCTGTAGCCTCCTCCTCCTCCCCAGGCTCAGGTGATCCCCCCACCTGAACCTCCTGAGTAGCTGGGACTACAGGTGCATGCCACCATACCCAGCTGTTTTGTATTTTTTTGTAGGGATGGGGTTTTGCCATGTTGCCCGAGGCTGGTCTGGAACTCCTGGGCTCAATTAATTGGCCCACCTTGGGCTTCCAAATTGCTGAGCAATTTCCGGCCAATCCCTTAATTTCTACCACTGACTTAAACTTCCTCTTGAGCTCTCATTCTACAGAGGGAGGGTGGAAGTGGAATAGGAATGTAATGCAGCCAATTAAAGGTATCTCAGTTTCTTTCTAGTTCAATGTCTCATTTCAGGTGAATGTATTCAGGCAGTCCTCCAGGATCCACTCCTGAATTTTCAAACTCCCCTACAATTTTTTCATCTCTACACTCACTTTTTATATTCCCAATCTGTCTTTGGTGAGGTCTCCTTAGTTTAGGTTCTACTTCTTCTTCTTTTTTTTTTTTTGAGACAAGTCTCACTGTCGCCCAGGCTGGAGTGCAGTGGCACGATCTCAGCTCATTGCAACCTCCACTTCCCTGGTTCAAGCGATTCTCCTGCCTTGGCCTCCAGAGTAGCTGGGATTACAGTGCCACCAACCTGGTTAATTTTTGTATTTTTAGTTAAGAGACAGGATTTCGCCATGTTGGTAAGGCTAGTCTTGAACTCCTGACCTCAGGTGATCTGCCTGCCTTGGCCTCCCAAAGTGCTAGGATGGCAGGTCTGAGCCACTGCGCCCGGCCAGATTCTACTTCTGATAAATCAAATACAAGATGGGAAATGGGAATATTTTCAGGCGTGCAAAGAATGAAAAAGCAAACAAAATGAAACAAAATTCCTTCGTATCTTTACTAGGAATTTACTAGAGATATGCTCTTCTGAAACAAAAATATAACCAAAAAATGAAAATGACATAGGACACAGGAAACAGGAGATCTAGGATAAGCACCAGGATAGTGAAGGGAGTTCCCCAGTTGACAGCTGTCACCAGGCACTGAGAGCAAACCTGTTCAGTTGGAGCAGATCATAGGCACCAAGAGGGATTTCTTTAGATGATGAAACCAGTGAAATATTTGATGCATCAGAACCTCTTGAAAGGAGATTTAGACAAATTGGCAAAGGGTTTGGGGTAATGAAAACTAAGAAAATTAACATAATGTTCTCTAGTTTTATCCATGTTGCTGCAAATAACAGAAATCCATTCTTTCTTATAGCTAAATAATATTCCATTGTGTATATATACACCACATTTTCTTTATCTATTTATCTGTTGATGGACACTTGGGTTGACTACACATCTTGGCTACTGTGAACAGTGCTGCAATAAACATGGGAGTGCAGATATCTCTTTGATACACTTATTTCCTTTCTTTTGGGTATATACGCAGCAGCGGAATTGCTGGATCATATGCTAGTTCTATTTTTAGTTCTGGGGGAAACTCCATATTGTTTTACATAGTGGCTGTACTAATTTACATTCCTCATCAGTGTACGAACATTATGTTAAGTGAAATAAGCCAGGCAGTGGGGAGGTGCGGCTGGGGCTGCATGCTCCGTGGAGGCAGCGGGACGCCGGGACAGGCAGGAACCCCCCTCCTTCTGAGTTAAGGCGGGAGCTTCCTGGGTGCCGCTGCAGCCGTCCAAACCGTGCCTGTAGACCTGGGCCTCCTGCTCCATGGAGCAGGCAGGAGCCCCGCTCTCCTGGACAGGCTGTAGCCACCCAAGTTGTGGCTGCAGATCCGAGCCTCCCTGTGCTCTTGTGTGGGCCGGGAGCAGGCAGGATCCCTGCCCTGCCCTCCCGGGTGCAGCTGCAGCTGCCTGACCCACTGCTGCAGACCCAGGCCTCCTGCTCCAAGGAGCCGGTGATAAGCAGAAGCTCTGCCCCTTCTGAGTTGGCAGGGCGAGAACTCCCTGGTGCAGCTGCAGCTGCAGCTGCCCTCCCAGGTGCAGGACCCAGGCAGCTGTCTCTACAGTCTGCACCCTTGGGGACCCTGGAAGGCTTCCTCATCCCTGTCCCAGCAGGCTCGCGGGTTTCTTCTCCCTCTGCCTGGCCTCTCTCCTCTCCCAGCATGGCTCCAATATCAAAGCAGGGATTGGGGATGAGCAGGGATGCTGTCGCAGTCCAGCTGGGTGTGCTCAAGCTTGCGGCAGTGCTTATACGCCAGCCCTCTGCCGCCTCTGCTGCCTCCAGAATTTGGGCACCCACGAGCGTGAGAGGGGAAGCCAAGGGGGCGCTGAGAGTGGAAGCCAAGTGGGGGCTGAGGGCGGCTTGGCACTGGCCTGCAGAAGCCCCTTGGTGAGAACAGCCTGGGTGCCATGGATGCTGGTGGCACAGTGGGATGCAGACAGGCTCCTGGGCAAAGGGAGCGGTCCCTGTAAGACCCCACCTTCAGGGCAGGGAGGGCCTGAAGGCTGCAGGTCAGGTGCCAGTCCCTGTGGGTCCAAGTGGGCACTTGTGGTGCCTTTTCCAGCCAGCCCATGGCTGCCTATGGACCCAGAGCACTTTGTCCTCTCCGAGGTCCATAAAAGCCCCCAACTCAGCCAGAGCAGGGCAGAGGATGGAGAGATCATGGGACTACCAGTTGCAGAGAGGAGCCACCCACTCCAGGGCCTGCTGGGACAACCTGGCTACAGAGGGGAGCTACCCACTGCAGGTCTCCTCTGAGCTGTTCTAACACTCAATGAAGTTCCTCTTCATCTTGCTCATCGTCCACTTGTCTGCATACCTCATTCTTCCTGGATGCAGGATAAGAACTCAGGCAAAGGCATCACCGGCCACAGAGGTTTCTGGCCAAAAGAGTGACAATACATGTTTTCACTCCTATGTGGGAACTAAAAAAATTGATCTCATGGAGGTAGAGAGTTGATTGGGGTTACCAGAGACTGGGAAGAGTAGTGGGGAGGTGGGGAAGAAGATGAGTCAGTTAATGGGTACAAAAATTTTGTTGCGTAGAAGGAATAAGATCTAGATTTCAACAGCCCAATGAGGTGACTATAGTTAACAATAATTAATCATACATTTCAAAATAGCTAGAAGAGAAGATTTGGAATGTTGCCAACACAAAGAAATGATAAATATTTGAGATTGTCGATATCCCAATTACCCAGCTTTGATCATCATATATTGTATGCATGTATGTATACCCGGGCTCAAAAATAACGGAAAGAAAGAAAAAAGAAGGCTGGGCACAGTAGCTCATGCCTGTAATCCTAGCACTTTGGGAGGCCAAGGCAGGTGGATTGCTTGAGCCCAGGAGTTCAAGACTAAGCTGGGCAACATGGCGAAACCCTGTCTCTACAAAAAATACAAAAGCTAGACAGGCATGGTGGAACATGCCTGTAGTCCCACTGCTTGGGAGGCTGAGGTGGGAGGATCACTTGAGCCCAGGATGTCCAGGCTGCAGTGAGCCATGTTTGCACCACTGCACTCCAGCCTGGGTAACAGAGCGAGACCCTGTCTAAAAAACTTTTTTTAAAAAGAGAGAAAAAGCACAATTATTAAATCTAGGCAAAATAAAGATTTATTCAGGATAAGAAGATAATCATAGCATATACTACTTCTCTCAGCTATGAATAATGTTTACATAATCATAATTACGTACTTAATGTTGGTGAAGGAAGAGCAAATAGAGTTGGGTCCTCATCTGCAATAGGAAACCAACAGATAGTTTACAAAACTGAAGACCCAAGAAATAACAATTAAGCATGTTGTTTAAAGACATGGCAGTAAACATCAAAACAATCAGTTATAAATGATGAAAGTAGTTATGTCTGAAGAGAAGGGAAAGTAATGGGTGGAAGAAGGGAAGGGCAGTGCTGTTTTTCTTTTTTCTTTTTGAGACAATCTCGCTCTATCACCCAGACTGGAGTGCAGTGGCATGATCACTGCTGACTGCAGCCTAGACCTCTTGGGCTCAAGTGACCCTCTTGCCTCAGCCTCCTGAGTAGCTGGGACCACAGGCTCATGCCACCATGCCCAGCTATTTTTTTTTTTTGAGACAGTCTTGCTGTGTTGCCCAGACTGGAGTGCAGTGGTGTGATCTCAGTTCACTGCAAACTCCGCCTCCTGGGTTCAAGAGAGTCTCCTGCCTCAGCCTCCCTAGTAGCTGGGATTACAGGCACACACCACCATGCCCAGCTATTTTTTTTATTTTTAGTAGAGACGGGATTCACCATGTTGGCCAGGCTGGTCTTGAACTCCTGACCTCAGATGATCCGCCCATCTCAGCCTCCCAAAGTGCTGGGATTACAGGCGTGAGCCACTGCGCCCGGCTGCCCAGCTAATTTTTAAATTTTGGTTGTATAGATGGGGTATGGCTATGATGCCCAGGCTGGTCTTGAACTCCTGGGCTCGATTGGTCCTCCTGCCTTGGCCTCCCAAAATGCTGGACCTACAGGTGTGAGCCACCATGCCTGTGCTGTTTTTCTTAACAAAACTTGTTAAATCACTTGAGTCTTTAAACCAAGTGTGTGTATAATGTCAATAATGATTTAAAAAAAGCTTCACTAAAGCTTCATATTTCTTTGGTTTTATGAGACATAGCCACATATCAAAAGATAGTACAGAATCTTGTACGTTTTGTGGACAGATATCCACACTTGTCGCACATGGTTCTTTTTTGGATCATGCCAATTCCTTCAAGCAATTCATCCCTAGAAGCAGGTAAATAGACCATAATTACTTCATGAACAGGTTTGAAATTGTAACTGGGAGTTAATCCTAATAGATTCTGGATATGAAGTGTGCCAGGTGTTTTTTTTGTTTGTTTGTTTTGTTTTGTTTTTGAGATGGGGTCTCACTCTGTCACCCAGACTGGAGTGCAGTGGCACAATTATGGCTCACTGCAGCCTCAACTTCCCAGGTTCCAGCAATCCTCCCACCTCAGCCTCCCAAGTAGCTAGGACCACAGGTGTGCACCACCTACCTAACTACATTTTGTATTTTTGGTAGAGACGGGGTTTTGCCATGTTTCTCAGGCTGGTCTCGAACTCCTGAGCTCAGATGATCTGCCCGCTTGACCTCCCAAGTGCTGGGATTACAGGTGTGAGCCACCGTGCCTGGCCTGAAGTGTGCCAATTCCGATTAAGGGTGAAAGTAAGGTGGGATATATTTTCCCAACTCTTCAATATTTCCAAAACAAAAATAAAACATTTGAGGAATAGTGAATAGTGGGACTTATCAATACAAGAGGGTTTGTTTTCCTTAAGAATGAGGATCACCACTTCAAACTTAACACAAAGAGCTTGTGTTTTTCCTACATTCACAAATACAACACCCCTCACCCCCCCAAAAAAATAACAGTCCACCACTGAATTTAGTAGATGTACACACATAAACAAACACATATGTGTGCAGGTACACTTATACATATGATATATAGGTGGTGCAAATAACTTTTAAAACTATACTTATTTATTTATATATTTTTATTTTTATAGGAGACAGGGTCTCTATGTTTCCCAGGCTGGTCTCGAACTCCTGGGTATAAGTGATACTCCTGCCTCTGCCTCCCAAAATGCTGGGATTGCAGGCATGAGCCACTTCACTCAGCATAAACTATTTTTATATAATTACAAATTTATAGCTGGGCTCCATGGCTCATTCCTGTAATCCCAGCACTTTGGGAGGCCCAGGTGGGAAGATCACTGGAGCCCAGGACTTTGAGACCAGTCTGCGCAACATAGAGAGACCCATCTCTACAAACAAACAAAAATTGTTTGTTTGTTTGTTTGTTTGTTTGTTTTTGAGATGGAGTATCACTCTGTTGCCCAGGCTGGAGCGCAGTGGCACGATCTCAGCTCACTGCAACCTCTACCTCCCAGGTTCAAGAGATTTTCCTGCCTCAGCCTCCCGACCAGCTGGGACTACAGGCGTGCACCACCATGCCCAACTAATTTTTGTATTTTTTTTTTTAGTAGAGACAGGGTTTCACCATATTGGACACGCTGGTCTCGAACTCCTGACCTCGTGATCCACCCGCCTCAACCTCCCAAAGTGCTGGGATTACAGGCATGAGCCACCGCACCTGGCCCAAAAAATTACAAATTTACCAAAAAAACTTGCAAGAATAGTATAGGGAATTCCTATCTACCCACTAGACCCACAAATGGTTTCTGTCTTGCACCACTTGCTTCATCATTCTCTATGACACACATTTATTTGTATGCATGCATGCACATATATGCACATGTATATTTTTTGAACCACTTAAAGTTAAGTTGTTACCAGGTATAGAGGGCAACTGTGTTCTTTACCCCTTGATACATTTGCGTGTATTTTCTAAATACAAAGACATTCTCTTAAATAACCAGTACAATGACCTAAATCAGAAAGTTTAGCGTTGATACCATACTATTGAATCTACAGTCCCTGTTCAAATTTCATAAATTGTTCAAATAGAGTCCTCCACAGCTATTTCTTTTTTCCTTGTCCAGGATCCAAGCCAGGATTACATATTTACATTTAGTTGTAATGAGTCTTTGATCTCTCTTTTTCTTTTCTGGCAGTTATAAAGGCAATCTTTGGTCTCTTTTAGTCTGGAACTGCTCCTCTGGCCAGATATTTTGTAGAATGTTATTCAATTTGGATGTGTCTTATGTTTCATCATAATTAGATTCAGGTTATGCATTTTTGGCAGGAATACCACAAAAGTGATACTATATCTGTTTAGTCCGTTTTAACACTGCTATAAAGAAGTCTCCGAGACCGTCGTGGCGTGCGCCTGTAGTCCCAGCTACTCAGGAGGCTGAGGCAGGAGAATTCCTTGAACCCGGGAGGCGGAGGTTGCAGTGAGCCAAGATCGCGCCACTGCACTCCGGCCTGGGCAACAGAGCAAGACTCAGTCTCAGAAAAAAAAGAAGAAGAAGAAGTGCCCGAGACTGGGTAATTTATAAAGGGATTGACTCACAGTTTCCCATGGCTGGAGATACCTCAGGAAACTTATAATCATGGCGGAAGGCAAAGGGAAAGCAAGATACCCTCTTCACAAGGCCGCAAAAAGGAGAATTAGCGCAGGAGGAACTACCAAACACTTATAAAACGATCAGATCTCGCGAGAACTCATTCACTATCATGAGAATAGCATGGGAGAACTGCTCCCATGATTCAATTACCTCCACCCGGTCTCTCCCTTGACACAAGAGGATTATGGGGATTACAATCAAAGATGAGATTTTGAGTGGTGACACAGCCAAACCATATCAATATCCTTCTTAAAGCATTTTATCAGGAGACATATGTCAGATTGTCCCAATATCGCTAATGTTAACTATAATCACCAGGTGAAGATGATGGCCACCAGACTTCTCCATTTTAAAATTAATATTTTATATTAATTAATATTTGAGGATATTAATTAAACAAAATTTAATTATTTCAATTTAATTTACAAATAATTGATTTTATATATTTGTAATTTTAATATTAAGTAATTCATGGGAAAGTACTTTTATACTATGTGAATATTCTGTCATGTTTTACCCACTAGTTTTGGCATCTGCTAATAATATTTCACTTTACCATTTCTTCTACACTTTGTAGTTGGCATTCTCTTACAAGTAAAAGTTTTCTCTTCTTTCTTATTTATTTATTCATTAATTCTTATCAATACGGGCTCACAGAGTCTTATTTTATTCAATGGGTAATACTCCATTTCTATCATTATTTATTTTGATGATCAAATTGCCTGGAATTTGGCTGGTAAGAGACTTTCAAGTTAGATCTTTTGTCCCTTTTGATGTGTTCCAGTCACTCTTTTTTTTTTTTTTTTTTTTTTGAGATGGAGTTTCACTCTTGTTGGCAGGCTGGTGTTCAATGGTGTGATCTCAGCTCACTGCAACCTCTGCCTCCTGGGTTCAGGTGATTCTCCAGCCTCAACCTCCTGAGTAGCTGGGATTACAGGCACATGCAAACAGGCCCGACTAATTTTTGTATTTTCAACAGGGTTTCACCATTTTAGCCAGGCTGGTCTCGAACTCCTGACCTCAGGTGATCCACCCACCTCGGCCTCCTAAAGTGCTGGGATTACAGGCGTGAGCCACTGTGCCTGGCCCCCAATCATTCTTTAAGCCCTTTTCTTTCATTTTTTGTTTTTGGTTTTTTTTTTTTGAGATGGGGTCTTGCTCTGTAGCACAAGCTTAAAGTGCAGTGGCATGAACATGGCTTACAACAGCCTCAAACTCCTGGCCTCAAGCCATTCTCCTGCCTCAGCCTCCCAAGTAGTTGGGACTACAGCTGTGTGCCACCACGCCTGGCTACTTTTCTTCTTAGACAGGGTCTCGCTCTGTTGCCCAGGTTGGTCTCCAGCTTCTGGACTCAAGTGATTCTCCTGCCTCGGCCTTTCAAAGTGCTGGGATTACAGGTATGAGTCACTGCTCCTGACCTTTTAAACACTTTTCCAATTTGACACAGGATATTCTATACTACCTTATTCTTTTGCAAGCCCAAGAGGAAAATAAAGGAATCAAATCTGGGTGCTAGGTGTGCTCACTGCTATTGGTGTGTCATTGTTTCTAGTCCCACACTGGAGAAAATGCTAGAAAAAAAGTATATAAATATAACTTTATATATATATAGAGAGAGAGAAGGCCTAAGGTCCATCTCTCTCTCTACCTCTGGGGTTCATGCTAGCCCTCCTCTTCTCCATATGTGTAACTTCCATTTCCAACAGTGAGAAAACAGTGGCTTTCCAAGATTGCGCCACTGCACTCCAGCCTGGGCGACAGAGCGAGACTCCGTCTCCAAGAAAAAAAAAAGAAAAAAAAAGTGGCTTTCATTATCTTCCTATATACTTATTTATTTGCGCAAACCTAGAATGCAAATGAGGTACTTTTAGGATTGCTAATTCATACTACTGTGGAAAGCAAATCTCATGAATTTCAATATTTATTTATACTTCTTTTCCATTTTTTCAGGTAAAATTTCCATACAGCGATGTCCACAAATCTTTCTTTTTTTTTTTTTTTGAGTTGGAGTTTCACTCTTGTTGCACAGGCTGGAGTACAATGGCGCGATCTCGGCTCACCGCAACCTCTGCCTCCTGGGTTCAAGCGATTCTCCTGCCTCCACCTCCTGAGTAGCTGGGATTACAGGTATGCACCACCACGCCTGGCTAATTTTTTGTATTTTTAGTAGAGACAAGGTTTCTCCATGTTGATCAGGCTGGTCTCGAATTCCTGACCTCAGGTAATCCGCCCACCTCGGCCTCCCAAAGGGCTGGGATTACAGGCGTGAGCCACCGTGCCTGGTGTCCAAGAATCTTAAGGGTATCATTTAACAACTAAATATACCCATTTAACCTCCCGATAAACATTCCCATCACCCCAGAAAGCTCCTTTGTTCTTCTTTCTCAGTTGATCCCCATCCCAATGCCATCCACAAACTCTGTCCTGATTTTTTCACTACAGATAAGTGTTCCCTGTTCTAGAACAACATGCAAATGAAGCATAGATTATGTATTCTTTTTTTGATTCTTTGGTTCAATGTAATAAGATTCAGGCAAGTTGATGTAGGCTTCAGTAGTTTGTTCATTTTTTTTAATACTTCTCAAACAGTTTTATATTTTAGTTATGAAGGTCAGTTACCAGAGCCAGACTTGTTCTTAACAAGCAGAATTTTTATGTCCATTCAGAGTCCCTTACAATTTTCTCAGCCTATTCACTTGCAGAGAGTAGAAACTGTATAGTTTGATCCTATTTGTTTATTTATTTAGAGACAGGGTCTTGCTCTGTTGCCCGGGCTGGAATACAGTGGCATGATCTCGGCTCACCACAACCTCTACCTCCCTGGTTCAAGCGATTCTCCTGCCTCAGCCTCCCAAGCAGCTGGGATTACAGGCACCTGCCACCATGCCCAGCTAAGTTTTGTATTTTTAGTAGAGATGAGGTTTCGCCATGTTTGCCAGGCTGGTCTTGAACTCCTGACCTCAAATCGTCTGCCCGCCTCGGCCTCCCAAAGTGCTGGGATTACAGGCATGAGCCACAATGCCTGGCCCCTTTTTATTACTGAGTAGTATTCCATTGTATAAATATAGTACAGTTTGTTTTGTAGTGTTCAGGGTGGAAGTCTTACACAGCTTTTGTGAGATTTATTCCTAAGTATTTTTATGCTATTGTAAATAGAATTGTTTTCATTTCATTTTCCAGTTGTATTTCCAATGTCATTGATTTTAAAATATTGACCATGTGTCCTATGATCTTGGGATTATTAATTCTAGAGTTATTATAGATTCCTGGATTTCCAAAATTAATGATCATGATATGTGTGAACACTGAAAGTTTTACTTATTCATTTCCCATCTGTATTCCGTTTATTTTATTGTTTATTTATTTTTTGAGATGGAGTCTTGCTCTCTTAACTGCAAACTCTGCCCATCTCCGCCCCTGCTCACCCCGCCCCAGTTCAAGCCCCAGTTCAAGCGATTCTCCTGCCTCAGCCTCCTGAGTAGCTGGGATTACAGGCACGTGGCACCACGCCTGGCTAATTTTGTATTTGCAATAGAGATGGGGTTTTGCCATGTTGGCCAGGTTGGTCTCGAACTCCTGACCTCAAGTAATCCGCTCACCTTAGCCTCCCAAAGTGCTGGTATTACAAGTGTGGGCCACTGTGCCCGGTTCCTTTTATTTATTTATTTATTTGCATTCGCTAAGATTTCTAATACAATGTTGAGTTGAAATGTTGAGAGGGGACGTCTTGGCTTGTTCCTGATCTTACAAAAAATAATTCAATATTTCACTGATTGTGTGAGGTTAGCTCTGAGGTTTTTGCAGCTGATCCTCGTTTTCTAGCTTTTTTTTTTTTTTTTTGAGACCAGTCAAGCGCAGTAGTGAGAAGGGGAACAGAGTATTTTTCTAGCTTCTTAAAGTGGAAATTTAGATTACTGATTTTATTTATTTATTTATTTATTTATTTATTTATTTGAGACGGAGTTTTGCTCGTGTTGCCCAGGCTGTTGTGCAGTGGCATGATCTCAGCTCACTGCAACCTTAGCCTCCCAGGTTCAAGTGATGCTCCTGCCTCAGCCTCCTGAGTAGCTGGGATTACAGGCACATGCCACCATGTCAGGCTATTTTTTTTTTTGTATTTTTAGTAGAAATGGGGTTTCACCATGTTTGCCAGGCTGATCTCGAACTCCTGACCTCAGGTGATCTACCCACCTCAACCTCCCAATGTGCTAGGATTACAGGATTGAGCCACTGCGTCTGGCCTGTTGATTAATTTCTTTCTTTCTTCCCTCCCAGCTTTACTGAGGTAACATTGATGAAATAAAATTGTATGTGCTTATAGGCTGGGCACAGTGGCTCATAGCCATGAGCTACTTTGGGAGACTCCCAACACTTTGGGAGACTGAGGCAGGAGGATCACTAAGGCCAGGAGTTCAACACCAGCCTGGGCCACATAGTGAGACCCCATTCCAAAAAAATAATAATGGGCCAGGTGCGGTGGCTCAAATCTGTAATTTTGGCACTTTGGGAGGCCAGTGTGGGTGGATTACTTGAGGCCAGCAGTTTGAGACCAGCCTGGGCAACAGAGTGAAACCCTGTCTCTACAAAAATGACAAAAATTAGCTTGGCATGGTGGTGCATGCCTGTAGTCCCAGCTACTCAGGAGTCTGATGTGGGAGGATCACTTAAACCCAGGAGGTTGAAGCTGCAGTGAGCTATAATCATGCCACTGCACTATAGGCTGGGTGACAGAGTAAGACCCGGTCTCAGGAAAAATTTTAAGAATAATAAATAAATAAAATAATAAAATTAAAAGTTGTATATATTGATGGTGTACAACATGATGTTTTCACATATGCATATAGTGTTAAATGAATACCACAATCAAGCTAATTAGCATGTATTCATCCATTTTCACACTGCTGTAAAGACAAACCCAAGACTGGGTCATTTATTAAAAAAAAGAGGTTTAATTGACTCACGGTTCTGCATGGCTGGGGAGGCCTCAGGAAACTTACAATTGCAGAGGAAGGGGAAGCAGGCACATCTTACAACGGGGCAGGTGAGAGGGCATGAGCAAGAGCAGGGAAAACTGCCTTATAAACCCACCAGATCTCGTGAGAACTCACTCACTATCAGGAGAACAGGATGCGGGGAAATGCCCCCATGATCCAGTCACCGCCCACCAGCCTCCTCCCTCAACACCTGGGGATTACAATACAAGATGAGATTTGGGTGGTGACATAAAGCCTAACCATATCATATCATATATCCATTGCCTCACATAGTTACTGTTTTTTCATGTGTAGTTAGAACATTCAAGATCTACTCTCGGTCAGGCATGGTGATTCATGCCTGTAATCCCAGCATTTGGGAGGCTGAGATGGGAGGATCAATAGAGGCCAGGAGTTTGAGACCAGCCTGAGCAACATAGCAAGACCCTGCCTCTACCAAAAATTTAAAAACTAGCCAGGCATGATGGCCTGTGCCTGTTGTCCTAGCTACTTAGGAGGCTGAGGCTGGAGGATCCCTTAGGCCCAGGAGTTCCGGGTTACAGTGAGCTATGATTGAGCCACTGCACTCCAGCCTGGGTGACAGAGCGAGACCCTGTCTTTAAAATATATATTATTATTGTATGTGGGAATGTTGATCCAATACAAACTACTCCACTATTACAGAACTGTAACGTGGAAAATTTTAAATTATAATAATTATCTTCTGTGAGTCTTCAAAGCTGAAGGTCTCAGACTGGTTTCATACACCAATTTGTTTTTGTTTTGTTTTGTTTGAGGCAGGGTCTTGCTCTGTCACCTAGGCTGCTCACTGCAGCCTTGAACTCCTGAGCACAAGCAATCCTCCCACCTCAGCCTCTCAAAGTTCTGGGATTACAGACATGAGGCACTGCACCTGGCCTGTATACCAGTTTGTATGAGAAGTATAAGTAGAAGATATTAACCACATTTGGACATATTTCCATTCATAATAATTTAGTTGCTGGGAATGGAATAGAAAAGATGGTTTCCCACTGTTCTTGCTCTGAATTGCAAGACTGTCCTCTGTTTTAACAAAGTATTCTGTCATAGCAGTCAAGGGCAAATTCTTTCAGCTGTGAGTCATCTTACTCATTAAAAGCCTCATAATATAGCTTACTGATTTTCCCCATTTGTTAGATAAAGAATTTCCTACCTCCTCCCAGACAGTAGTTTAATATGTTGGGCTGCTGTATGTGATTTTGTTTAAAGGTAGTGTGCCACTGTTTTTTAAAAACAATTGCAAATCCTAGTTTAGAAAATCTCTAGGAGTCTCTAAAATTAAATAACAATGTATTTTAGTTTGTTTGCCTATAGAAGAATGGTGAATGTGTACAAAAATAATCTTTGGCTTAGAAATTTCCAGTTTTGGCTGGGCATGGTGATTCACACCTGTAATCCCAGCACTCTGGGAGGCCAAGGTGGGCGGATCACTTGAGGTCAGGAGTTTGAGACCAGCCTGGCCGAGATGGTGAAACCCCATCTCTACGAAAAATACAAAAATTAGCTGGGTGGTGGTGGCGCACACTTGTAGTCTCAGCTACCTGGGAGGCTGAGGCAGGAGAATCACTAGAACCCAGGAAGCGGAGGTTGCAGTGAGCTGAGATCATACCACTGCACTCCAGCCTGGGCAACAGAGTGAGACTCTGTCTGAAAAAAAAAAAAAAAAAGAAAGAAAGAAAAAAAGAAATTCCCAGTCTTGGGTGATCTTCAAAGCTCTGCCCACTTGACAGCAGGTGGGATCATTTGTCAGTAAAATACTCCTCTGATTTCTTTCTATTTGAATTCATCCAAGGATCTATAATGCAAAACTCTCTTACTATTTTTGACATAAATATTATTATTCTGTACTATTTAACATTTTCATTATGGTAGTAAAACTAAAAGGCAAAGAGATTTGTGCTGAGAAATGTGTGCTATTCACAGTAGATATTACTTAAGTTCAAAGGCACGTGTGCAGCTGGATTGGACTAAGACCCTCTCAATAGTCCAAAGCTATAATTGTGTGAACCTTCTAGAATCAGACATATTTGCAAAAGATTGTCATTGCTTAAGGGTTCATGCAATAATTTATCTGATTGTTGCAAGTTTCAGACTTGCCATCATCTGGACATTCCTGTTCATCAGAGCAGTAGGAATTTTCATTTTAATTGTGGCATCGAACTCACTAATCATCTGCTACCATGGTAATCAATAGGTGTAAATATTCTAATAAACATTCATTTAAAGTCTCCAGTGAATTAAGATGCTATTTAAATGAAAAACAATACATTGATATAGGTCAGTGTGTTGCCTCTCCCTTGGTGTGCTTACTAATTTACCAAATGCACTCTGTATGCGTCTAATGGTAAAGGAAAAGTACTAGGGGCTCTTTTTAATGTGTTAACTGAGAAGAAGCCTAGTTTTTTTAGCCCATTAACAAAAGCTATTACTATATCTCCCCTAAAATACTGGCAGATCAGCCAAGGCAACATAGTGGGACCCCATGTCTACAAAACAAACAAACAAACAAACAAACAAAATTAGCCAGGGGCGGTGGCACGCACCTGTAGTCCCAGCTACTTTTGGAGGCTGAGGCGGGAGGATCACTTGAGGCAAGGAGGTTGAGGCTGCAGTGAGCCGTGGTAACATCACTACATTCCAGCCTGCATAACAGAGTGAGACCCTGTCTCAAAAAATAGTAATAAATAAAATAGGTCTGGCATAGTGGCTCACGCCTGTAATCCCAACACTTTGGGAGGCCGAGGCAGGTAGATCACCTGAAGTCAGGAGCTCAAGACCAGCCTGGCCAACATGGCAAAACCCAGTCTCTACTAAAAATACAAAAATTAGCTGGGCACTGTGGCAGGCACCTGTAATCCCAGATACTTTTGGAGGCTGAGGGAGGAGAATCACTTGAAACTGGGAGGCAGGGGTTGCAGTGAGCCGAGATCACACCACTGCATTCCAGCCTGGGCAACAGAGTGAGACTCCATCTCAAAAAATAAGTAAATAAAGGCCAAGAGTGGTGGCTCATGTCTGTAAACCCAGCACTTTGGGAGGCCGAGGTGGTGGATCACCCAAGGTCAGGAGTTTGAGTCCAGCCAGACCAACATGGCGAAACCCCATCTCTACTAAAAATACAAAATTAGCTGGGCATGGTGGTGGGCACCTGTAATCCCAGCTACTTGGGAGGTTGAGGCAGGAGAATCACTTGAACCCAAGAGGTGGAGGTTGCAGAGAGCCAAGATCATGCCATTGCACTCCAGCTTGGGCGGCAAGAGTGAAACTCCATCTCAAAATGATAAATAATAAAGTAAATAAATAAATAAATAAAATTAAATTAAAATACTGGCAGATTGCCCTTCCTACATTGTAAGCTTCTTGGAGACACAGATCATGTCATATTATTAATGCTGTAATTCTGTCAGTGCCTAACATGCTGCCTTGCATTTCATTAAATGGCTTAAACTGTTGTTTAAGCCATGCAATTTATGGCATTTTGTTATAGCATATGAAGACAATTATTAATACAATAATTTAAATTCTACCTACCAAATTATAGCTATTTTATTTATTAAAACCTCTCTTTAGCCAAGTGTAGTAATGCACATCTGTAGTCCCATCTACCTGGGAGGCTGAGGCAGGAGGATTGCTTGATCCTGGGACATGGGGGCTGCAGTGAGCCGTGATCACACCACTGCACTACATCCTGGGTGACAGAGCGAGACCCTGTCTCAAAAAAGAAAAAAAAGAAAAAAACTTCTCTCTTGTCTTCAGTTTTCTTTTTTTGTTTCTTTTTTTCTTTTTTTTTTTTTTTTTTGAGACGGAGTCTCACTCTGTTACCCAGGCTGGAGTGCAATGGCTCGATCTCGGCTCACTGCAGCCTCCACCTCCCGGGTTCAAGCAATTCTCTTGCCACAGCCTCCCAAGTATCTGGGATTACAGTCGCCCACAACTACATCTGGCTAATTTTTCTATCTTTAGTAGACATGGGGTTTCACCATGTTGGCCAGGCTGCTCTCAAACTCCTGAGCTCAGGTGATCTGCCCGCCTCAGCCTCCCAAAGTGCTGGGATTACAGGCGTGAGCCACTGCGCCTGCCCAATTTTTTGTATTTTTAGTAGAGATGGGATTTTACCATGTTGGCCAGGCTGGTCTCGATCTCCTGACCTCGTGATCTGCCCGCCTCAGCCTCCCAAAGTGCCAGGATTACAGGCATGAGCCACCGCACCCAGCCTCTTGTCTTCAGTTTTCTGAACTGTACAATGAGGGAAACGTCTTCTAGTGACACTTGAAAATCCATGAAATGCCTTACAAATGCAAAGCATTAATAATTTTATTATAGGTGTAAAAGTCCTATGAGAGGTCAGGATTGCTAAATATATAATCGTATTTCAAACAAGATGTGCTTAGCTCAAACAAGAGATTATTCTATCAGAAGGATAATCACAGATCATCAGAGGCAAATGCATTGGTATCTGCACTTTTCATGTAAAACTGAAGTCTGTTGCTTTAGACATGACAGTCTTGCTCATAATAACCATATTAAACATAGCTTCTTTTTGCTGGGCATGTTGGTGCATGCCTGTAGTCCCAGTTACTCAGGAGGCTGAGACAGGAAGATTGTTTGAACCGAGGAGTTTCAGTCTATAGCATGGTATGATTGCACTTGTAAATAATCACTATATTCTAGCACGGGCAGCATAGTGAGACCCCCATCTCTAAAAAAGTAAAAACAAACAAAGAAAAAACTTATTTTAAAAATAGGCTTTAAAAAATGTAGCGTATTAGCCAGGAGCAGTGGCTCACACCTGTAATCCCAGCACTTTAGAAGGGTGAGGCGGGTGGATTGCTTGAGCCCAGGAGTTTGAGACCAGCCTGGGCAACATGGGAAGACCCCTGTCTCTACAAAATATACAAAAATTCTCAGGGCATGGTCGTGTGCACCCGTGGTACCAGCTACTTAGGGGCCTGAGGTGGGAGGATTGTTTGAGCCCGGGTGGTTGAGACTGCAGTGAGCCGTGATTGAGCCACTGCATTCCAGCCTGGGTGACAGAGTGAGACCCTGTCCAAAAAAAATTTTTTTAAGCAATAAAATAAATAGCATTTAAATAAATTTATAATAACAAAATGGAGTTTAAACAGTAAAATTTATTATATGAATAATAAACAACAATAAAATGGCAAATAACTTCTTTTAAAATGTAATATAGGCTGGGCGCAGTGGCTCATGCCTGTAATCCCAGCACTTTCGGAGGCCGAGGCGTGCAGATCATCTGAGGTCAGGAGTTCGAGACCAGCCTGGCTAAAATGGTGAAACCCCATTTTACTAAAAATACAAAAAATTAGCCAGGTGTGGTGGTGTGCACCTGTAATCCAAGCTACTCGGGAGGCTGAGGCAGGAGGATCACTTGAACCTGGGAGGTGGAGGTTGCAGTGAGTCGAGATGGCTTCATTTCACTATGGCTTGGGCAACAAGGGCAAAACTCCATCTCCAAAAAAAAAAGTAATGTAGCTTAGATTTTTGTTTTGTTCTGTTCTGTTTTTGAGACAGAATCTTGCTCTGCCGCCCAGGCTAGAGTACAGTGGAATGGTCTCGGCTCCCTGAAACCTCTGTCTCCCGGGTTCAAGTGATTCTCCTGCCTCAGCCTCCCGAATAGCTGGGATTATAGGTGCACACCACCGCACTCAGCTAAATTTTGTAATTTTTGGTGGAGATGGGGTTTCACCGTGTTGGCCAGGCTGGTCTCAAACTCCTGCTCAAGTAATCCATCCACCTTTGCCTCCCAAAATGCTGGGATTACAGGTGTGAGTCACCGCGCCTGACCTATAGCTTAGATTTCTTAAAAGTAAAAGATGTATTGCTAATAGGTAGCTTGATGGAGAAAAGAAGTACTGTTTGCTGAGGTTTTTTGTTTGTTTGTTTTTTTGTTTTTGAGATGGAGTCTCATTCTGCCGCCCAGGCTGGAGTACAGTGGCATGACCACAGCTCACTGCAGCCTCAACCTCCTGGCCTCAAGCAATCCTCCCACCTCAGCCCCCCAAGTAGCTGGTACCACAGGTGCACACCACCACACCCTGCTAATTTTTGTATTTTTTGTAGAGACAGGGTTTCACCATGCTGCCCACACTTGGTCTCAAATGCCTGGGCTCAAGGGATGCATGCATCTTGGCCTCCCAAAGTGCTGGGATTACAGGCATGAGCCACCACACCCAGCCTGTCTTTGACCTTTACATAATGGAATCATGCTCTATATATTTTTCTGTGATAGTTTTTTCCCCATTTAGCATTTTTGAGGTTCTCATCCATATTCATGCCTACCGCTATGGTTTACCCATTTTCACTGCTGTATAGTGTTTCAATTTTAGTTTTTGTTTTTGTTTTTGCTTTTTGAGACAGAGTCTCACTCTATCGCCCAGGCTGAAGTGCAGTGACGTGATCTCGGTTCACTGCAACCTCCGCCTCTTGGGTTCAAGTGATTCTCATGCCTCAGCCCCCTGAATAGCTGGAATTACAGGCACACACACACCCAGCTAATTTTCGTTATTTTTTTAGTAGAGACAGGGTTTCACCCTGTTGGCCAGCTGGTCTCGAACTCCTGACCTCAGGTGATCCACCCACCTCAGCCTCCCAAAATACTGGGATTACAGGCGTAAGCCACCATGCCCGGCCTGTGTTTAGTGTTTTTAATACACTACAGTTTTATCCTTCTATGACGTTTCCAGGTTTTGCTATTATGAACACTTTAGCCAAGAAATTCCCACATATGTTTGTTGGTGTTTGTGCCAAAGTTTCTCTAAGGTAAATACATAGGAGTGAAATTGCTGGATTAGAAATGACATTTTCAATTTTTAAGACAATACCAAATTTTTATCCAAAGTCATTAGCAAAATTTCAGTCACATCAAGAGTGTATAAGGGGCCGGGCGCGGTGGCTCACGCTTGTAATCCCAGCACTTTGGGAGGCCGAGGCGGGCGGATCACGAGGTCAAGAGATCGAGACCATCCTGGCTAACACGGTGAAACCCCGTCTCTACTAAAAATACAAAAAAAATAGCCGGGCGTGATGGTGGGCGCCTGTAGTCCCAGCTACTCGGGAGGCTGAGGCAGGAGAATGGCGTGAACCCGGGAGGCGGAGCTTGCAGTGAGCCGAGATTGCGCCACTGCGCTCCCGCCTGGGCCACAGAGCGAGACTCCGTCTCAAAAAAAAAAAAAAAAAAAAAGAGTGTATAAGGGTTTCTGTGACTCTATTTCCTCACCAACATCAAAAATTGACTGATTTTAGGTCGGGCATGATGACTTATCCCTGGAATCCCAGCATTTTTGGAGGCCCAGGCAGGAGGAACACTTGAGGCCAGGAGATGAAGACCAACCTGGGCAATATAGTGAGACCCTGTCTCTCAATTTTTTTTTAAATTGACTTCTGTAAGCCAGGGTTGATGAATTTAAAATTTTTTTTTATTGAAAAATGTTTGGTTGGGCACAGTGGCTCACACAGTGGATATGGGATCTTGCTCTGTCACCCAGGCTGGAGTGCAGTGGCACAATCACAGCTCACTGCAGGCTCAATCTCCTGAGCTCAAATGATCCTCCCAGCTCAGCCTCCTGAATAGCTGGGACCACAGGTATGTGCCACCCCTTTTCTTTATTTCGGTAAAAACAGTGTCTCACTATGTTGTCCAGGCTGGTCCCAAACTCCCTGGCTCAAGTGATCCTCCTGCTTTAGCCTCCCAAAGTGCTGGGATTACAGACATAAGCCACTGTGCCCAGCCATCATTTTATACTTATTTGAATATTTATGACTGGTTAGCTAAAAAACTATTCAATGAAGCTTTCATCCACAGGAATTTACAAGAAATTCTCCAAAATACTCAGTTATCACTGAGGACTAATGTGCCACCAGAGGGAGCCCAAAGAGGTCGATGAATGTGGCATAGTAGCATTCAAGTCCACACAGGATAGGGGAGTTTAGCTTTACTTAACATTTTTATGGGTATTTTTCACTATTGCTTACATCAAGATCTTGGAGTTTTAATGTATTTTTGCAGTATGTCACATCTTTCCCCCGGTATTTCATTATTTTAATTTTGTTTTTCCATATGACTATGTACAATAAGACATCATGAGATGAAATAACTAGTTCAATATTATACATAAGCCTGGGCAACATGATAAGACACTGTCTCTACAAAAGATAAAAATAAAAAATAATTAGCCAGGCATGATGGCACACCTGTGGTCCCAGCTACTTGGGAGGCTGAGGCAGGAGGATTGCTTGTCCGCGGAGGTCAAGGCTGCAGTGAGCTGTGATTGTGCCACTGCACTCCAGTCAGGACAACAGAGCAAGACCATCTCAAATATATATATATGTTGCCCCTAGAATTTTTTTTTGAGACAGGATCTGGCTCTGTTGCCCAGGCTAGAGTGCAGTGACACAATCTTGGCTCACTGCAACCTCCACCTCCTGGGCTTAAGTGATCCTCCCGCCTCAGCCTCCTGAGTAACTGGGACCACAGGTGCATGCCACCACACTCAGCTGATTTTTCTTTTTCTTTCTTTTTTTTTTTTTTTAGAGACAGGGTTTCACCTTGTTGCCCAGGTGAGTCTTTTTTTTTTTTTTTGAGATGGAGTCTCGCTCTGTTGCCCAGGCTGGAGTGCAGTGGCGCGATCTCGACTCACTGCAAACTCCACCTCCCGGGTTCACGCCATTCACCTGTCTCAGCCTCCCGAAGTAGCTGGGACTACCGGCGCCCGCCACCACGCCCAGCTAATTTTTTTGTATTTTTAGTAGAGACGGGGTTTCACCATGTTAGCCAAGATGGTCTCGATCTCCTGACCTCATGATCTGCCTGTCTCGGCCTCCCAAAGTGCGGGATTACAGGCGTGAGCCACTGTGCCTGGTCTCCAGGTGAGTCTTGAACTCCTGAGCTCAAGCAATTTGCCTGCCTTGGCCTCCCAAAGTGCTGGGATTACAGGCATGAGCCAACATGCCTGGCCTACCCCTGTAATATTTAATGGCCTTCCTGATTCTCTATTCTTAGATTGTTCCCCAGGCACTACAGTCTTGACCTATCTCTAGATGCTGGAACCAATTCTGAAAGTGGAAGTTTACTTCATCGCTCTGGTTACTTCCTACAAGTTAAGCTTGTTTTATTCTAATCTTTTTTAAAACATTTTTTTAGAGATGAGGTCTCACTGTATTGCCCAGGCTGGTCTCAAACTCCTGGGCTCAAGCCATCCTCTTGCCCTGGCTTTCCAAAGTGCTGGGCTTAAAGGTGTAAGCCACCATGCTCAACCTGTCCTCTTCTAATCTTATTGGCTAGACCTAGTAATAGGATTCTGCCACCTCCTAAATCCTCATTGCAATTAATATGTCTTGTGTTTTGTTCTTCATCATCTAGGTGCCTGTCTGAAAACCAGTTCCTCTATGACTGTGATCTCCAAGTGATCACAGTCTTGTCCTGGAAGCCAGACTAGTGATATGCACCTTGTACCTTGCTCCTCAAGGCACCAACAAATAGGAATCCAGAGCAACTTTCTTAGCTGGAGGTTTAGTTTGTTTGTTTGTTTTATCCACACTGTTTCTGGGACAGGGGCTAATCCTACAATACGGACAGGCTACAGGCCAAGACCTTTGGCTGCTTCTTTCTTTGTCCTGGCTGCTAAGAGTTTGAAAAACAATTTTATGTTTGATTGCTATAGATTTTCTTTAGCAGCAACTGAGCAAAAAAGTTTCCTGATACATTTTCATCTATTTATTGAACTAATGAGGCTCTATGCTATGCACTTTGGAATATGGTAATATATAAGATTGACAAAGTCCCTGCCATTAAGAGTTTATAGTCTAGCAGGGGTTTAAGGCATCAAACAAGTTTTAACTGGGTAAGTACTAAAAAAGGGAATGACCCAAAGGAGGTTTACAACATGAAGGCTTAATCTCAGCTAACTGACGTTTTTTACTGGATTTTTGCCTTTAATTGTGGGGTGGTTTGTCACTTGTTTTGTTGTTATAATTTAATTTTACTTCAAGTCAACTCAAATTCTTTCAGTTGTAGGCAGAGATGTGTTTGCGTGTGTAATCATACAATTTTTTTTTTTTTGAGACATGGTCTCACTTCATCACCCAGGCTGGATTGCAGTGGCATGATCATGGCTACTGCAGTCTCGACCTCCTAGGCTCAAGCGATCCCACCTCAGCCTCCCAAGTAGCTGGGACTACAGAGGTGCCACCAAAGCCCAGCTGATTTTTTGTATTTTTTGTTAAGACGGGGTTTCACCATGCTGCCTAGGCTGGTCCTGAACTCCTGCGCTCAAGCAATCTGCCCACCTTGACTTCCCAAAGTGCTGGGATTACAGGCGTGAGCTACTGTGCCCAGCTTACACAATGGCTTTCATATATCCCTCCTTTCACAAAAAAATGTGAAATGATGTATCATGGGGGATATTCATTGCAATTTCTGAGATGAGTTTTTATTAATTCAAATAGTGGCTTAACAAATGGACACTAATCACTACAGAAGCTGATTCAATACAAAAAGATAGAATATGAGGGTGATAGTGCAAACGCTTAGGCAATTTAGAATGCAGGCAGAAGAAAGGAAAAAGGATTACTTGCACACAGGGGCCAGGCAAGTAACATACATGACTGAACCAGGTAAGGCTGGGACATGGTGGACCAGAGAGGGTTCAAGTGACTGCCATGTAGGAATCAGGGCCCAGTGTGGCCACGGCATCCCAATCTATAAGAGAAGCTAGAATTTCGATTTTTATATGAAATTCTCTATTTTTAATGTCAAATAACTTAATTTAAATGATTTTGCATAAGATGAGATACATGCACAATTTTAAAAAACTAAGAAAAATTTAAAAAATAAAAAATTGGCCGGTCACAGTGGCTCATGCCTGTAATCCCAGCACTTTGGGAGGCAGACGTGGGCGGATTACTTGAGGTCAGGAGTTCAAGACCAGCCTAGACAACATGGTGAAACCCCATCCCTACTAAAAAAAAATACAAAAATTAACTGGGCGTGTTGGCTGGCGCCTGAAATCCCAGCTACTTGGGAGGCTAAGGCAGGAGAATTGCTTGAACTGGGAGGTGGAGATTGCAGTGAGCCGAGATTGCGCCACTGCACTCCAGCCTGGGCGACAGAGCCAGACTCCATCTCAAAAAAAAAAAAAGATAAAAAAAATAAAAGATTGTGCAGGCTGAACAAAACGCCCCTGCCATTTTGGCATATTTAATTTATTTTCTTATTTTTATTTTTTATTTTATTGACTCTGCTTGATATGGTGTATTTAATTTAGACTCTAAATTTTATGATAACTTTCTAATCATGGACTCACCAACTTCTGCCCATTGCATCTTGTTTCCTCTGGTGTTTTACTCATCCCTGTCTCCTCTGTACTACCTACCTTCAATCCCAACGTCATTCACTGGCTTCCAGTATCATTAAGTGATTCCGCTAACAAAGAAGGAGATCTAAGGCCTTTTGTCCCTCTCTCCCCAGAGAGGTTTTCTTTAGAGGGAAGGGGAGTGAGTGGGAGAGGTGAAATACAAGGTTTTCTTTTCTTCCCCTGAAGTGGTCTACAGACTGAAAAGTTTAAACAACGTTGTCCCAGAATTTCCTTCCTGTCTGGAGAACAGTACACCTAGAAGAATAATTAATGGAGCTCTTTGCCACTGCTAAACCTGCACTTCTGGAGTCTTGTCACATTGCACAGCTCCCTGCCACTGGATAACTGTATATGGTACAATACTTAACCACACAACAACAAAGAAACTGCTCCCCAGGTGACACCAGCTGTTCCAGGAGCTTTTTTTAGTATCACAGGGATGATGCTTTACTTTCAGGCAAACAAGTATTCAACATTTAGCATTATACATACTCCTGGAAAAAGAATTCCACTATTGGCTGGGAGCAGTGGCTCATGCCTGCAATCCCAGCACTTTGGGATGCTGAGGCGGGCGGATCACTTGAGGTCAGGGGTTCAAGACCAGCCTGGCCAACATGGTGAAACCCTGTCTCCACTAAAAATACAAAAAATTAGCCAGGTGTGATAGCAGGAACCTGTAATCCCAACTACTCGGGAGGCTGAGGCAGGAGAATTGCCTGAGCCCAGGAGGCGGAGGTTGCAGTGAGCCGAGATCATGCCACTGCACTCCAGTCTGGGTGACAGAGCAAGACTCTCTTAAAAAAAAAAAAAAAAATCCACTCAAGAGATTTTTATCCATGCAAGAGTAGTTAGGTGGTACCAATGGCAGATATATATGTTTACTTATTTATTGAGACAGGGTCTTGCTCTGTCACCCAGGTGGCAGTGCAGTGGCACAATCATGGTTCACTGCAGCCTCAATCTCTTGGCTCAAGCAATCCTCCTGCCTTAGCCTCTTGAGTAGCTGGGACTACAGGCGTGCACCAACACACCTGGCCAGGGCAGATATAATTTTTTTACAAAATAGATTATTTATTGAAGATGCAAAATGAAACTTAATGTTTCGCAGCAATCCTATGTAAGTCCAGATATGGTCAGAAGACATTATTTTTCAAATTCTGTCTTTTCATTAGTCTTAACTCAACCATTATTACTAGAGTTTCATATTTCTTGTTGTTTTTTAAAAGTCGATGACATATGGGCTGGGTGTGGTGGCTCACACCTGTAATCCCAGCACTCTGGGAGGCCGAGGCAGGCGGATCATGAGGTCAGGAGATCGAGACCATCCTGGTTAACACAGTGAAACCCTGTCTCTACTAAAAAATACAAAAACAAAATTAGCCGGGCATGGTGGCGGGCACCTGTAGTCTCAGCTACTCGGGAGGCTGAGGTGGGAGAATGGTGTGAACCCAGGAGGCGGAGCTTGCAGTGAGCCGAGATCGCACCACTGCACTCCAGCCTGGGTGACAGAGTGAGGCTCCATCTCAAAACAAAAAACAAAAAACAAGTCTATCGCATATGAGTATGAATTTGAGAAATCTTAGCAAAAAGCAAAAAAGATGGAATAGTGTATATGCCTCTTCTCTAGCTACTTGTTTTCAGATCCATCCCTTGCCCTTCTGCTACTCTGCTCTTTATCACAAGAAACTATTTTCCCCAAACTCCCTTGCCCTTGACCTACCCCTGGGCTTAGTCATGGTGAAAAGTTAGAGGATGGAAGGAAGAGGAAAGGTGGGATTTCTCCCCCTCTCTCCCGTACCCTTAGAACAGCCCCTTCCTCAGGGGCTCCTGCTCCTCCTTGACCCCCTGGCTGTAGCTCCTGAGGATGATGACACGTAGGGGTGGTTGTGGCTTTCTGCTGATGTTAACTCTGAGTTGCTTCACTGTCCACTTTGTTTTGTTTTGTTTTGAGACAAGGTCTTACTCTGTTGCCCACTCCGGAATGCAGTGACACAATCACAGCTCACTGTAACCTCGACCTCTCCAGCTCAAGCAGTCTGCCCACCTCAGCCTCCCAAGTAGCTGGGGCCACAGGTGTGCGCCACCACGCCCAGCTAATTTTTAAATTTTTTGGACATAGGGAGGGGAACATCACACACTGGGGCCTGTTGTGGGGTGGGGCACAAAGGGAAGGAGAGCATTAGGACAAATACCTAAGGCATGCAGTGCTTAAAACCTAGATGACAGGTTGATGGGTACAGCAAACCACCATGGCACATGTATACCTATGTAACAAACCTGTACGTTCTGCACATGTATCCTAGAACTTAAAGTAAAATAAATCAAAAAAAAAAAAAAAAGAGTCAAAAGAACAGATTTTTTTTTTTAAGAGATGGAGGCGGGGGCGGGGGGCAGGGGGTGGTCCCACTATGTTGCCCAGCCTGGTCTCGAACTCCTGGGCCCAAGCAGTCCTCCCGCTATGGCCTCTCAAAGTGCTGGGATTATAGGCGTGAGCCATTGCAGCTGGCCCTCACTGTCCACTTTGAACTTCTTAGCCTCAGCTGTTCATCCCTCGTGTAAACAATTCCCTGAACTAGTTTCTCTCTTTCAAACAGTGGCTTCTATGTTTCTGACTGGACTTTCACGGATACAAACAGTGGGGCTCTTTGCAAAACACTCTTCTAAGCTTTCAGGTATATGTCATTAATCCAGTCTGTAGACTCACATGTATGTCAGTTTTATCTGTGACCAGACATTCCCAGATTAAGTCATATTTTCTACTTATGCCTAACAGCTAGCCCCCAAATTTTAATTCTCCTGGACTGATGCCAGTGAATTCCATTTTACAAATTTGTTTTGAGTTATCTATATTGCCTTCCTTTTAAAATTTCTTGGGAAGACAAAAGTTTAGAACTCAGTTGTAAATTAAAATATGATTCAGGGCCAGGTGCAGTGGTTCACTCCTGTAATCCTAGCACTTTGGAAGGCAGAGGCAGGAGGATCGCTTCAGGTGAACCCTTGAGGGGAGACCAGCCTGGGCAACATAGGGCAAGTCCCCATCTCTACAAAAAATAAAAAATAAATTAGCTGGGCATGAGGGCATGCGCTCTTGTGGTTCCAGCTACTGGGGAGGCAGAGGTGGGAGAATTACTTGAGCCTGGGAGTTTGAGGCTGTACTGAGCTATAATCATGCCATTGCACTCCTGCCTGGGGGACAGAACAAGACCTTGTCTTTTTTTAGGTCTTGCTATGTTGCCCAGGCTGGGCTTGAACTCCTGGTATCAAGCAATCCTCCCGCCTCAGCCTCCCAAAGTGCTGAGATTACAGGCCTGAGCCATCATGATGGCTGGCCTTTTTATTTTTATTTTTTATAGAGACAGGGTCTCGCCATGTTACCCTGTCTAGTCTCAAACCCCTGGCCCCAAGCAATCCTCCTGCCTTGGCTTTCCAAAGTCCTGAGATTACAAGCCTGACCCACCAAACCAGGCAGAGACTCTGTCTCTTGAAAAAAAAAAGTAAACAAAATAAAGTATAAATGATTCAGGAGTTAAAATGTGCTTTATTTTGCATCTAAAAACCATGGGCATTACTTCTTTACAGTAGGCTTCCAGGAGGAAAACTCTTTTAAGGCTTTAAAAACTTTTTTGTTGGCCAGGCGTGGTGGCTCATGCCTATAATCCCAGCACTTTGGGAGGCCGAGGCAGGCGGATCACCTGAGGTCAGGAGTTTGAGACCAGCCTGACCAATATGGTGAAACCCTGTCTCTACTAAAAATGCAAAAATTAGCCAGGTGTGGTGGTGGGCGCCTGTAGTCCCAGCTACTGGAGAGGCTGAGACAGGAGAATTTCTTGAACCTGGGAGGCAGAGGTTGCAGTGAGCCAAGATTGTGCCGTAGCACTACAGGCTGGGCCACAGGTGAGACTCTGTCTCAAAACAAAACAAAACGAAAAACTTGTTTTAAATTATGTTCTATTTTAATTTCAAATTAGAAAAAGTAAAGAAAATTACAGCATAATACATCCTCATATAATCTTTGCCTGGATTCACCATTTGTTAGCATTCTACAAATTTGCATTTTTTTTCTCTCTCTTTCTGAACCATTTGAAAGTAAGTTGCAGGCATCATGACATTTCACCACTAAATAGTTCAGCGTGTTTGTCCTAAGAACAAGAACATTCTCCTGGCCATGCATGGTAGCTCACATCTGTAATCCCAGCACTTTGGGAGCTAAGGCGGGTGGATTGTTTGAGCCCAGGAGTTTGAGACTAGCCTGGGAAACATAGCAACACCCTGTCTCAATTTATTAAAAAAAAAAAAAAAAGAAAGAAAAAATTATCCTACATAACCACAATACCATATTTATGGCCAAGGCATTTAATGATCCAGTCCATTCTAGTTTCCTGAATTGTCCAAAAAAAAAAAAGTTCTTGATAGTTTTTTCTTTTCTTTTTGTCCCAATAAACTTTTTTTTTTTTTTTTTTGAGATGGAGTTTCACTCCTGTTGCCCAGGCTGGAGTGCAATGGCACGGTCTCAGCTCACTGCAACCTCTGCTTCCCAGGTTCAAGCTATTCTCCTGCCTCAGCCTCCCAAGTAACTGGGATTACAGGCATGTACCACCACGCCCGGCTAATTTTTTGTGTTTTTAGTAGAGACGGGGTTTCTCCATGTTGGTCAAGGCTGGTCTGAAACTCCCAACCTCAGGTGATTCGCCTGCCTCGGTCTCCCAAAAGTGCTGGGATTACAGGCGTGAGCCACCGCGCCTGGCCACTTTAACTTGCTTTCTATAGGAATCTTCTATCGTAGGATCATATTTTTCAACAAAAATTCATTGAACAAATTGTACAGTCAAAGCAGACTTTCCAACGCCTCCTGAGTCAAGAACGACTAGCTTATATTCACACATGATGCAAACTTGTCAAAACCTATTACCTCTCACGCTGTCACTGGGTCCCCGCAGCCAGCGTCACCCCGTGCCGCTCCCCGCGGGTCGCTACTCTGGTCGTCACGGCGGTCCTGCAGCTGCCGCCGCCGCTCGGGCTGGTTTACACGCCTGACTCTGGGAGAGGTTTGGCAATGTCCTGAACACTTTCACTGTAGTAGATGCTGATGGAATTCATGACGTGCTATCCCAAAATACAACACCTTGGCATTTGAGAAGATAGCAGAAGGAGGAGGCTCATTCTCACCTTTCCCCTTTTTTCTCCAGAAGCAGGTCATAAAGCCGAAAAGGACATTTCTGCCTTTCTCTGAAGCAGGTCATAAGTCCCTCATTAGAGAAGTATTCTCCCTATACCTGAAGAAAAGGAACATCCTTATCTATGAAGACACAGGAACTCAGAGAAGAATCTGAACAAACAGGCCTTGCAAAATGCCCTCCAGCTTCCTGCCATTAGATCATACCTCCTTTTTCCGGCCATACTTCTCCATAACTATCCACTTCTTCATCAGATCTAGCATAAAAACATTTCTGTTTAACTGTTGCTTCGGTTCTTCATTTCCTTATGAAGGCTCCGCATCACGTAAAACTTACGTTAAATAAATGTGTATGCTTTTCTCTTGTTAATCTATTTTTTGTTACGGGGTCTCAGTCATGAACCTTAGGTAGGAAGGAAAATAGTTCTTTCACCCTGCAGTACCGTGGATCAAAAAGAAAAAAAACACACACACATAGTCTCAGTCATGTTTTATTTGTTTTTGTTTGTTTGTTTGTTTTGAGACGGAGTTTTGCTCTTGTCCCCCAGGCTGGAGTGCAATGGCACGATCTTGGCTCACTGCAACCTCCGCCTCCCAGGTTCAAGCGATTCTCCTGCCTCAGCCTCCCAAGTAGCTGGGACTACAGGCGTCCACCACCACACCCAGCTAATTTTTGTATTTTTAGTAGAGACAGGGTTGCACCATGTTGGCCAGGCTGGTCTCTAGTTCCTGACCTCACATGATCTACCCATCTCAGCCTCCCAAAGTGCTGGGATTACAGGCGTGAGCCATGGTGCCCGGCCTCAGTCACATTTTATTTTAAAGGAACAATTATATCATAATGCTTTTCAAAAATAGAGGTACAAGGCCAGGCGTGGTGGCTCACGCCTGTAAACCCAGCACTTTAGGAGGCTGAGGAGGGTGGATCACGAGGTCAGGAGATCAAGACTATCCTGGCCAACATGGTGAAACCCCGTCTCTACTAAAAATACAAAAATTAGCTGGGCGTGGTGGTGCACGCCTATAGTCCCAGCTACTCGGGAGGCTGAGGCAGGAGAATCACTTGAATCCGGGAGACGGAGGTTGCGGTGAGCTGAGATCATGCTGCTGCACTCCAGCCTGGCAGAAAAGCGAGACTCTGTCACAAAATAAATAAATAAATAAATAAAAATAGAGGTACAGGCCTGGCGCAGTGGCTCATGCCTGTAATCCCAGCACTTTAGGAGGCCAAGGCAGGTGGATCACTTGAGGTGAGGAGTTCGAGACCAGCCTGGGCAACAAGGCGAAACCCTGTCTCTACAAAAACTACCAAAAAATTAGCCGGACATGGTGGCACACTCCTGTGGTCCCAGCTACTCAGAAAGCTAAGGTGGGAGGATCACCTGAGGTTTCAATGAGCTGGTATCATGCCACTACACTCCAGCCTGGGCAACAGAGCAAGACTCTGTCTCAAAAAAAAAAAAATACAATATGCTATGAGGAAGCATAGGAGGGAAACTACAGGGTAGCCTCAAAAGTTTCACATCAGAAGTAATATTTGTGCTGAGTCTTAAAAAACAAGTAGAAGTGTGTCAATCCTATCTCTAACTTTCAATCTCTAAAAGAGAAGCAAAATGCAAAAACAAATCTCTATTGCAGATGGAGATTCAGAACTTTGTAAAAAAAAAAAATTTCTTTCAGTTTATTACCTCCTTGATCTTTTCTGCTTAGGATATTGACCTAACACTGAGTGGCTTAGTAAATATAAATTTAATACTTGATAAGCCTTACTCCTTAATATTTTCTTGTTTCAGTGAACAAGGTTCCTTTTCTTCAGGAACATTAGATTTTCTTCCCCCTGTGTGTGGCTCAATATTAATTTCCCATCCCCTTATCTGTGTGCCTGCCAAAAATGGAGACTACAGAGATTGGAAATACATTCTGAGCTCCTGCGTGAATTTCCTGAATTATTTCCTTATTCCTGAGGAAGGATCTCCAAGAAGGTGAAGAGAAGCAGCCAAAAATTATTTTAATTCAAACCAGCAGTGGTTGTCTTTGTACAGTGACGGCTTCCTAGATCACATGGTAAAGTAAGTCTTAGACATACTCTGTCCTTGCTCTGCCCACATCCTCTGCTTCATGGACTGTGCCTGACAGTTTCATTTTTGCTTTCAACCATTCCTATAAAATTCTAGAAAACACGATTTCGAGCAGGGATGCCAAATTTTGAACCTGACTAGTAGATAAATCCAATCCTCAAAAAAATGAATGCAAAGTATAGCACGAAGGCATGCAAAAATTTGGTTCTTACTTTTTCTGCTATTTACTCTCAAATCTTTTTTTTAAATAATGGAAATACAACATGTAAACATTTTTTTTTTTTTTTAGACAGAGTCTTACTCTGTCACCCAGGCTGGAGTGCAGTGGCGCGATCTCGGCTCACTGCAACCTCTGCCTCCTGGGTTCAAGCGATTATCCTGCCTCAGCCTCCCGAGTAGCTGGGACTACTGGTGTGTGCCACCACACTCGGCTAATTTTTGTATTTTTAGTAAGATGGAGTTTCACCTAGTTGGCCAGGCTGGTCTCGAACTCCTGACCAGCCTTGGCCTCCCAAAGTGGTGGGATTACAGGCGTGAGCCACCGTGCCCAGCCTGCATGTAAATAAATTTAAAATATTCTTTTTTTTTTTTTGAGACTGAGTCTCGCTTTGTTGCCCAGGCTGGAGTGCAGTGGCACAGTCTCGGCTCACTGCAACCTCCTTGTCCTGGATTCAAGTGATTCTCCTGCCTCAGCCTCCCCAGTAGCTGGGATTACAGGTGCCCATCACCAGGCCTGGCCAATTTTTTGTATTTTTAGTAGAGAAGGGGTTTCACCATGTTGGCCAGGCTAGTCTTGACCTCCTGACCTCGTGATTTGCCCACTGCAGCCTCCCAAAGTGCTGGGATTACAGGCGTGAGCCACTATGCCCAGCCTAAAATATTCTTAAAAAAAAAAAAAAAAAAAATCTGTGCTCGCTTCTGCAGCACATATGCTAAAATTAAAAAAAAAAAAAATCTAGACCTACAGATTTTTTGGAGGCAAGATCTCACTCTGCCACCCAGGCTAGAGTGCAGTGATGCAATCATAGCTCACTGCAACCTCAAACTCCTGGGCTCAAGGGATCTTCCCACCTCAGCCTCTTGAGTAGCTGGGAATAAAGGCACACATCACCATGCCAAGGTCACGCCACTGCACTCCAGCCTGGGTGACAGAGGGAGACTCTGTCTCAAAAGAAAAAAAAAGCCTCTTTATATTTTTATTTCATCCTTAAAAATGTCTATATATTGCATAATGTATGTTATATATTAATACAGTAAATACATATATAATGTATAAATAAATAACATGCAAAAAAAAGTTTGAATACCACTCATTTAAAATTGGTACCCTTTGATTTCATATGTTTTGTTCATATTTTGAGAAGGCTGTAGGATAAATTTTCAAAGGGAACAAACTGAAATGCATAGCTAGATATAAGTTGTTTAATTATTGCATTTGGACTGTTGACCTTTGCAATACTCATTGTATACTAAAAATCAAGTTAAAATAAAGTCTTGTTTAATTTTTATAGATTGTAAAAATAATTAAGAGAATTTGAAAATGACATAAATATAAAATAAAGGCAAAATATCATGGGACTGCCAGGCATGGTGGCTCACACTTGTAATCCCAGCATTTTGCGAGGGCGAGGCAGGCGGATCACTTGAGCTTGGGAGTTCGAGACCAGCCTGGGCAACATGGTGAAACCCCATCTCTACAAAAAATACAAAAATTGGCTGGACGTGGTGGAATGTGCTTGTGGTCCCAGCTACTTAGGGGGCTGAGGTGGGAGGATATCTTGAGCCTGGGAGTTCGAGGCTGCAGTGAGCTGTAATTGAAACACTGTACTGCAGCCTGGGTGACAGAGCCAGATTCTGTCTAAAAAAAAAAAAAAAAAAAAAAAGCGAGACAACTGTTATCATTTTATGTATCTTCTTCTAGTCTTTTTTTTTTTTTGCCAAAGGATCCTCTTTCCAGAAGGTCTGAAGGCACAATGAATAAAACCATGGAGTTACTACAACTATATCATTTCCACCAGTGCCCTTAAGCTGTTGTCTAGAATTTCTATTTATAGAAAAAAAGTTAGCCTTTCTGTGTAAGCAACAGAAAGAGGGATACATCAAAAGCCAGGTAGGGGTGCAGAGTAAGGAAAGGCTGGAATTATAAGCTAAACTAAACCAACAAAGTCAGTAAAAGAAAATAAAAGAAAACATCCAAAACAAAGAGGTGCTATCAATAGCAGTCACTGTAAAAACATGTCAAACAAAATAATCAGCTTATGCTATAAAGAATAAAAGAGACTGAAAGCATTCTTTGAAACATGAAACAACTATTTTCACTACTCTAATCCTTCTTCAATCCATGTATTCCTTTCTTTGGTCATTTGCCCTAAATTACTGAAAACAAATATTTGACAAGAGACAGCTAACTGAAGAGAATTAATCCTTTTTAGCTTTAGGTTAAACTAAGAGGAGGCTAGTCCATTTAACAGCATTTAGTGGACAAATCTTTGAATAGGTTTAGGGTTCAATTAATATCTGAGCCTAATTATTATTATTATTATTATTATTATTATTATTTTTAAGGTGGAGTCTCACTCTGTTGCCCAGGCTGGAATGCAGTGGTGCAATCTCAGCTCGCTGCAACCTCCTCCTCCCGGATTCAAGCAATTCCCTTGCCTCAGCCTCCCGAGTAGCTGGGACTACAGGCGTGTGCCACCATGCCTGACTAATTTTTGTATTTTTAGTAGAGATGGGGTTTCACCATGTTGGTCAGGCTGGTCTCAAACTCCTGACATCAAGTGATCCACTCGCCTCGGCCTCCCAAAGTGCTGGGATTATGGGCATGAGCCACCGTACCCAGCCTCCTCATTATTTTTCATATGCATGAGGATACAATCTTACTCCAATAAAAGTTAAGTTCTCTGAACAAGCATGACTAAAAAAGTGTTTCTTTTAATCCACTAGCAGTAAAACTCACTGTTCAGACACATGACTAAAATTTTTATCCTTTATAAAATTTCCAGCATTTCCAATGTTTGTATAGTTCAACAATATCCAAAACTTTCCAATTCATAATGTTCAATAAATGTGAAATACTATTAGAAAATCTTTAAAATTATGGCTTACTTTCACTCAAATGTAACTGTATATATAACAAAACGGATAAAAGTAAAAGGAGGTCTTCACTTGCCAAGGTTCTTTGTTAACTGCATCAGGAATGTTTTTAATAACTCTTTTAATAATAGACTCAGGATGGTAAGAATATTGCAATAGTAGTTGGTACCTTTAACTGTGTATCTATTTAAATTTACTGGCCAAAAATGTGTAAATGTAACATAATACAGACTTTAAGCCATACTTCTCAAATTAAAAGCATTTATCTAACTCAATGCAGAATATTATCACACAGGTACCACACCCATGCACACCAACTAAAAACAGTATTCATTCTTAAGTGTGGCAAGGAAATTTTTTAATTTTTATGTTTACTTTCATAATATCCCTTTTTTCACCTTTTTTCTTTTTCACAAAAATGTCATGAGAGATACCGTGCAACAATAATTAGGGAATCTAACCTGAGGTCCCTGTGGGTTGTAAGTTTCTAAAACTTCAAAATTATGGTCATCTATGTATTTCATTGGTTGTCTCTTTTTTTGTTGTTGTTGTTTTTTCTGAGACAGAGTGTCACTCTGTCACCCAGGCTAGAGTGCAGTGGCGTGATCTTGGCTCACTGCAACCTCCACCTCCCAAGTTCAAGTGATTCTCTTGCCTCAGCCTCCCGAGTAGCTAGCATTACAGGTGCCCACCACCATGCCTGGCTAATTGTTTTTTGTATTTTTAGTAGAGGCGGGGTTTCACCATGTTGAACAGGCCGATCTCGAACTCCTGACCTCAAGTGAGATCCACGTGCCTCGGCCTCCCAAAGTGCTAGGATTACAGGCGTGAGTCACCGTGCCTAGTCCATAGGTTGTCTCTTTATGTATCATGTACTTCATAACTGCCAATTTAAAATTCCGACTCCAAGTAAAATTATCTAGCTGTCATCCATGCATTTTCCTTCATTCCATATCTTTAATAGGTATGATATCTTGTAAATTTTAAAACTGTTCCAATTGTTTTATTGATTTAGTAGAATGTGGCTATCAATCTCAATTAATTAAACTCACTTTTTTTATTGTCACCATATTGAGTTCATGAATCATTTAAAGATTATAATGTTACCTTTATATATCTATGTTCACACATATTGCATAATAATAATTTACCATTCCAAAATTTTCTAAATTAAGTAATTTTATTTATTTTTATTTTATTTTTGAGATGGGGATCTTGCTATGTGGTCCAGGCTGGAGTGCAGTGGCTATTCACAGGCACAATTATTGTGCACTACAGTCTTGAACTCCTAGACTCAGGAGATCCTCTTACCTCAACCTCCTGAGTAGCTTGGACTACAGGTTCATGCCACCATGCCCACAAATATATATATATATTTTTTTGTTGTTGTTTTTTTTAAGATAGAGTCTCACTCTGTCACCCATGCTGGAGTACAATGGCAGGATCTTAGCTTACTGTAACCTCCGCCTCCCAGGTTCAAGCGATTCTCCTGCCTCAGCCTCCCGAGTAGCTGGAATTACAGGCGCCTGTCACCACGCCCAGCTAATTTTTTGTATTTTTAGTAGAGATGGGGTTTCACCATGTTGGCCAGGCTGGTCTCCAACTGCTGACCTCAGGCAATCCATCTGCCTCGGCCTCCCAAAGTGCTGGGATTACAGGCGTGAGCCACAGTGCCCGGCCTATTTTTATGGACTGAAAATAAATTTAAAATGGTCAACCATGGCTGGGTGTGGTGGCTCATGCCTATAATTCCAGCACTTTGGAAGGCCAAGATGGGAGGATTGCTTGAACCCAGGAGTTCAAGACAAGCCTGGGCAACATAGTGAGACACTGTCTCTACTTTTTAAAAAAATTTAAAAATTAAAGGAAAAACAAAAAAGGAAAAAAAAATTAAAAATTTAAAAAAATAAAATAAATGGTCAACCAAAATATAACTCAATCGCAATGTTAATTTCTTAAATTTTGATCCTTTTAGAAAGAAAATTTATCCCCTCTGCTTGTGATAGTTCTGAAATTGAAATTTAAACAAAGAGTAATGGATTAATTAATTAAATATTACCCTATGGAAAGGTACCTCTAGAAATTCAGCTATATCAGCTCTGGAGTTCCCAAAATAATAGAATAGTATATCAAGTTATACTTTTGTTTGTTTGTTTGTTTGAAACGGAGTCGCCCAGGCTGGAGTGCATGGGTGTGATCTCAGCTCACTGCAACCTCCTCCACTCAGGTTTAAGCGATTCTTCTGCCTCAGCCTCCCAAGTAGCTGGAATTAGAGGTGCGTGCCACCACACCTAGCTAATTTTTTTGTATTTTTATTAGAGATGGGGTTTTGCCATGTGGGCCAGGCTGGTCTCAAAATCCTGGCCGCAAGTGACCCACCCGCCTCGGCCTCTGGAAGTGCTGGGATTACAGGTATGTGCCACTGCCCCAGGCCAAGTTACAGTATTTTCCCCCAAACATTAATTCAACCTATCTCCATTAATAAACTTAAAAATTGTCCAAGAGTGTTATTTCATCATGGAAGAAAAATTTATCCATTTTTATGTACAAACACTATTCCTCTGTTTATGGAGATTTTTTAATTATGTCGAAGATGAACCAGTTAAAGAGTTCATGTAGGACAGATACATATATATTCAAAGTTAAGGTAAAGGTTTTCTTTTCTTTTTTTTTTTTTTTGAGTCAGAGTTTTGCTCTTGTTGTCCAGGCTGGACTGCAATGGCACTATCTTGGCTCACCACAACCTCTGCCTTCCGGGTTCAAGCGATTCTCCTGCCTCAGCCTCCCAACTAGCTGGGATTACAGGCATGTGCCACCACGCCTGGCTAATTTTGTATTTTTAGTAGAGATGGGGTTTCTCCATGTTGGTCAGGCTGGTCGAACTCCCGACCTCAGGTGATCCACCCACCTCAGCTTCCCAAAGTGCTGGGATTACAAGCGTGAGCCACCGCACCCGACCATGGTTTTCACTTATACTACCATTCTTTGTTTTAGAGACAGGGTCTCACTTTGTTGCCCCGCCTGGAGTGCAGTGGTGCTGAAACTGCCTTTGCAAAATTATGACTGAGACGGTGAAAGAGATCTAACTTAATTGACTCCATCTTGCTTCTAACCTCCAAGTTGTCCTGTTCATTCCTAGGCATAGGCTGAACTAACTTTGGGAGAAAGTTAGTTTATAGTTTAAAGCAAAGATGATAACAGCCCTTTCCCAAAGCAGACCTTCTTCTTGCCTGGGGACTAGACTGCCTTTGTAGGGCTAACATTAGCCATAAGATTAGAAATTATGGTTTTAGGAGTCTTACAGCTGGAAGCTACAAGATTCTTACCCTCGCTAAAATGCTCCTCAGATCAGTGCTTGAGATATTTTGCAAGACCCTGCGCTTGGTCAGCTGGCACCACCCAGATCAATAAACTGGCTCTTCTGATCTTGTGGCTCCCACCCAGGAACTGATTCAGTCCAAGAAGACAGCTTCGACTCCCTATGACTTCATCCCTGACCAATGGGCACTCCTGGCTCACTGGCTTCCCCCCCCAAACCACCAAGTTCTCCTTAAAAACTCTGCTTCCTGAATGCTCAGCGAGACTGATTTGAGTAAATAATAAAACTCTGGTCTGCTGCATAGCCAGCTGTTCATGAATCACTCTTTCTCAATTGCAATTCCCCTATCTTGATAAATCAGCTCTGTCTAGGCAGTGGGCAAGGTGAACCCATCGGACTCACTGCAGCCTCAAATTTCTAGGCTCAAGCAATTCTCTTGCCTCAGCCTCCCATGTAGCTGGGACTACAGGCAGGTGCCTCCATGCCCAGCTAATCTTTATTTTTTGTAGAGATGGATCTTGCTATGTTACCCAGGCTTGTCTCAAACTCCTGAGATCAGGTGATCCTCCTGCCCCAATGCCCTAAAGCCCTGGGATTACAGGTATGAGTCACTGTGACCGGCCTTACGCTATCATTCTTATTGGATATTTTAATCTTTTTACTATCCTACATAAAATGTTCTGATTATGTAGTATATAGGGCAACGTAAGTAAATCAATCAGTACTTAAATCTCATTCCAGCTCTGCCACTAACTTGCCTCAACTATAAAATGGTGATAATTTATTTCAGAAACATTGTAAAGATCACATGAAATAATGTATTCGATTTTATGAAAATGTATTACTATGTATTACATTTATGAAAATGTATTACTATGTATTACATTTATGAAAATGTATTACTATGTATTACATTTATGAAAATGTATTACTATGTATTACATTTATGAAAATGTATTACTATGTATTACATTTATGAAAATGTATTACTATGTATTACATTTATGAAAATGTATTACTGGTATTCTTGGTAATTCAATGTATAAATGTATTTCATTTAACTTTTTCAGTTAAATATATTTTTTGAAGCAAATGTATTATAAAGCACCCACTTTTAAAAATCTAGCTCTCCCTCTCCCTCTCCCTCTCCCTCTCCCCACGGTCTCCCTCTCCCTCTCTTTCCACGGTCTCCCTCTGATGCTGAGCCAAAGCTGGACTGTACTGCTGCCATCTCGGCTCACTGCAACCTCCCTGCCTGATTCTCCTGCCTCAGCCTGCCGAGTGCCTGCGATTGCAGGCGCGTGCCGCCACGCCTGACTGGTTTTCGTATTTTTTTGGTGGAGACCGGGTTTCGCTGTGTTGGCCGGGCTGGTCTCCAGCTCCTAACCGCGAGTGATCTGCCAGCCTCGGCCTCCCGAGGTGCCGGGATTGCAGACGGAGTCTGGTTCACTCAGTGCTCAATGTTGCCCAGGCTGGAGTGCAGTGGCGTGATCTCGGCTCGCTACAACCTCCACCTCCCAGCCGCCTGACTTGGCCTCCCAGAGTGCCGAGATTGCATCCTCTGCCCGGCCGCCACCCCGTCTGGGAAGTGAGGAGCGTCTCTGCCTGGCCGCCCATCGTCTGGGATGTGAGGAGCCCCTCTGCCCGGCTGCCCAGTCTGGGAAGTGAGGAGTGCCTCTTCCCGGCCGCCATCCCATCTAGGAAGTGAGGAGCGTCTCAGCCCGGCCGCCCATCGTCTGAGATGCGGGGAGCGCCTCTGCCCCGCCGCCCCGTCTAGGATGTGAGGAGCGCCTCTGCCCGGCCGCGACCCCGTCTGAGAAGTGAGGAGCCCCTCCGCCCGGCAGCCGCCCCGTCTGAGAAGTAAGGAGCCCCTCCGCCCGGCAGCCACCCCGTCTGGGAAGTGAGGAGCCCCTCCGCCCGGCAGCCACCCCGTCTGGGAAGTGAGGAGCCCCTCCGCCCGGCAGCCACCTCATCCGGGAGGGAGGTGGGGGGTCAGCCCCCGCCCGGCCAGCCGCCCCGTCCGGGAGGGAGGTGGGGGGTCAGGCCCCGCCCGGCCAGCCGCTCCGTCCGGGAGGGAGGTGGGGGGTCAGCCCCCGCCCGGCCAGCCGCCCCGTCCGGGAGGGAGGTGGGGGTCAGTCCCCGCCCGGCCAGCCGCCCCGTCCGGGAGGGAGGTGGGGGGCCCGCCTCTGCCCGGCCGCCGCCCCGTCCGGGAGGTGGGGGGGCCCCTCTGCCCGGCGGCCCCTTCTGGGAAGTGAGGAGCCCCTCTGCCCGGCCACCACCCCGTCTGGGAGGTGTGCCCAACAGCTCATTGAGAACGGGCCATGATGACGATGGCAGTTTTGTGGAATAGAAAAGGGGGAAAGGGTGGGGAAAGGATAGAGAAGTCAGAAAAAAAAAAAAAAGAAAAATCTAAAGTGGCTGAAATTAGTGGTAAAGTAAAACGATAGAAACAATTGGAATTATGAAGTTAAGAGATTATTCTGGTCATTGTGGATAGTAAGTAGAAATGGTATGAATTTATAGCACTCATAATTTATACATGAAAATAAATAATCAAGTTTACCAAATCAAAACAATACGAAAAAGAAGAAAAAAAACAATAGTAACCTGTTATTGAAGTAATATCACACTTCTCGATATGTACATATTCTTGCTTGTGGATATGATGTCTGTCTCTTGATTTGATGGTTAAAATAATCAGCTTTTGGCCAGGTGTAGTGGCTCACGCCTGTAATCCCAGCACGTTGGGAGGCTGAGGTGGGAGAATCACTTGAGCTCAGGAGTTTGTGATCAGTCTGGGCAACATAGCGGGACCCCATCCCTACAAATAAGAAAAATAGGCTGGGCACAGTGGAGCATGCCTGTAATCCCAGCACTTTGGGAGACCAAGGCAGGAAGATCCCTTGAGCTCAGGAGTTTGAGACCAGCCTGGGCAATATGGCCAAACCCTGTTTCTATTTAAAAATACAAAAAGAAAATTAGCCAGGCATGGTGGCACATACCTATAGTCCCAGCTACTCAGGAGGATCACTTGAGTCCAGGTGGTTGAGGCAGCAGTGAGCTGTAACGGTGCCATTGTACTCCAGCCTGGGCAACAGAGCAAGACCCTCCCTCAAAAAAACAAACAAAAAAATAAGTAAAAAATACAAAAAAATTAAAAATGTTCTTACTAAAAGATATTAAAGGGCCAGGCATGGTGGCTTATGCCTGTAATCCCAGCACTTTAGGAGGCTGAGGTGGGCAGATCACCTGATGTCAGGAGTTGGAGAACAGCCTGACCAATATGGAGAAACCTCATCTCTACTAAAAATACAAAATTAGCCAGGCGTGGTGGCGGGCACCTGTAATCCCAGCTACTCAGGAGGCTGAGGCAGGAGAACTGCTTGAACCCGGGAGGTGGAGGTGGCAGTGAGCCATGATAGAGATCATGCCATTGCACTCCAGCCTGGGCAACAAGAGCGAAACTCCGTCTCAAAAAAAAAAAAAAAAAAAAAAAGATATTAAACAAAATTTTGTTTTAAAAATCCAGGTGAGGTTTCTTACTAAAAGTTATTCAATAAAATAAATAAAATTAGCCATGTGTGGTGGTGAAGTGGCATCCTTATCTGGGGCAAATACCCGCTGTTACTCGTCTTGCGTCAAGAAGATTAAGGACATGAACACACACAAGGAGTTTAGGAGCAGAGGTTTAATAGGCAAAGAAAGGCCGGGAGCAGTGGCTCACGCCTGTAATCCCAGCACTTTGGGAGGCCGAGGTGTGGATCACGAGGTCGGGAGATCGAGACCATCCTGGCTAACATGGTGAAACCCCGTCTCTACTAAAAATACAAAATTTTAGCCGGGCGTGGTGGCAGGCGCCTGTAGTCCCAGCTACTCCGGAGGCTGAGGCAGGAGAATGGCCTGAACCCGGGAGGCGGAGCTTGCAGTGAGCCGAGATCGCACCACTGCCCTCCAGCCTGGGCGGCAGAGCGAGACTCCGTCTCAAAAATAAAAATAAATAAATAAATAAATAGATAAAGAAAGAGAAAGGAGAACAGCTCTGTCTCTTGCAAGAGACAGGAGCCCCCGAATGGGAATTCTGGGCTGGAATGGGAGTGCACCGGATTTTATAGGCAGGCTGAAGGAGGCAGTGTCCGATTTACATAACCACAGATTGGTTATACCAGGTGTGATGTTTACATAGAGCATGGGGAAGGCTGGCCAATGCACCCTAATCTTATTATGCAAATGGACTTTCCACTTGGCCGGCGCCGTGTTGTCCGCTCCTTGCTGCACACGTGACTGGCAAAGAGAAGGGAACATGGAGCCACTGTTCTGAACATGCCTAGTCCCCGGTAGCCTTTTCCTATTGGCACAGCTGCTGGCATTCACCTGTGCAAGCTTCTAGCTTGCTTGTCTATGTCTGCAGCTCAATTTTACAGGCTGCTGTTTGTTAGAAAAGAAAATTATTTTGGGGCTGCCTTTTTTTTTTTTTTTTTTTTTTTTGAGATGGAGTTTTGCCCTTATTGCCTGGGCTGGAGTGCAGTGGTGCAATCTCGTCTCACTTCAACCTCAGCCTCCCGGGTTCAAGCGATTCTCCTACCTCAGCCTCCGGAGTAGCTGGGATTACAGGCATGTGCCACCAAGCCTGGCCAAGTTTTTGTATTTTTAGTAGAGACGGGTTTTCTCCACATTGGTCAGGCTGGTCTCAAACCCCCGACCTCAGATGATCCGCCCGCCTCGGCCTCCCAGAGTGCTGGGATTACAAGTGTGAGCCACCGCGCCCGGCAGGGCTGCTTTTCATTAAAAGGAAAACCTTACGGAGGACTTCCTTACCCCCATTATCTGCCTAAATAATTCCTTTTTAACTCCTGCATCAGTGGTGCACACCTGTGGTTCCAATTACTTGGGAGGCTGAGGTAGGAGGATTACTTGGGCCCAAGAGCTCATGGCTGCAGCTGAGACTCTGTCTCAAAAAAAAAAAAAAAACAAAAAAAAGAAGAAGAAGAAAAAAATAACATCTTTTTCTAGTCTTAAGTTGAGAAACCTCTAAGGTTGCTTCCCCTTGTTATCCTAAGTTAGTAACATTAAAACTACAGTTTTCAAACTGCTGATTTGAAGCATATCTTCCGTTTGCATAACCTAAGTTCTTCTACTTGCGGTATACTTTTCAGCAACAATTTTAGCATATGGCAACCACTTCTGTTCCATAAACGTAAAAATACTAGAGTCCTTGTCCTATCACTGAATGTGGGTGTGTCAGAGTGAATGATGACACCTGGGTGTTGAAATGAAACTCAAATAGTGTTGCCATTGACACCCAAAGAATACTAACACTTTTATTCCTTAATGGGAATCTGAGTAGAAAATAATGCCATTTTATTTGATAATGTTGAACTTAACCTGAAGGTTAGGAAATCCCTTCATCTTTTTGTGTTCTAAAAAAATAGCTACTCCCCCATATGAGTTAGATAAGACTCAGGGATGCCTACCTTGTTTAGCTATGACAGTGCCAGACACAGGCTGTCCAAATCTCCATTCCTCTCCTCACAAATAACTAGCTGAAATGTTTTGTCCTCACTGTATCAACAGAAACAAAAAGTGTTTATTTCAGCCTGGCCAACATGGTGAACCCCCCCGTCTCTCCTAAAAATACAAAAATTAGCCAGGCATGATGGCACGCCTGTAATCTCAGCTACTCTGGAGGCTGAGACAGGAGAATCACTTGAACCTGGGAGGTGGAGGCTGCAGTGAGCCAAGATTGTGCCACTGCACTCCAGCATGAGCAACATTGCAAGACTCCGGCTCAAAAAAAAAAAAAAAAAAAAAAAAGGTTTTTTAACCACACTTTGGTTAAGGTTCTTTTTTTCCTTCCCCCAGGACCCTGACCAGCAGAAAGCCACTCCTTAAAGGCACTCGCTGAGGATAGGAGGCCTTCAGGGTAAAGCATTATCTGACCTACTCTCCCATCAGTCCACCCTTTATCCCACCTTCCCATACCTGGTTCTTTCTAGCCTAGTTCTTTCTCTAAAAGAAAAACCCTTTTTGCCTAACTTTTGAAAACTTACCTGTCTTAAGGTCACATGTTTCTATTGCAATGCTGTTGGCCCTTTGTATCCGCGAGTTCTGCATTCGGGGATTGAACCAAACACGGATCAGAAATGTTTAAAAAATACAAAATAACAATGCAGCGATAAAAATAATGCAAATTTAAAAACCAAGCCCGGGTGCAGTGGCTCACATCTGTAATCCCAGCCCTTTGGGAGACTGAGGTGGGCAGATCACCTGAGGTCAGGAGTTTGAGACCAGCCTGGCCAACATGGTGAAACCCCGTCTCTAACTAAAAATACAAAAAAATTAGCTGGGTGTGGTGGCACGCCTGTAATCCCAGCTACTCAGGAGGCTGAGGCAGGAGAATCACTTGAACCCAGGAGGTGGAGGTTGCAGTGAGCCAAGACCATGCCACTGCCCTCCAGCCTGGGCAAAAAAGCAAGACTCCATCTCAAAAACAAATAAACAAGCAAACAAACAAAAAACTAACAGCTATTTTCATAGCATTTCCATTGTATTCGGCATTATAGTAAACGAGCAATGGTTTAAAGTACATGAGGATGTGTGTAAGTTATATGTGAATACTACACCATTTTATATCACAGACTTCAGCATCTGCAGCTTTTAGTGTGAAACCAACTTTTTCAAAACTATGACAGTAAGAGAAATCTGACATAGTCGACTCAATCTTGCTTCTGACACCAAGGTCGCCTCCTGGACATGGGCCAAGCTAACTTCGAGAAGAATTTGGTTTATACTTTAACTTGAAAGCAAGGACAGTAGTAATCCTTCCCCTAAAACTAACGCCCTCCTTGCTCAGGGACCAAAACCTACCTTTGTAAGACTAATGAAAGGCCACAAGAATAGGATCATGGGAGGGGCTTGAACTCTGCTATGCTTGAACTCTGCTAAAATGTAGGCGTAGTTTCCAACCCCCTGCTGCTCAGGAGTCACGTGGCCAGAGGTCACAAGATTTGTGACTTCCCCAATTGCTCCTATAGATAACATCACTACTGTAGAACCTCAGATTGGTTTTATTTTTAGATGTTTTTCAGACGGACCCCACCTGTACTTGTGACTCATGACTCAACTGCTCCTGTGGCCCTATCCAGAGGTGGACTCAGTGCATGAGGACAGTGTTCCTTACACCTATGATTTCATCCACAACAAGTCAGCAGCACCCATTCCCTAGCCCCCACTGCCCACCAAATTGTCCATAAAAACCACAGCCTCTGAGCCTTCTGAGAGACTGACTGATTTGAGTGGTAACTCCAGTTTTTTCCCATATGGGTCAGCCTTGTGTCAATTATATTCTTTCTCTACTGCACTGCTGCAGTCTCAGTGAATTGATTTTGTCTGTGCAGTGGGCGATTACAAGGTATGAGGGCAGTTGGGAGGGGGTACTGGAACCAATCCCCCATGGATACTGAGGGAGGACTGCAGCAGTCCTCTCCCCACCATAATAATTCTGTTGGATTTGGTTTTTAGTTGGCATAGTCTATCTTTGTATGTAGAATTCTAAAAATTGATTTTATATTATTTTATTCTAACAGGAGATATTTTCTGAATACCCTACCTCTGCCTCTCCTATCCCTTGCCACTCCTCTTGTTCAGGACCTTAATAACCTCATCTTTCCCCATTACATTACTATCTAGATTCCTCAGCTCCCATCTTAGTTAATTTCTCCTTCCTTCCTCCCTTCCTCCCTCCCTCCTTCCTTCCTTCCTTCCTCTCTCTTTCTTTCTTTCTCTCTTTTTCTTTCTCTCTCTCTTCTCTCTCCTCTCTCTCTTCTCTTTCTTTCTTTTTTTTTCTTGTTGCTCAGGCTACAGTGCAATGGTGCGATCTCGGCTCACTGCAACCTTCACCTACTGAGTTCAAGCAATTCTCCTGCCTCAGCCTCCCAAGTAGCTGAGATTACAGACGTCTGCCACCACGCCTGGCTAATTTTTGTATTTTTAGTAGAGATGGGGTTTCACCATATTGGCCAGGCTGGTCTGGAACTCCTAACCTCAGGTGATCCTCCCTCCTCGGCCTCCCAAAGTGTTGGGATTACAGGGGTGAGCCACCGCACCTGGCCTAATTTTTCTTATTACTAGCAAATTAGTCTTCCTAAAGATTACTATTCCAATCCCAGCATTCTTTTGTCCTCTTTTTGTTCCTTTTTGTAGCTCTCTGTTGCCAAAGAATAAAGTACAATTTTGTAGCATCGATTTTAAATTTTTCCACAGTGAGGTTTAACCTCATCTCTTCATTCTCTAATGAACACTTTCAGCTGTTTTAAAAACCTACAAACCTACCTAGCTATTTCTAGTCTCACCATTGTTACCCTAATTAACAGAGGCTCTCTAAACAAAAATTATATTTATTTGGGAATAGGACATTGCAATGTGCCATAGTAAATGATGCATATTCAAGGAGGTAAAGGAAGACAAACTTTTTGTTTGTTTGTTTGTTTTGTTTTGTTTTTAACACAGCTGTGCTTGGAAAAGGTTTTTGTTCTTAATTTTTTAAATTTATTTTATTTTGAGATGGGGTGCCACTCTGTCACCCAGGCTGGAGCGTAGTGGTGTGATCTCGCCTCCCTGCAACCTCTGCCTCCTGAGCTCAAGCAATTCTCCCATCTCAGCCTCTTGAGTAACTGAGACCACAGATGCTCACCACCATGTCTGGCTAATTTTTTTGTATTTTGGTAGAGATGGGGTTTCACCATGTTGCCCAGACTGGTCTCGAACTCCTGAGCTCAAGCCATCCATTTGCCTCGGCTCCGCAAAATGCTGGGATTACAGGCATGAGCCATCATGCCTGGCTGTTTTGTTTTGATTTATTTTATTTTGAGACAGAGTCTCACTCTGTCGCCCAGGCTGGAGTGCAATGGCATAATCTCAGCTCACTGCAACCTCTGTCTCCTGGGTTCAAGTGATTCTCCTGCCTCAGCCTCTTAAGTAGCTGGGATCACAGGCATGTGCCACTATACCCGGCTAATTTTTGTATTTTTAGTAGAGATGGGGTTTTGCCCTGTTGGCCAGGCTAAGCCACCGCGCCTGGCCTGTTTTGTTTTTTAAGACAAGTGATCCCATAATGATTCTAACGACTTCAACACTATGTTCGCTCATTCTCCTTTTCTGTGTCTTGAATGGTTTGCTTCCAAAATTTCCCCCTCTGGGCCAGGCACCGTAGCTCATGCCTTTAATCCCAGCACTTTGGGAGGTGGAGGCGGGTAGTTTGCTTGAGATCAGGAGTTCGAGACCAGCCTGGCCAACATGGTGAAACCCCGTTTCTACTGAAATACAAAAATTAGCTGGGCTTGGTGGTGAGTGCCTGTAATCTCAGCTAACAGGGAGGCTGAGGCAAGATAATTGCTTGAACCCAGGAGGCGAAGGTTGCAGTGAGCCGAGATCGTGCCACTGCATTCCAGCCTCGGCGACAGAGTGAGACTCTGTCTCAAAAAACAACAACAACAATAAAAACACCCCAAATTTACCCCTTTGAATTTCTATTCAACACAAATGCTATTTCTTCCCTGTTTGGGAAATAATCTCTTTGATTATTCTATTATTATTCTGATACTGTGGCTGTACTTCCATTAAAGCTTTTTTCTTTCTCTCTCTCTTTTTTTTTTTTTTCTTTTTTTGAGACAGGGTCTCACTATGTTGTTCAGGCTGGTCTCAAACTCCTGGGCTCAAGCGATCCTCCCACCTCAGCCTCCCAAAATGCTGGAATTACAGGCATGAGCCACTGCACCTGGCCCATTCCCTTAAAGTTTTAACACAATTGTTTTTCATTACAGTATGCCGTATGTATTTTTAATCTGCCCTTCTGATTATGAGCTTCTTGAGGGCAAGACAGTGTCTTATTCCTCTCTGTGTCTTCTCTAGCCCTTACCCTAACACCTTGCATTTGGTAAGCATTCAATATTTGTTCTTTTTTTTTTTTTTTTTTTTTTTGAGACGGAGTCTCTCTGTCACCCAGGCTGGAGTGCAGTGGTGCAATCTCGGCTCACTGCAAGCTCTGCCTCCCCGGTTCACGCCATTCTCCTGCCTCAGCCTCCCAAGTAGCTGGGACTATAGGCACCCGCCACCATGCCCGGCTAATTTTTTTTGTATTTTTAGTAGAGATGGGGTTTCACCGTGTTAGCCAGGATGGTCTTGATCTCTTGACCTTGTGATCCGCCCTCCTCAGCCTCCCAAAGTGCTGGGATTACAGGTGTGAGTCACCACGCCCGGCCAATATTTGTTCTTTTCATTAAAATGAATGGAAAACAATTTCCTTTTTGGCCTCACATAACATTTTGTGTAACATATGTCATATGTTTATTATATCTAAACTAAATATAATGTGATAGTTCAGGACTCAGAAGTCAGTTGAATGTTGTTTGCTGTAAGGCAGAAGATGGAATTTCCTAAAATAATGGTTACAAGTGAATAGAAAATATCGAACAGGTACTCTTAAGAGTTCTCGGGAGTTGGCCAAGCTTGGTGACTCATGCCTGCAATCCCAGCACTTTGGGAGGCCAAGGTGGGTGTATCACTTGAACCCAAGGGTTTGAGACCAGCCTGGGCAGCATAGTGAGACCCTGTCTATTTTTATAAAATTATAAGGGCCAGGCGTGGTGGCTTACGCCTATAATCCCAGCACTTTGGGAGGCCAAGGCGGGTGTATCACTTGAACCCAAGGGTTTGAGACCAGCCTGGGCAGCATAGTGAGACCCTGTCTATTTTTATAAAATTATAAGGGCGAGGCGTGGTGGCTCACGCCTATAATCCCAGCACTTTGGGAGGCCAAGGCGGGTGGACCACGAGGTCAAGAGATTGAGACCATCCTGCCTAACATGGTAAAACCCTGTCTCTACTAAAAATACAAAAAAGTAGCCAGGCGTGATGGGGTGTGCCTGTAGTCCCAGCTACTCAGGAGGCTGAGGCAGGAGAATCCCTTGAACCCGGAAGGCGGAGGAGGCAGTGAGCTGAGATCGTGCCACTGCACTCCAGCCTGGGTGACAGAGCGAGACTCCATCTCAAAAAAAAAAAAAAAAGAAAGAAATACATAATATAATTTAACAATATAAATATAAAATATATATAAATTATAAGTTATAAATATAAAATATATATATTTTTTAAAGAAAGAGTTCTTGGGAGTCAACACAGCATACTACATATGAGTGTGGACTCTAGTTTCTGAGTTCTGGCTCTACTAGCTACTAGATGACCTTGAATATATTCTTTAATGTTTCTGTACCTCAAATTTTCATATGTGGGATGAGGATAGAAAGAAAATCTACCACATAGTTGTGAGGATTAAGTTGGTTACTCTCTGCAAGGCACATCAGATAGTACATGTCACATAAATACCAATAAAGTTACCTTCATTATTAAAATTGGCTATCCAAAAAGAGAAAGCTTCACTTTCTTGTTGTTTTCTAGCGATCATTTAAGTGAAATAATTCCAAAGAATTGATTATCAAACAGCTACTGAACATACTGGTTTGACCAGAACCTGTGGCATCTCTAGGATCATCAGATCTCCTCAAAGATTCATATAAGGACCAGAGAAGAGCTGTCCTGGGAAAGAGCAGTGTCAAATAATCAGGTTCAAACAAGTTTTAATCATCCTTCAGGCTTCAATATCTTTGCAGGGGAGTTGTATGAGAATGGACTTCTAAAGTTTATTCACTGATGTTTATTCAATAAACATTTCTGGGCCGGGCGTGGTGGCTCATGCCTGTAATCCCAGCACTTTGGGAGGCCGAGGCAGGCGGAACATCTGAGGTCGGGAGTTCGAGATCAGCCTGACCAACATGGAGAAACCCTGTCTCTACTAAAAATACAAAATTAGCCAGGTGTGGTAGTGCATGCCTGTACTCCCAGCTACTTGGGAGGGTGAGGCAGGAGAATCTCTTGAACCCGGGAGGCGGAGGTTGCGGTAAGCCGAGATGGCGCCATTGCACTCCAGCCTGGGCAACAAGAGTGAAACTCCATCTCAAAACAAACAAACAACAAAAACAAAAATTTCTGGGTCAGAAATATAGAAATCAAGGACACAGTTCCTGTCTTCGACTAACTCATGAACTAATATAGAAGACAGTCTTGAAGGACTCACCCAGGTGAGAAATGGAAGGAAGCGAGTTCAAGACAGAGAAATCGCAGCCATAAAAAAGAATGAAATAATGTCCTTTGAGGCAACACGGATGCAGCTGGAGGCCATTACCTAAGCAAATTAACACAGAAAAACACAAATACTGCATGTTCTCACTTATAAGTAGGAGCTAAACTTTGAGTACACATGGACATAAAGATGGAAACAACAGACACTGGGGACCCCAAAAGGTGAAGAGGAAGGGCTGAAAACTAATGAGTACTATGCTCACTACCTGGGTGATGGGATCAGTTGTACCCCAAATCTCAGCATCATGCAGTATAGTATACCCATGTAGCAAATCTGAACATCTACCCTCCAAATTATACATATGTGTGTGTGTGTGTGTATGTGTGTATACACACACACACACACACACACACGTATATATATACAGAGAAATAGTCTGAACACACAGAGCATGGAATATTCAGGGAACTTCATTTCAGAATAATTGAACATCGGGTGAGAATAACTGGATACAGCACAGTGGTAAGAAAGGCAGGTGGGAGCAGGATGATGAAGACCTCACATGTGAGGCCTCGTTATCACCTGGCTTCCCTCAGCTTGCATACCTCATGGCTTTGGTCAGGAAAACAAAAAGTACAAAAATACAGGTGAAAGCCAGGCACTGTTGTGTGCACCTGTCACCCAGCTGCTCAGGAGGCCTAGGCAGAAGGATTGCTTGGGTCCAGGAGTTTGAGGCTTCAGTGCCCTGTGATTGGCCTATGAATAGCCACTACACTCTGGCCTTGGCAACAAGGCAAAACCCTGTATATACATATTTAAAAGTGAGGTGGGTAGCCAAACAGCCTCTGTGAAATCAATGTTCTTTGTAAATTAGACCCCAAGTACCTGCTGTTCCTCAGGTATCTTGAGAAACCTAAATTTAGTCCTTCATGAAAGCCAAAAAAAATCAGAATTTCATCTTTAAGGCGAGGGGAAACATGGAAGGGTATTAAGCAGGGTAGAACTGTGAGCAAGTTTGCTTTTCAGAAAGCAGTTTTGAAAGCAGTGTGGAAAAGATATTTGAGGGGTGGCAAACAGAGGCAGAGGTATGCAGAAGAGAACGCATTCTGTCTGGAGATGTTGAGCTTGAGGTAGTGGTGGACATTTGAATGGTTAAGATGTTAAGATCACAGTAAGACATCAGATTCAGTACTTCAAATACAGTTTCCAAGGTATATTCTGTTCTTAGCATACTCTCAGTCCAATTTCCTACAACTACTATGATTATATGTGTGTGGTTGTTAATTCACATTATAGTCTAAGAAGTTTTAACATAGATAATGTCATTTTAGCCTTTTTCCATAATCCTACAAGGCAGAGAGGACAATTATTCTTCCTATTTTGCAGTGAAGAGTTATATAATACCTCTGAGACTGTACATGATTTATTTGCCTAAGATCATAGAGGAATGGGGTGCAGTGGCATGCTCTCAGCTCACTGCAACCTCTGTCTCCTGGGTTCAAGTGATTCTCCTGCCTCAGCCTCAGTAGCTGGGATTACAGGTGTGAGCCACCATGTCTGGCTACAAACCTAGCTTTTCTGATTCAAGATAGTGTTTGTATATAGTACATACCAGTGTACTATATACACTTGTAGTATAACCCATCAGTGTCTGTTTTGCTCCCAGCACTATGTTAGTAAAAACTTTTTAAAAATTAGAACATCAGGTCGGGCCCTTGCCTCTGAGACATAGCAGTATTGGCCGGGCACCATGGCTCACACCTGTAATCCCAGTACTTTGGGAGGCTAAGGCCAGTGGATCACCTGAGACAGGAGTTTGAGACCAGCCTAGGCAACATGGTGAAACCCTGTCTCTACCAAAAAACACAAAAAATCAGCTAGGAATGGTGGCAGGTGCCTGTGGTCTCAGCTATTTGGGAGGGTGAGGTGGGAGGATCCCTTGAACCTGGGAGGTGGAGGTTGCAATGGACCGAGATAGCACCACTGCACTCCAGCCTGGGTGACAGAGTGAGAGAGACCCCGTCACACACACACACACACACACACACACACACACACACACACACACACAGAGCAGTATAGTTTTTTGACAACACTGTACACTGACAATCAGATCTGGCTTCTGGTTCTAATTCTGCCTCTAACCACTTGTGTGATTACATTTTATTAGAAAATAACAGAAACTCAGCCGGGCACTGTGGCTCACGCCTGTAATCCCAGCACTTTGGGAGGCCAAGGTGGGCCGATCACCCGAGGTCGGGAGTTCGAGACTAGTCTGACCAACATGGAGAAACCCCGTCTCTACTAAAAATACAAAATTAGCTGGGCATGGTGGCACATGCCTGTAATCCCAGCTACTCCGGAGGCTGAGGCAGGAGAATTGCTTGAGCCCTGGAGGCAGAGGTTGTGGTGAGCCGAGATCACGCCTTTGTACTCCAGTCTGGGTGACAGACTGAGACTCCATCTCAAAAAAAAAAAAAAGAAAATAACAGAAACTCAACTCAAACAAATCTAAATTGAGAGGGGGATTTATTGGCTCATGAAATCCAAGGAAGGATTGAACAAGCAGGTGTCAAAAATGGCAGGGCTGCTGGCACGGCAGCTCACGCCTGTAATCCCAGCACTTTGGGAGGCCGAGGCGGGCGGATCACCTGAGGTCAGGAGTTCAAGACCAGCCTGGCCAACATGGAGAAACCCCATCTCTACTAAAAACACAAAAATTAGCCAGGCGAGGTGTTGGGCACCTGTAATCCCAGCTACTGGGGAGGCTGAGGCAGGAGAATCACTTGAACCCATGAGATGGAGGTTGCAGTGAGCCGAGATCACAACACTGCACTCCAGCCTGGGCAACAGAGTCAGACTCCATCTCAAAAAGGCACGGCTAGCCTGGGCATGGTGGCTCACGTCTGTCATTCCAGCACCTGAGGAGGCTGAGGTGGGAAGGCTGTAATTCCAGCACTTGCCCAGGAGTTTGAGACCAGCTTGGGCAATATGATGAAACCCTGTCTCCATGAAAAATACAAAACTTAGCTGGGTATGATGGTGTGTGCCTAATGGGAGGATCCATTGAGCCTGGAAGGTTGATGCTACAGTGAGCCATGATCAAGCCACTGCACCCCAGCCTGGGTGACAGAGTGAGACCTTGTCTCAAAAACAAAACAAAACAAAACAAAACAAAAAACAAACAAACAAAAGGCAGGGCTGCAGAGGTGAAACAAGGGGCCCAAACCTTGTTAGGAGTCTTTCCAAGTCTTGTTTCTGTTGTTTTCGGTATGGCAGTTTCACTTTCTCTCATCACTAACCAGCTTTCTCTAAAGGTAGGACATATGTCTGCTGTGTTTCTAAGTTTAGATTTAAAAGGTTTAACCATTGGAGAGAAACCACCTCAATCTCTCACTGTCTGAAAGTACAAAAATCTCAGGGAACCCACTCCCTGGCCCAGCAGAGGGTGGGAACCCAATCTGTGGTTACCAGAGGAATGCATTCCAGAGAGTTCTAGCAAGATCATCACAGGTGCCAATTTTCTTCAGTATTATATGAAAAATATAAATCTTAAATACGGGGGATGATAAAGTTAGGTAGGATAGAAAGCCATTATTCCAGGTAGAGGAAAGGCGCCTTGAGTTAGTGATGTTGTTAGTCTATGAATGAAAAGACAAGTCTGACTGGAGGACAAGGCTGGGTCCTTGTTCCCATAGGAAATAAGCATGAATTGCTAGGGTAGGAAGTGATTATGATGGACCAAAAAGCTAAACATAGAATTTGTTCTACTTGAAGCAGCCATTATAGGTTTCTTGTACAGATTCAACTATGACTTCTGAAATCTCACTTTATAACAAAGAAATCTTGAATCACTTCCTAGAATACTCCTTCCTTTTCTTAATTGAACTTAGGTTAGGGTAGCAGTAGGAATGAAGAATGGGTGAGAGAATTCAGAGAAGGAAAGCTAAAAACACAACACCCAATCTAATCTGGAACCTAGAAGAAGGATAGCACTCTCAAAGACTATTTGACACAAGCATCTTGAAAGCAGGAGCTATGTCTTATTAACATTGCATCTCCAAGAACGTAGCACAGTCAGCAAATACCACATAATAAACTGAGTGACTCTCATAAAATGAGGAAATTAAGAAGATGGCCTCTAAGCCCCTTCCAGCTCCACAAATCTTTGAGTCTATTTCTCATCTTGATCTTAAAAGTCATGAAAGTCCTCAAATATCTACACACAAAAATGATAGGTTGTTAAAAAGGTTAAGATGGGTCGTGTTTGGTGGCTCACGCCTGTAATCCCACCACTTTGGGAGGCAGAGGCTGGTGGATGGCTTGAGCTCAGGAGTTGGAGACCAGCCTGGGTAACATGGTGAAACGCTGTCTCTATAAAAATAAATAAATAAATAAATACACAAATAAAACAAAAAATATGCAAAAGGGCTGCAAATTCTAGTATACTTATGAAAATAGGTATTCAAAAATATATTAAACACATTTTATAAATGATTTTCACCAAGGACTAAAGTGTATTAAAAGTTTACATTCTTCAGGAAATTTAATTAACTAGAATATTCCATTCTCTTTTTTGCAGGGTGGCCAGGGGAGCTTTCTGGTAAGCACCGTAAAGTCTGATGGGCAAATTCTAAAAGAGTTGTAGCACTTAGAATATTCCATTCTGATTGAGAATTTACACTAGTATATTCATTACTATAAACATCAAAATATTAGGGGCAAGTCAACACTTACCAAGATGTCTAAATGGTGAATGTGCAGATGGGATTGGAGATTTCAAGACCTGAGAACTTAAAAAAAAAATATTTCGAACCAGTACGACATCTATATTTCCAATCATTGTTGGGGGGAAAAAGGCATCAATCAGATTTTTTTCACTGTTATAATAACTTTAATTTATCTTGCATTTTACAGAAGTCTATGAACAATTTTAAAAAAGCACCTCCTTATCCCATAGCACGTTTCTCTGATAGTTGTTAAAGTAGGCAAGGAGTATGTCAACAGCTTCAGCATCAGCGTCTTGCAAGGATTTCAGACCAACCAACCACTCTCCAAACAACTTGGCAGCTTTTTTATCTTGTTTTTAATACAATGGTATATCCACTCTAATGGCAAACCTGTCCAGCCACATCTCCACAACATGCTTTGCAAAGTCAGTGATTAGCAAATTAGTTAGCTTTGGCACGGAGCTGTGCTCGCTTGCCAGTGACAACCTGGAAGCGGGTTTTGATACTGGCAACAGAACATCTAGAATGACAAGTTTTGCACTGTAGGAAATAGAGTCGTGTGTCCTTCTGTAGGATTGTGTCTGGTGATTGACATGTGTGACAAGTGACATATTCCTTGATATATCTTCTCAAGACATTTTCTCTATTTCTGTTGGAATCTTTTTTTGATTACAAGTTGATTATTACCATCTATAGAACCACTTGTACCCAATTCAGCCAACGAAAATGCAAGATGTTTGGGCTGACGATGTAATAGTTAATAGGTATCTGTAAAGTTGACAAAAGAAGTTTTCTGCTGAGCATGGTGGCTCACGTCTGTAATCCCAGCACTTTGGGAGGCCGAGGCGGGCAGATCACGAGGTCAGGAGATCAAGACCATCCTGGCTAACACGATGAAACCCCGTCTCTGCTAAAAATACAAAAAATTAGCCGGGGGTAGTGGCGGGTGCCTGTAGTCCCAGCTACTCGGGAGGCTGAGGCAGGAGAATGGTGTGAACCCGGGAGGCGGAGCTTGCAGTGAGCCGAGATCGCGCCACTGCACTCCTGCCTGGGCGGCAGAGCCAGACTCCGTCTCAAAAAAATAAGGAAGTTTTCTTGGTTCCTACTTGTACGACCTGTGGAGGTTTCATGACAAATTTCCTTTTCTCCCCAGCAACCATATCTAGATTCTTTTCCGTCATGATGTTGAACACTCGATTCATTAGCTCCTTATATGTGTAGTCTCTTTCTGAGCCTGCCCAAGCAGGGCCTGATTACTGAATGAGACACCATCATGATTTTTTCTGTCTTCATCTTCTAGAGCTTCATCTTTCTCTAGTATTTCATCCTCATCTGAGAACTTGATCCTCTTTTTCTACTTTTTATTGCCAAGCATAATGTCAAGGTCATCCTCTGGTTCAGCTGATTCTCGAACATTACTTTCAATCTGAAGATCCTTTACACCTTCTTCAGCTTCATCAATATCAAATATCTTTTCAGTTTTTTTCTTTTTTCTTTTGATTAAAGAAGTTCAAGTCATCTCGATCATCAGGAGCATATTTTTTCCTGCTGTCCTCTTCTTCAGCTTCCAAGTCTTTGTCCTCAGTTGGCTCTGGCTCCACTTCTTTTGTTTCTGAAGGCTGAGTTTCCTCTGTTTGGGTATCCCCTTCCTCACCTAACATAAAAGACTTCTTCTCCTTTTTCTTCTGTCTCCCGAGTAGCTGGGATTACAGGCATGTGGCACCACGTCCGGCTAATTTTGTATTTTTAGTAGAGACGGGGGTTTCTCCATGTTAGGCTGGTCTTGAACTCCCGATCTCAGGTGATCCGCCCACCTCGGCCTCCCAAAGTGCTGGAATTACAAGTGTGAGCTGCCATGCCCAGCCCAATCAGATTTTAAGAGCAAGAAAAGTAGGACTGAGAAGAGAATTGTTAACAAAGAAAGAGGAAAAAAGTCTTAGGGAGTAATTTAAAAAAAATATTACAGAGTTCGGGGAAAGGAAAACTGAGTATAAATGGTCTCTACGATAAGGAAGAATTCCACGGTCAGCTCAGCCTATGTGGGCTAGAAATAAAGTGGGTGATGGGCCATTTATTATCATTCATTTATTTTGTTCTAATTTTGCTTTTTGCCTGGGATACTTTTAGACAATTTCTGTGTAAGTTTCCCTTAGAATTTTACCTTGGGAGAAGGTGATTCAAACGTTGAGGCATAAAAACCTTAGAAGGCAGAAAACTCGTTAACCATTAATGATAAAATTTTATTAATATACATCACACATTTTATTTACATTTGTGCTATCACAGAGATTTTTGAGAATTCAGAAGAAATCCTATTTTTGAGAAATACAATAAAACTAATCAAAGATGCAGGATAAAATCATTAGGTGTATATATAAAGAATTTAATTAACATAGGTTTAATTTTTCAAAAATAACATACTCATAATGAATATTTATTGATGCCCATAATGTACTGTTACTGATATCAACATATCACAAATATTCTAGTAATAGCCGAGTACCATGGCTTGCACCTGTAATCCCAGCTACTTGGGAGGGTGAGGCAGGAGGATTGCTTGAGGCCAGGAGTTCAAGACCAGCCTGGGCAACATAGTGAGACCTGGTCCCTAAAAAAATAAAAATAAAAAAATTCTATAATGGGCCGGGCACGGTAGCTCATGCCTGTAATCCCAACACTTTGGGAGGCCAAGGTGGGTGGATCATGAGGTCAGGAGATCGAGACCATTCTGGCCAACACAGTGAAACCCCATCTGTACTAAAAATACAAAAATTAGCTGGGTGTGATGGCGCATGCCTGTAATCCCAGCTACTTGGGAAGCTGAGGCAGGAGAATCGGTTGAACCCAGGAGGTGGAGATTGCAGTGAGCCAAGATTGCACCACTGCACTCCAACCTGGTGACAGAGCAAGACTCTGTCTCAAAGAAAAAAAAATTCTATAATGTTAACAATTTATGGCAAATAGTTTGCAATATATATACATTTTATCATTTAACAATAAAAAATTAAACTAGGTTCCAGATAGGCAAAAGAAAACAAGTTAATGGCAATAAATATTCAGTTTAAAATGAATATTATAATTTTAAGTAAAATAGTTGTGAACGTAAATTACTTAGAATGTATATTTCTAAAGATAAAGTTCTTTGACCTCATTGTAAAAGTAGCTGAATCAGTGATTTATCTCAATCCAATATAATAAAGTACAAACTTAATTTGCCTATGGAAGGTAAAATGTCCAAGGCTAAGACTGCATATTGTTTCCTTACTACTTTTATGAAAGTTCCATTAGAAATGACAGCAACATTTTACCTTTATAGAATATCTGTGTCAAAAAAATATTTTAGTAATGTATAAAATTAAACTCAGGGCTGGGCCAGGTGGCTCACACCTAAAATCCCAGTACTTTGGGAGGCCAAGGTGGGTGGATCATGAGGTCAGGAGTTCAAGACCAGCCTGGCCAACATGGTGAAACCCCGTCTCTGCTAAAAATACAAAAATTAGCCAGGCGTGGTGGCACATGCCTGTAATCCCAGCTACTCGGGAGGCTGAGGCAGGAGAATTGCTTGAACCCAGGAGGTAGAGGTTGCAGTGAGCCGAGATCACGCCACTGCACTCCAGCCTGGGCGAAAGAGCAAGACTCCATCTCAAATAAAAATAAAAATAAAAATAAAGTCAAGTACAGAGAAGGATATAAGAAAATCAACATGTTAATTATGAAGCATGGATATGATACAGTTCTCATATCACACGATATCTTTATTTGGCTTTGCAGGAAAGACACTGAATCATACCCAGGTAGTATATCCCTACTTGGCAGCAATATTTTTTCTTCAAAAAAATGTTTATTCACATTCTGAGAGAATGCAGAAAATAAACAAAAATTTAAAAAATTAAAATTGTATGCTTTGTGATAAAAATACTTGCCATAGAATGTTTATATTTGAATCTTTTAATATAGTTAAATTTTTTTGTTTTCTTTTTACTTTTTTCTTTTTCTTAGAGGCAGGGTCTCACCACATTGCCCAGGCTGGTCTTGACCTCCTGGCCTCAAGCAATCCTCCTGCCTTGGCCTCCCAAAATTTTGGGATTACAGGCATGACCCACTGTGCCTGGCCTATAGTTAAATTTCTATTAAATTTTAAGATATTCTATTAGGAAAATTTCAGAGGGAATGTGGGTAGAAACCACCAAAACTACTATTCTTTATACCATGGCTCTTTGGTATGTAGGTAAGACCTTGTCCCTCTCATTAACAATGATTTATTGCACCAGTGTCAGCTCCTTCAAGTTTTGTCAGCTTGTATTATTTTTCCTGTTTAGTGCAGTTATAGGTCAAATTTCCATTTCTCCATCACCTTTGTTCCCATTACTGTTAAAGGGGATATTGCATTCTGACAAAATATACCAGCGCTAAAGGACTCATAATGCAGCCATGGGATCTAATGATCACCTCTACTTTGTTTTACATACTTTCCTCTTCCTCTGCCATCTCTGGGATAAACAGACCCTAGACCAGGAAATTCCTCAGATGAATCTGAATAATTCCCTTGTAATCAAATTATTTTGACAGAAAAGCACATACACAATCCCTCAGCCTGATGCTGTTCTCCCCTTCTCTCTATAAACCAAGATGCTCCTTGTCTTCAAATGCCAACGAATCATCTGTTTCACAGAACCATTCATAGAGAATCCAATGCCACCTCTCTGCTTACTCCACAGAGTGATTACTTTATGTCTCATTTTTCCAGAGCTGTTTAGTATACCTGGCTTTACACCTTCTTTGAATATATTTGTATCTTTTTCTCATGTTTTCTCTCCTTCACTACATTGCTAATGCTTCAATATTAGATACAAGGGTTGGCCAGGCTCGGTGGCTCATGCCTGTAATCCCAGCACTTTGGGAGGCCAAGGCAGGCGGATCACGAGGTCAAGAGATTGAGACCATCCTGGCTAACACAGTGAAACCCTGTCTGTACTAAAAATACAAAAAATTAGCTGGGTGTGGTGGCAGGCATCTGTAGTCCCAGCTACTCAGGAGGCTGAGGCAGGAGAATCGCTTGAACCCAGGAGGCAGAGGTTGCAGTGAGCTGAGATCACACCACCATGCTCCAGCCTGGTGACAGAGCAAGGCTCCGTCTCAAAAAAGAAAAAAAAAAAAAGAAATTAGACACAAGTTTGTTCTAACCAGGAACAGACTAATATTTGCCTGCAGTCCTATGAATTCAAATGAAACATTTTAATTTTTTCCTAGTTCCAAAATTTCATTCAAATCTATCCCCCGCTTCCAATCCCCCAGAACCAAGGTCCTAGTTCAGGCTGTCATTGTTTCTCACCTGATGACTGCAATAATCTTCTAATTATTTACCTAGCCTTCACTCTCTGACCTCTGACAATCGTCTTTGATTTCTTTCCCAGTTATCTTTCTAAAACACAGTTCTGATGGTGTCACTCCCTAGCCTAAAAGCCTTCCATGGCTCCCACTGCCTACAAAATTAAATCCCTTTGGTATTCAAGGATTTACAACCTAATCCTATCCTCCCTTTGTAATCCCATTTCCAATCACCCTTGCTACTCTATGCTATATGCTATTGTTTTTTGGTTTTTTTTTTCATTTTTTAATTTTTACTGTTTGAGACAAGGTCTTACTCTGCTGCTCAGGCTGGAGTGCAGTGGTACAATCGTAGCACCCCGTAACCTCTAACTCCTGGGCTCAAGCAATCCTCCCACCTCAGCCTTAAAAGTAGCTAGGGCTACAGGCATGTGCCATCACACTCAGCTAATTTTTTTATTTTTCTTTATTTTTAGTCTGAGTCTAGCTCTATTGCCCAGGCTGGAGTGCAGAGGCACAATGTTGGCTCACTGCAACTGCCACCTCCCAGGTTCAAGCCATTCTCCTGCCTCAGCCTCCCGTGTAGCTGGGATTACAGGCACCTGCCACCATGCCTGGCTAATTTTTGTATTTTCAGTAGAGATGGGGTTTCACCATGTTGGCCAGGCTGGTCTCAAACTCCTGACCTCAAGTGATCCACCAGCCTTGGCCTCCCAAAGTGCTGGGATTACAGGCATGAGCCACTGCACCAGCCCCCCACCTAATTTTTTAGAAAATATTTTTGTAGAGTCAGGGTCTTGCCATGTTGCCTAGGCTGGTGTCAAACTACTGACCTCAAGTGATCCTCCCACCTCAGCTTCCCAAAGTGCTGGGATCAAAGGAGTGAGCCACTGCACCTGGTCTCTATGGACTATTGTTTACCAAATACATTTTTGCATATCCCTATCTTCCTTCACTTTCTCTTCCTAAAATGGGCTTCTTCACCTATTCATATTTTGCTCTGTAAAACAATCCAGCTCTACAGGATCACCTCCTAACACCTTTCTTCCTGTTCCTAGTCAAACTTGTCCTCCTTTCTGAGGCATGCTGTTTATGTCTGTTTTACACTTGCCATCTTCTCTATACTCTAGAAGTAGTCCTGTCTTTCTTTATCTCCCCTAAACTGTGAACAACTTGAGAGCATGGGTGATGATTTATTCCTCTTTCTATGGCCACAGCCTAGCAAGTGGAGTGGGAGGAGGAGAGTACCTGTCCCTGCGAAATGAAATTTTTTTTTTTTTTTTTTTTTTAAGATAGGGTCTTACTCTGTTACCCAGGCTGGAATTGCAATGGCACAATCAGGGCTCACCGCAGCCTTGACCTCCCGGGCTTAAATAATCCTCCCGCCTCAGTCCCCCAGTTATCTGGGACTACAGGTGTGGGCCACCATGCCCGGTTAATTTTCTTTTTTTTTTTTTGAGACAGAGTTTCACTCTTGTTGCCCAGGCTGGAGTGCAATGGCGCGATCTCGGCTCACCGCAACCTCTGCCTCCCTGGTTCAAGCAATTCTCCTGCCTCAGCCTCCGAGTAGCTGGGATTACAGGCATGCACCACCCCGCCCGGCTAATTTTGTATTTTTAGTGGAGACGGGGTTTCTCCATGTGGGTCAGGCCGGTCTTGAACTCCCGACCTCAGGTGATCCGCCCGCCTTGGCCTCCCAAAGTGTTGGGGTTACAGGCGTGAGCCACTGTGCCCAGCCCTGCCCGGCTAATTTTGTTCATTTTTTGTAGAGGTGGGATCTCCCTATGTTGCCCAGGCTGTTGTCAAACTCCTGGACTCAAGCCATCCTCCCTCCTCGACCTCCCAAAGTGCTGAGATTATAGGCATGAACTACCACGCCTGAAGGAAAGTATTTCTACTGTTTTAAGGGCATGGGACAATTTCAAGCCTGTTTCTTGGAAGTAGTTCACATTCTTTAATTACAGACATTCACCTGATCATGGCGGGTGTGGTGGCTCACGCCTGTAAACACAGCACTTTGAGAGGCCAAGGCAGGAGAATCACTTCAGCCCAGGAGTTGGAGACCAGCCTGGGCAATATAGCGAGACCCTGTCTCATCTCTCTCTCTCTAGGTATATATAAAAGACATTCACCTGACCTGAGGAGTTCAGAGACCTTATAAACTGCTCTAGCTAGAAGTCAAGTTGGTAACTTGTGAGACACGGAAGTTAAGCGTCTAAATTAACGTTACCAAACTCAAAAATCTATACACTGCATTCATTCTCTACATTTATTCTGTGCAAGCCCTCTAGGTATTAGAATCTAGGAAAAGGAAATTTTACACTTAAGAACACCTGTGCTCCCTTAACATATACCAAAATATTTGATAAATGACACAGTATTTTGAATTTGTAGGTGGCTGGCTTTTCTTTTGCAGACCACACCTGTTAATATCACCTGGCCCTGTCTTGGGATCTACATGTAGTCTTGTCACCACTGGTCAATTGGCACATGGTTTTCCGAACATCAGTCGCCTGGGACAGCTCTGTAATTACTTGTTAATTACTTGAGTCGAATGATTCCGAACTCATGGTAGTTGCTTCGCCTTCATTGATCATTCACCATTTGGTTCTGTGCCAGCAGGATGCCCGGCTGCTTGGTCACAGGCATTGCGCAAGCTGGCACCGGGATCGTGGCCTCTTTAAGTCAACTTCTGGCTGAGGGAATCCGGCGACACTAGCCCGCGGAGAAGAAGGGCTGAAGGTGGAGCAGGGGGACACGCCGCGTCCCACCAGACGTACGCCGCGACGCCTGCTGGTGGATATTACCCGGGACCTCAAAGCGGCCGCCCGCCGATCCTCAGCGCCAAGCCACGGCCGGATGCGCTCAGGGCGGACCCGCGCGGCCCGGCCCCTCAGGGAGCCCGGGTGGGGGCGGGGCTGGGCGGGGCGGGGCGCGGCGCGCGCGGGGCGGGGGCGCGCGGCCTGTGGCGCCGTCACCCGGCAGACTCCGGAGGGTAGAGCGCTGTGCCGGTTCCGCTGCCGCTGGCCAGGAGCGCGGGGACAGTTCGGGGCTGCGCCGGAGGCCGGCCCGCCTTCCCGGGGGTTCCGTTATCATGTCGCTGAGGCAGCGCCTGGCCCAGCTGGTTGGCCGTCTGCAGGACCCGCAGAAAGTGGCCCGTTTCCAGCGGCTGTGCGGGGTGGAAGCGCCGCCGCGCCGCTCAGCAGACCGGAGGGAGGATGAGAAAGCGGAGGCGCCTCTCGCCGGAGACCCTCGACTGCGAGGGCGGCAGCCAGGGGCGCCTGGAGGCCCCCAGCCTCCCGGGAGCGACCGCAATCAGTGCCCGGCCAAGCCGGACGGCGGCGGCGCCCCCAACGGCGTGCGGAACGGGCTGGCGGCCGAGCTGGGCCCGGCCTCGCCGCGGCGCGCGGGCGCTCTGCGCCGCAACTCGCTGACGGGCGAGGAGGGCCAGCTGGCCCGCGTGAGCAACTGGCCGCTCTACTGCCTGTTCTGCTTCGGCACGGAGCTGGGCAACGAACTCTTCTACATCCTGTTCTTCCCCTTCTGGATCTGGAACCTGGACCCTCTGGTGGGCCGGAGGCTCGTGGTCATCTGGGTGCTGGTCATGTACCTGGGCCAGTGCACCAAGGACATCATCCGCTGGCCGAGGCCCGCCTCGCCGCCCGTGGTCAAGTTGGAGGTCTTCTACAACTCTGAGTACAGCATGCCCTCCACCCATGCCATGTCCGGCACCGCCATCCCCATTTCTATGGTCCTCCTCACCTATGGCCGCTGGCAGGTAGGGTTCCTTCTCGTCCTGTTCAGCCTGGGGGAGTTCAAAGAACTCGGAGTTCTCTTTGCTCTCTGCATTTATTTTAATTCGACCGTTCCCCTCCAAAGCCTCTCTTTCCACAGGTTTTCACAATACTCGCAAACAGGCCCTTTCTGGGTTTTGAAAAATTAAGTGATTGGGGGAAACTGGATACTTAGCCGTTGAATTCTATTTTAATATTAAATTCCAATTTAATGCCTTAGAACCCAAAGGACACACTTTTCCTAGAGTAATACATTGTCATTGGGCTTTGGTTGAGTTTTTTAAACGGCTTTAATTCTTGTAATGCACAGTGGAAGTGAATTTTTTAAATAATCGCTATGTAAACTAAGACCCAGTTTCACCGTAATATATGGTGCCTTCTTCCCTAAAACTGTTTCAGAAAGAGGTAAAGTCATTAGCTTTACCGTGAGACAGTGTTTACAAAACGTTAGTGTAATTCCAAAACAAACATGCTAGTTCCAAGCAATGAAGTAATCGATTTTCATCGAAGTTCCCTTTATGGAAGTTAATGGAGCACAGGGTGAGTTCTGTTTTTAAGGGGTGTGGTTGCTACTTTGCTGATAAAGTTTGATTATCTTCTGGATCACTAATCTGTAGTATCTAACAGTTGTTGAGCTACAACTGTAATACTATAGTGTTATTGCCTCATTAACTCTAAAAATGCATGGTTTAAAAGTTATTCTTAAAGATAGGGCTCTTGATCAAACTAGTGGGTTTATAAAAATGGCAAATATGACAGCAGGGTCAGCCTGACAATCAGGAAAATTTTTTTTTTTTTTAACCCTCTCTGAAAACTGCCAAGGGAAGAGTTTTTAATGGTAATCGTTTTTATTTTGCTTACTTCTTTTGGCCTTCCAATGTTTATCTGTCTTTGAACTGTAAGATTTGTTAATCCTGCAGACCAGTCCCTTATTTTAAGAATAAAGTGCGTAATTGTGGAGATTCTAAGGAAACAAACTTCCTCTATTTTTTCCCCCTTTACTTCACAAAATCATTTTACATTGAGAAATACACATTCTGTGTAAAACTCCATTATGATAAGCTTACTTATCCCACATTAAATTTCAGTGTAGATAAAATTTCGTCCCCATGGATACTTCTGTGTAGTGCATCTCTCTTACAGTACATGGAAAATACGCATTGTGCATAGTAAGAATGGCAGAATTAGGAGGAAAGAGTACCATGGGAAGTTTTTTTCTGTTTAACCAAAGGAGCTATACGGTGATGTTCAGATTGTGAAGCAGTGCTACCTGTTTTGCGTAACAGATAAATATCTCGAAGTTTTCATTTAATCTAAATATTTCAGAATTTAAGATTTTCAATGAGCTGTGTTTGGCCTGGTGATGTTAGCTGATGATGTTTCTCTTATTTTCGTGAGACTTTTAGGATTCTGTAACAATAGAGCCTTTTATGATGCCTTCTCAGTGAGTAGCTATTTTGTATGCTATTAGTATTAGCAGTCAAAGTAAGAGAAAATAGCTATTTTTGCTCTTTATTTGTTCTGGACACATACTAACTGGAAGTCTGAAAACAGTACTGCTGAATCGTTTATGGGATATTGATATTCTAACATTTCAGGGTTATTTGAATTATCAGAATAAGCTTAGATTTAGTTTTTAAACAACCTAGTATATTTAACTCAAAGTTTAAGAAATTTGCGTATCATAGAATTTTAGACTTTGAAGTAGACCGGATGTTAGAAATCACTTAGTTTCAAACTGTCATTTTACAGATGTGCAAACTGACCAGTTACATTAAAATTAATCTTGTAATGCTTTAAATTTCTTATTTTACATTTTTTCACTCTAAATTTGCATGATTTTTCGGTTAGTTGTTCTGAAAGAAAGCCTCCTGACGGAGTCTCGCTCTGTTGCCCAGGCTGGAGTGCAGTGGTGCAGTCTCGGCTCACTGCAACCTCTGCCTCCCAGGTTCAAGCAATTCTCTGCCTCAGCCTCCCGAGTAGCTGGGATTACAGGCGCCTACCACCACACCAGCTAATTTTTTAAGGATTTTTAGTAGAGATGTGGTTTCACTGTTTTGGCCAAGCTGGTCTTGAACTCCTGACCTCAGGGGATCCACCCATCTCGGCCTCCCAAAGTGCTGGGATTACAGGCGTGAGCCACTGCGCCTGGCCTAAGCCTCCTTTATATGAAAGTTCTGTGTTTATAAATGTTTGACTAATAATCCAGTACAAAAAACAAGATGGCTTTTTAACCTTTTTCCTTTTTTTTTTCCCTAAGAGTCGGGGTCTCACTATATTGCCTAGGCTGGTCTCGAACTCCTGGGCTCAAGTTATCCTCCCTCCTTGGCCTCCCAAGTGCCAGCTTTTCCTTTTTTTTTTTTAAGACGGAGTCTCGCTCTGTTGCCCAGGCTGGAGTGCTGTGGCGCAATCTCGGCTCTCTGCAATCTCCTGATCTCAATCAGGAGATTGAGACCATCCTGGCTAACACAGTGAAACCCCGTCTCTACTAAAAAATACAAAAAATTAGCCGCCCCCCGCTCATCGGCCTCCCCACCACTGGCCTCCCAGAGTGCTGGCATTACAGGCGTGAGCCACCGCGCCTGGCCTCCTTTTCCTTTTCCTTTTTTTTTTTTTTTTTTTTTTTTTAAAGATCCTTGTTATCTATTGAAAACAAAAGTACCTTCCTTTGCTTCAGCTGTTTGGGTCCTCTACTCTGTGAATTAGTATTGTACTGCATTGGAGGCTTATATAGAAAGCCTTTCCCCTAGAAACTGGGGGAAGAATTAAATAATGAAAGCCTGGTGTTTTTCTAATAAGTTTTGGTTGGCAGTCTTGCCTATCTGCTGTGCCTCAGCTGCTTATTTGGGACAGGTATGGTTACTTATATATGCCTGGCGTGCTGAAACATCTCTTGAAACTGAGTTCTATACCATTCCTTTGTCTTGGCTTTACTACTTCACTACTACCTACTACTTAATGTTTCTGCCCTCATTGAAATTTGCTCAAGATTCACCACCCAGAGCATTTTAAATTAATCCTTTCTGTTTCATTATTCCTCACTTACACTTAAAATGACAGTATATGGCCAGGTGTAGTGGTTCATCCCTGTACACCTAGCACTTTGGGAGGCTGAGGCGGAAGGATCCCTTGAGCCCAGGAGTTGGAGACCAGCCTGGGCAATATAGCGAGACCCTGTCTCTGCAAAAAAAAATCAAAAATCAGCTGGGCATGGTGGCGCATGCCTGTAGTTCTAGCTACTAGGGAGGCTGAGGTGGGAGCATCACTTGAGCCTGGGAGGTTGAGGCTGCAGTGAGGTGTGATTGCACCACTGCACTTCAGCCTAGATGACAGGGCAAGACCCTATCTCAAAAAAAAAAGACAGCGTACAAACTCGGGGTTGTTTAAAAATGCAGATTTCTACATTTCCCAGGGTAAGTTTCCCAGAGATTCTGACCCATTAGATGAGTGAGGAGTTAGTTGTATTTCTTCAAGATTGCTGTCTCAGCTTCTTTGAAATTCCAGTCTTTGAATTTTTTTTTTTTTTGAGACGAAATCTCTCTTTGTCACCCAGGCTGGAGTGTGGTGGTGTGATCTTGTCTCACTGCAAACTCTGCCTCCCCGGTTCAAGCGATTCTCCTGCCTCAGCCTCCTCAGTAGCTGGGACTACAGGCGCACACCACCACCCCCGGCTAATGTTTGTATTTTTAGTAGAGACGGGGTTTCACCATGTTGGCCAGGATGGTCTCGATCTCTTGACCTCGTGATCCACTCCCCTCAGCCTCCCAAAGTGCTGGGATTACAGACGTGAGTCACTGCACCCTGCCTGAATTTTTTTAAGGTACGTTATAAGACAAAGGAGAGATTGGAATAGTATAGCTCCAAGTAATTACTTAAAGAGTTTTGTATATAAATTTTATGGTGATGGAGGATAGAAAATGTTATGACCTTTTCCCAAGGATTAAATAACTTGAGATCCATTGCCTAGGATAATGGTTATTGCTCTCATATTATTCATTGGAATTTTTTGTAGCCTGAATTGGAAAAAAAATTAAGAAATAAGGAGCATCTGATATAAAGACAATAAATAGTCCTTTGAAGAATAAGATAAACAATATGACGTTCCTTTTCCATTTATGTTTGCATGTTCTTTTCAAAAATAAAATTTCTTAATTTTTAAAGCTCTGTTTGACTTGAATTAATTTAATTTTTAAATAATATGGAATGTAATCAGTTTTAACTGTATACTTTATTTAATTAGAAGGTTTTAGATTAATTTTTTTTTTTTTTTTTTGAGACAGGGTCTTACTCTGTCGCTCAGACTGGAGTACAGTGGCACGATTCCGGCTCACTGCAGCCTCGACCTCCCAGGCTTAAGTGATCCTCCCACCTCAGCCTCCCAAGTAGCTGGGACCACAGGCACACACTACCACCAGCTAATTTTGTTTGTTTGTTTGTTTGTTATAGAGACGGGGTTTTGCCATGTTGCTTAGGCTGGTCTTGAACTCCTGAGCTCAAGTGATCCTCCCACCTCGGCCTCCCAAAGTGCTGGTATTACAGGCGTCAGCCACCTTGCCCTGCTAAAAATTAGCTGTAGCACTTACTTTATAGACAACTCATTGCCAACTAGTCTTTCATTTTGTGTGCTTTTACTACTTTTTATTATAATAATTATATTTTATAATAATAATGTTATAGCATTGTTAATATTTTTATTTTTTATTTTTTATTTTTTGAGATGGAGTCTCACTCTGTTGCCCAGGCTGGAGTGCAGTGGTGCGATATTGGCTCACTGCAACCTCTGCCTCCTGGGTTCAAGTAGTTCTCCTACTTCAGCCTCCTGAGTAGCTGGGATTACAGGCACGCCCCACCACGCCCGGCTAATTTTTTTTTTTTTTTTTTTTCAATAGAGACAGGGTTTCACCATGTTGGTCAGGCTAGCCTCTAACTCCTGACCTTGTGATCTGCCCACCTTGGACTCCTAAAGTGTTGGGATTACAGGCATGAGCCACTGCGCCCAGCTGTTAATATATATTTTTAAGCACTTACTATGAATCAGACATTGTTTGAAATGTCTTTTATCTCATTTACTCTTCTATAATACCCCAATGTTCCTATTACTAGCATGGGTTTACAGATGAGGAAACTGAGGTACAGGGAGGTTATATTATGTAACTTAAGCAAAGTAACCTAGCCAGTAAGTGTCAGGGGCTCAGACTGACTCAGCAGCTTATATAGAAAATTCATTTTAAATCACACTTTGTGTGTGATTTTTAAGGTATGCTTGCAGTAATATTATTTTTGAAATATATGATTGTATTCTTAAAATATGAGAATAGCTTTTATATACCTTGAGAAGATAATTTGTGTTTGTGTATGTACATACATATGCAACATCCACAAATATTTGTGTTTTAAACATGTATGAAGATGTTGACTGAAATCAAATGCTGATTTGTCACCTAATATAAATAAAAAATTTGATAAACATAGTAAGAGCTTTGGAAAAGAAAGACACATAAGAATATTCTGTCAAAATGTTGTTTACTGTAAATAATAGAAGAAGATATCTGTGAGGTCATGAAAAGATAAATGGAAGAAAGGCAAAAAGTAAGAGTTACAAAAGTAGGTCACAGTAAAGACCAGAGGAGGCTGCAAGATCCAAGAAAAATTGATCACTATGGTAATTCTGGAAAGAAACACAGTTTATTAAAAAATTGAATTGGCTTGCCTCTTTTTTATGGAGCACGATACTTGTGTTTGAAATTCACGTTTTCCTGAGTTTATAAGTCCTTATTACTAATTCCTTTTTTTTTTTTCTGGATACGAAGTCTTGTTCTTGTCACCAGGCTGGAGTGCAGTGGCATGATCGTGGCTCACTACAACCTCCGCCTCCTGTGTTCAAGTGATTCTTCTACCTCAGCCTCCTGGGTAGCTGGGATGACAGGTGTGTGCCACCACACCCGGCTAATTTTGTATTTTTTTTGAGATGGCGTCTTGCTCTGTTGCCCAGCCTGGAGTGCAGTGGCACGATCTTGGCTCACCCACCACCATGCCTGTCTCTACTAAAAATACAGAAATTAGGCTGGGTGCTGTGGCTCACGCCTGTAATCCCAGCACTTTTGAAGGCCGAGACGAACGGATCGCCTGAGGTCAGGAGTTCAAGACCAGCCTGACCAATATGGTGAAACCCCGTGTCTATTAAAAATACAAAAATTAGCTGGGTGTGGTGGCAGGTGCCTGTAGTCCCAACTACTTGGGAGGCTGAGACAGGAGAATTGCTTTAACCTGGGAGGCAGAGGTTGCTTGAACCCTGCTGACAGAACAAGACTCTGTCTCAAAAAAAGAAACATGAAAAGAAGAGTACATTTCTTTCTCTGTCCCACAGCTTCTAGGGTCTTTTTTTCTGAAGGATTCAGTGTTAGACATCTCTTGTTTAGCTTCCCAGAGGTAGTCTCTACTTTTGCAGACATACATTTATATAGTTGTTTGTTTGTTTTGAGACGGAGTTTTGCTCTTGTTGCCCAGGCTGGAGTGCAGTGCAATGGTGCGACCTTGGCTCACCGCAACCTCCGGCTCCCAGGTTCAAGTGATTCTCCTGCCTCAGCCTCCTAACTAGCTGGGATTACAGGCGTCCACCATCACGCCCGGCTAATTTTTTTAATTTTTAGTAGAAATGGGGTTTCAGCATGTTGGCCAGGCTGGTCTTGAACTCTTGACCTCAGGTGATCCACCCGCCTCGACCTCCCAAAGTGCTGGGATTACAGGCATGAGCCACCGCACCCGGCCTATATAGTTTATTATTCATACACAAGGTAATATACTGTACTGTTCTGGATCTTGCTTTTATCACTTAGTAATATATTGCAAAGACCTTCCTTCCCCTCCCTCCGTCTCTTTCTTCCTTCCTTCCATCCATCCATCCTTCTTTTCCTTTTTCTCTTTCCTTCCCATCCTTCCTTCCTTTTTTTCTATTTCTTCTTTTTTTCTTACCATTTTTGTTTTTACATAGGTTTCACCATGTTGCCAAGGTTGGTCTCAATCTCCTGGGCTCAAATGATCCTCCTGCCTCAGCTTACCAAAGTGCTGGGATTACAGGCATGAGCCACCATGCCCAGCATGTTTTTTTTTTTTTTTTTGTGAGATGCAGGCTCCCTCTGTCGCCCGGCTGGAGTGCAGTGGTGCCATCTTTGCTCACTGCAACCTCCCCCTCCTGGGTTCAAGCAATTCTCCTGCCCCAGCCTCCCGAGTAGCTGGGATTACCGGCACCTACCACCATGTCCAGCTAATTTTTTTTTTTTTTTTGTATTTTCAGTAGAGATGGGGTTTCACCGTATTGGACAGGCTGGTCTCGAATTCTTGACCTTTGGTGATCCGCCCGCCTCTGCCTCCCAAAGTTCTGGGATTACAGGCATGAGCCACCGTGCCTGGCCTTCTTTTTTTTTTTAAGTCCAACAATTAATGAATACTAATTATGTGTCTATGATTTTTAAAAATGCCTTACATAAATTAATTCTATATATATATAGAGAGAGAGAGGGAGAGAGGCAAACAGAAGGAGAGAGAAAATGCTATCTAATTTTTTTCACATTTGCATGCTGTTCCAATATATTAATATGACATAATTTAATAAGTTGACTATTTCTATACATTTATTTATTTATTTTCCCAGCGCTCCCCTCAAGAAATATTCCAATACCTTTAGTTTTCCAATTGTTTGCTAGTGTAATGACACAGTGACTGTTTACTGGAACACATTACTATGTCAAAGAATATAGGCATTTAAATTTTAACAGATAACGTAAAATTGCCTGTCATAAAGATTGTACTAATTTACATTCATCCTGGAAATGTATGAGAGTATCTGGTTTCCTATGCTTTCAGTGTTGCAGTATGTTATCAAATTTATTGATATTCCTCAAAATAATTTTTCTTAAATTAAAAAAAAATAATTTTTATGTGGCCAGGCGTGGTGGCTCACACCTGTAATCATAGCACTTTGGGAGGCTGAGGTGGGCGGATCAGCCGAGGTCAGACATGGAGAAGCCCTGTCTCTACTAAAAATACAAAAATTAGCCGGGTGTGGTGACAAGCACCTGTAATCCCAGCTACTCGGGAGCTGAGGCAGGAGAATCGCTTGAACCTGGGAGGCATACGTTGCAGTGAGCCAAGATCATGCCACTGCACTCCAGCTTGGATGACAGGAGCTAAACTCCATGTCAAAAAAAAAAAAAAAAAAAAAAAAAAAAAATATATATATATATATATATATATATATATATATATATGTATATACATATATATGAATTTTTACTATCCTAATTTTACAGATGACAAAGTAATTTTAACATTGTATTTAATTTGAATTAGTCTTATCAGTAAAGTTGAAGAACTTTCCATAGGTTTATTGACCACTTATGTTTCCTTTTCTGTGAGCTGTCTATTCAAAGCATTTCTTTTATTTTTTTTCACTTAGATTATTGGTATTTTACTTACTGATCTTTACAGATTTTTAATTTTTTTATTGCTATGGGTACCTAGTAGGCATATATTTATAGGGCACATGTTGATTTTTAAAAACTGTATCTTTTTTTAGTGGTTGCTTCACCTTAAAATAATATTACATTAGTTCAAGTATAGCATCAGAACCTTGCAACAGTATATTTCCACTTATCCCTGCCCTCTCTTTGTCATGCATTTATATCCATATATGTCCTAAGGCTCACAATTCATCGTTATTATTTTTGTATAATGTTCCAATGTATGATATAGAATGTCCCAATATGGTTTTGGAACTGGTATAATTTTTCTCCTACCTAAAGAGCCTCTTTTCACATTTTTTCTACTATAGATCTGCTGGTGATAACATTTCCTTAGCTCTTTTATTTGAAAAATATATTGAATTAATTTTGGAAAAATATTTTCATGAGGTACAGAATCCAAAAATAAAGATACAGAATTCAGAATTCTAGGTTGATAGTTTTGTTTTTTCTCTTGGCACTTCTTTTTTTTTTTTTTGAGATGGAGTCTTGCGCTGTTCCCCAGGATGGCATACAGTGGCCCAATCTTGGCTCACTGCAACCTCCACCTCCTGGGTTCAAGCAGTTCTCCTGCCTCAGCCTCCCAAGTAGCTGGGACTGCAGGCGAGCACCAACATGCCTGGCTAATTTTTTTGTAATTTTAGTAGAGATAGGGTTTCACTGTGTTGGCCAGGCAGGTCTCAAACTCCTAACCTCAAGTAATCTGCCTGCCTCAGCCTCCTAAAGTGTTGGGATTACAGTTGTAAACCACTGTGCCCGGCTACTTTTGGCACTTTTAGTACTATGTTGTACCATTGCCTTCTGGCTTGCATAGTTTTTGACAAAATATCTGCTGAAATTCTTATTTGTGATCCCCAGTACTTAATATGTATTTTTTATTCTGGCTGGTTTTAAAATTTTCTCTTTTTCTCTAGTGTTGAGCAATTTAAAAATGATGTGCCTTAACATGCTTTTTCTTTGTATTTCTTCTGCTTTGAGGTCATTGAGCTTGAATCCATGGGTTTGTAGTTTTCGTTATATTTGGAAGATCTTCAGCATTATTTTTAGAATTTTTTTCCTCTCCCTTCCCCACTTCCATTCGGTTCTTTGGAAATTCCAATTTCAGTACGGGTGTGGTGGCTCATGCCTGTAATCCCAGCACTTTGGGAGGCCGAGGCTGGCGGATCACGAGGTCAGGAGATTGAGACCATTCTGGCTAACATGGTGAAACCCCAGCTCTACTAAAAATGCAAAAAAATTAGCCGGGCATGATGGTGGGTGCCTGTAGTCCCAGCTACTCGGGAGGTTGAGGCAGGAGAATGGCGTGAACCTGGGTGGTGGAGCTTGCAGTGAGCCGATAACGGATATCATGCCACAGCACTCCAGCGTGAGCGACAGAGTGAGACTCCGTCTCAAAAAAAAAAAAAAAGAGAAATTCCAATTTCATGTGTTTTAAACTGTTCATTCACAGGTCCCTGAAGCTCTATTCTTTTTTTTTTTTTTAAGCATTTTTGCTTTCCCTGCTTCCTTTTTTACAGTTTCTGTTGCTATGGCTTTAAGTTCACTTACCTGTTCTTTTGCAATCTCTAATTTTCTGGTAATTTTATCAAGTAGGATAGGGTATAATTTCAGATTCTGTGTAGTTTATATCTAGAAATTGCATTTGGGTCTTTTAAAAAATCTTCAATTTCTCAGCTCATTATATTTCTGTATTCTTGAGTAAGTTCAGAAGATTTTTAAAAATTACAGTTGGGTCCTGGGCACGGTGGTTCATGCCTGTAATCCCAGCACTTTGGGAGGCCAAGGCAGGTGGATCAGCTGAGGTCAGGAGTTTGAGACCAGCCTGGCCAACATGCAGAAACCTCCTCTCTACTAAAAATACAAAAATTAGCTGGCATGTTGGTGGGCGCCTGTAATCCCAGCTACTTGGGAGGCTGAGGCAGGAGAATTGCTTGAACCCAGGAGGCAGAGGTTGCTGTAAGCTGAGATTGTGCCACTGCACTCCAGCCTGGGTGACAGCGTGAGACTCTATCTCAAAAAAAAAAAAAGTATTATTGGGTACAGAGACTCACTGTCACCCAGGCTGGGGTGCAATTGTGAGATCTTAAACCCAAGAGCCTCGAACTCTTGGGTTTAAGGGAACCTCCTGCCTCAGCATCCAGAGTAGCTAGGACTGCAGGTGTGTGCCACCATGCCTGGCTAATTTTTTAAATTTTTTAATTTTATATTTTTAATTTTTTTGTTTGTTTTTTTGAGACTGAGTCTTGCTCTGTTGCCCAGGCTAGAGTGCAGAGGTGTGATATTGGCTCACTGCAACCTCCACCCCCCGGATTCAAGCGATTCTCCTGCCTCAGCCTCCCAAGTACCTGGGATTACAGGCGCTCGCCACCACACCCAGGTAATTTTTGTATTTTTAGTAGAGATGGGGTTTCACCATGTTGGCCAGGCTGGTCTTGAACTCCTGGGCTCATACTATCCTCTCACCCCCGTTTCCCAAAGTGCTGGGATTACAGTACCTTGCCCAGCCAATTTATAAGATGTTTTATAGCAATCTTAAGGTATTTATCTTCTAATTCCATCATCTTTGTCATCTTTGTGTGTTTCTATTATTTCTCCTGATTATAGATCATATTTTCCTAATTCCTTGCTTGGTAATTTTTACAGTTTTGGATTTTGTTGTATTTCTTTACATAGTCTTGGAGTTTGTTCTGGTGTGCAGTTAAATTACTTGTCAGTTTAAATCCTTCTAGGTTTGATAGGATGGTCCAGAATAATCGTAGGTTAAGGCTAATTTAGCTTCACTACTTACATGATAACCTTCTAACCATTCTACCCAATTCCCTCTTCACTGCTTGATGGGAAAGCAATTGCAAGCTTATATGAGCTTTGGGAATTGTTTGGCCTGCTCCTCTCCACAGTGGTTTTTTCTACAGTCTGGTGGATTTCTCCCCATGCATGCACAGATTAGTACTCAGCCAGCAACTTCATGAGTTCCCTCTACATATCTCCAGGGCTCAGTCTCTGAGATTTGTCTCTCCAATACTCTGTCCTGCAAATTACAGCCTCTTTGGCTTCTGAGGATACTAGTCTTTCTCCCCTTAACTCAGGGAAACTGCTGGACTCAGTTTTGATTCTTCCTCCTGTGCTACAGCCTGGAAACTGCCTCTAGCAGCAGGATAATGCAATCACAGGGCTCATTTGTTTCCCTTTTCTCATGGATCTGAGTTTCACAAGAGTGAAACTCCGGCTCAAAAAAAAGGGGGTTTTATTCGAACAACATACAAACACACAACAGAATGCTTCATAAGTCACTTTAAACAATAAAATAGACAATAATAACATACATATTTTTATAAGCATACTCAGGTATACTAATGACAGTTGCACAGGTACAACAGTTATGAGCAGATGAACTGTATTCATAAGGTCATTGGCTGGGTGCGGTGGATTATGCCTGTAATCCCAGCACTTTGGGAAGCTGAGGTGGGTGGATCACCTGAGGTCAGGAGTTCGAGACCAGCCTGGCCAACGTGGTGAAACCCTGTCTCTACTAAAAATACAAACAATTAGCTGGGCGTGGTGGCAGGCGCCTGTAATCCCAACTACTTGGTAGGCTGAGGCGGAGAATCACTTGAACTCGGGAGGCAGCGGTTGCAGTGAGCCAAAATCACAGCATGAGCAACAAGAGCAACACTCCATCTCAAAAAAAAAAAAAAAAAAGGTCGGCTGGGAGCAGTGGCTCATGCCTGTAATCCCAGCACTTTAGGAGGCTGAGGCAGGAGGATCTCTTCAGCTCAGGATACCAGCCTGGGCACCATGGTGAAATTCCATCACTATAAAAAATATAGAAAGTTAGCCAGGCGTGGTGGTGTGTGCCTGTGGTCCCAGCTACTCTGGAGGCTAAGGTGGGGAAAAATCACCTGAGGCTGCAGTGAGCTGTAACCACATCACTATACTCCAGCTTGGGCAACTCAGTGAGACCCTGTCTCAAAAAAAAAAAAATAAATAAAAATAGAAGGAGGTCAAGGCTGGGCATGGTGGCACATGCCTGTAATCCCAGCACTTTGGAAAGCCAAAGCAGGAGGATCACTTGAGGCCAGGAGTTCGAGACCAGCCTGGGCAACAAATCAAGACCCTTTCTCTACACAAAATTTAAACATTAGCCAGGTGTGGTGGTATGTACTTGTAGTCCCAGATACTTGGGAAGCTGAGGTGGGAGGATCACTTGAGCCCAGGAGTTGGAGGCTGCAGCGAACTATAATCATGCCACTGTGTCTTAGCCTGGGAGATAGAACGAGACTCCATTAGTAAAAAATGAAAATTAAAAAAAATAAAGAGTTAAAAAAGTGAAGTACAAACATTTATCACTATGGCTGGTAATTGTGTGCACTCCACTTTATTAACTGTGGTCATCTGAAATACCATGATAGACAATCTGAGCCTTTTGATGAGATCCATCAAAAACCACATGGGCCAGCTACCACATGTGCAGTCACCCAAAGAGTCAAGATCTCAAGAAATTTTATCTTTCACAAATGCAGATGTACATCACTTCGTTTATTAAGTTTCTACATTTTTACCTTGTGAACCAGGGAAGTTGATGGTGTAACTCCCAGTCCAAGGCTGAAAGCCTCAGGATCTGGGTGGTTGCTGGTGTAAGTATGTGCTGGAATCCCAAGGCTGGTGAGCCTGGAGTTCTAACATCCAAGGCAGCAGAAGAAAAGTCTGTCCCATCTCCCAAAGAATCCAGTTAACCTTCTGGATATGTTCTGTCTGGGCCTCCTGCAGATTAGATGGTGCATGCCAACATTGAGGGCAGATCTTTCCCATCTAGTCCACTCTGACTCATACACTAATCTCCTCTGGAAACATGCTCACAGACACACCCAAAATGATGCTTTACCAGATTTCTAGGTATTTCTTAATCCAGTCAAGCTGACACCTAAAATTAAGTCCACAAATTCAAACCTTGTCAACTTCACACCCATATGTATGAACTGTATATAATTTCCATGTAAAGACAATAGCAAGAAAATACTTCACCTAACATGATATGGCTATCCCACATACAACCAAAAATGTGCTAAATTTCTTCCCTAGATTTTGGCTTTCAAATTCCAGGATTTTAATATTTTGGGTTTTTAATTTTCAGGATTTTAGATATTAGAGATTTTAGACTTTAGAGATTTTGATCTTTTGGGATTTCAACATTCAGGATTGTATCTTTTGGGATTATGACTGACACCAGTTCTGACATAGACCGTTTAGGCCACAGAGCCTAAATAGTTGCTATCAGGCTCTTTACAAAAAGCTTTGCCAGTCCCTGACTTAGTGTCAATGGCAGTAGAGAGAAATGGGTGAATTTGATAGATATTAAGAGGTAGAATTGACAAAACATGGTGACTAATTGGATATATCAGTAAGAAGGAAAAAAAGTATTGTTCTGAGGTTTCCTGCTTGGCAAGCTGAGAAGTAGTAGTTTGGTTTATAGAAATAGCAAATAATGAAAGTGGGTCAGATTTGGGGAAAGTGGCAACGGCATGGAGATGACTTCAGTTTTAGGTATTTCGAGTTTGAAGTGTCTATAAGTCATCTGGAGCTGTCCAGGAGATGGTTCTATACATGAAGATCAGGACCAGTTTCTTGTCATCAGCATATAGGTGCAAAATGAGTACACACAGAAGAAGAGAGGGTCTGCTGGGCACAGTGGTGCAGGTCTGTAATCCCAGAACTTTGGGAGGCTGAGAATGGTGGATTGCTTGAGCCCAGGAGCTCGAAACCAGCTTGGGCAACATGGTGAAATGCCATTTTTTTTTTTTTTTTTTTTTTGAGACAGAGTTTTGCTCTTGTTGCCCAGGCTGGAGTACAATGGCACGATCTCGGCTCACTGCAACCTCCACCTCACAGACTCAAGCAATTCTCCTGCCTCAGCCTCCCAAGTAGCTGGGATTATAGTCCCAGCTACTCAGGAGGATCACTTGAGTCCAGGTGGTTGAGGCTGCAGTGAACTGTAACGGTGCCATTGTACTCCAGCCTGGGCAACAGAGCAAGACCCTCCCTCAAAAAAACAAACAAAAAATAAGTAAAAAATACAAAAAAATTAAAAATGTTCTGTTTTCATACGCACATGTCTGCCTCACTCATAGTTTTATTTTTATAAATTCAAGCACACAGTAGAGACTCTCTTTCTGACTTTATTTGCAGCTACTTTTAGAAAAAAGAATCTGACTGGCTCAGCACAGCCAATGGTTTTGCTTCCCTAGTGCCAAGTGTTCATTCCTGATCCAAGTAGCTGTGGTCAAGGGAGCAGGATCACAGGGGATGAGCATGTCTCCAGGGCCACACTGCTGGGTCCAAGTGGGGGAAGTTTTCAGAAGAGAGGGGTGTAGATTGGACAGTATCATAAAATGAATGTAGTACAGAGGGAAGCCAGAAGTGAAAGTAAGAGAGAGGGTGTTTCTAGAAAAGAAAAGTAGTTAACATTGTTATTCTGCTAAGAGAACAAGCAAGATAAGTACTGAAATTTATAGAAGACTTAGAAAATAAATTAAAAAAAGAAAAAGCTAATGTTAATTTTTTATTTCCTTACAATTTGAAAATAGTTGGGACCATATTATATGTGGAGTTTATTCTTTTTATTTAATATTATATGTGATTATTAATTTTATGTATCAGTTTATTTGAGTAAAGGTACTCAGATTTTTTTTTTTTTTTTTTGAGATGGAGTCTTGCTCTGTTGCCCAGGCTGGAGTGCAGTGGTGCGATCTTGGCTCGCTGCAACCTCCGCCTCCCAGGTTCAAGCGATTCTCCTGCCTCAGCCTCCCCAGTAGCTGGGATTACAGGTGCCTACCACCACGCCTAGCTAAGTTTTATATTTTTAGTAGAGATGTGGTTTTGCCATGTTGGCCAGGCTGGTCTGGAACTCCTGACCTCAAGTGATCTGCCCACCTTGGCCTTCCTGGGATTACAGGCCTTGACCACCATGGCCAGCAAAAGTACTCAGCTTTTGATCAAAAATGATCAAAACATCTAGATGTTTTTCTGAAAGTAGTTTTTAGACAAGTTTAACATTTAAATCAGTGGACTTTGAGTAAAGCAGATTATCCTCCATAATGTGAGTAGGTCTTATCCAATTAAATGAAGGCCTTAAGAGAAGACTGACCTCCCCCAAAGAAGAGTGAATTCTGCCAACAGAATGGTTTCAGACTTGAGCTACACATTAACTCTTCCCTGGGTCTTCAGCCTGTCGGCCTGCCCTGCAGATTTTGGACTTGCCAGCCCCTACAACTGCATGACCAATCCTTAAAATAAACTTTTCTTTGTATATGTAGATATACATATCCTATTGGTTCTGTTTCTCTGGAGAACCCTGAGTAATACATTATGTAAAGAATTTTCCCACCAATATAAATCCCTAGAAAACAATCTTAATGGCCAGGTGCAGTGGCTCACGCCTGTAATCCCAGCACTTTGGGAGACCGAGGTGGGCGGATCACCTGAGGTCAGGAGTTCAAGACCAACCTGGCCAACATGTGGAAATCCCGTCTCTACTAAAATTACAAAAAATTAGCTGGGCGTGGTGGTGGACGCCTGTAATCCCAGCTACTTGGGAGGCTGAGGCAGGAGAATCGCTTGAACCCGGGAGGCAGAGGTTGCAGTGAGCCAAGATCGCGCCATTGCACTCCAGCCTGGGCAGCAAGAGTGAAACTCTGTCTCAAAAAAAAAAAAAAAGAAAGAAAACAATCTTAATGAATGAAATTTTAAAAATATTCCTATGAAATAGTTTTTATACTGTAGGGTTATGATTATTATAGGTCTTAGTATCCCCATTTATAGATGAGGAAACTGAGATGTAAAGAGATTATGCGGCTAGCCCTATCCCATGGTCCTACAACTGAAGAAGTAGCTTTTGGGGTGTCTGCCTAGTTTATAACTCTCTAAAAGCTCCCTTACCTATAGGGAAGCTATATTTTCTTTACATGATCTCGTCCCTTAGGATTTGAGAACAGGTACAGAGTCTGGGCTGGTTTTCTCAATGAGGAAGTAAATTCAGAAGCCTTTGTCTGTCATGTGGACTGAAAGGCAGAGAAGCTGGTCTGTAGAAAAAGAAAAATGAAGCGGAAATATAGAAAGAAAAGATGATCCTGTGACTGTTCTGTTTATAGTTGTGGTTTCTTCTCCAAGCTTAGCCTCATTCCACCTTAGGGTTCTGTGAGACGCTGTCTATCCTTTTAATGCATCTCCTTTTTTTCTTCTTAAAATAATCTAAATTGGTTTCTGTTATTTACATGTTTGGAGTTCCAATATAATGCATGAAGTAAATAGTGATAGGTCTATGTAGCTCTATAAACTCATATTTTTAACTACTTCATTATAACCAATAAATTTGGTTTATAATTATTGTATGTTATCAATAATTTTATGACAAACATTTAAAAATATGAATCCTTACCCACATTTCTATGTCCTTAGTATAGAATTCTAGCATTGCTGGGTCAATATATATGAACATTTAGAGCTCTTCTGTGTATTGACAAAATGCTTTCCAGAAAGGTTGTATCAGTTTTCATTACACTAGTAATGTATGAGAACAAGGCATGTCTATCTTTAATGTGCCATTATTGTCATCCGTTTACATGTACACTATTCATTCCTAGAATTGAACAGAAATTCTTTCCTGTGCCTGCCTTCCATATTTAAGTTACTCTGAAAAATTTAAATTGTATTAAAGACAGTTTTTGTAATTGTTTTAATTGCAAGTGATTTTATTGACTTAATTTACTACCTTCAATGAATGTAAATGGAACATGCCAAAATATGCAAAATAATTCTTATTATGTATAATAGTGAGAAAGTATATCACAAAGAAAAAAGCCGTTTGGTAGAATAATTGAGGGAAACGTTTAGATAAATTTTCTTGTGATCAAGGATGTGCAGTGAAAAGATTAGATAGTGGTATGAAATTAAAAACATCTAGGATGTCATGTGATCTGTTTTGGGTTTGGTACATTTTTACATTTTTATGTATTTGAAAATAATGTGAAGGACTTGTAATTTTTACTTTCTACTCTATAAGACCTAAAGATTTAATTTCAGTAAAAACATTCTTATTAGAGGAAATACATAAATGCCACAGATACAGCTCAACATTCTCTATGAAAATGAAAACAGAAGCCAGGAAACCCCTGCCAAATTTAAAATTGTTACCCATTTGTGTAATGATAAAAATATAAAGTAAGAAGCAATGATAAATTGGAAAAGGAATTAGAATAGGTCACTAGAGTATAATACTGAATGTTACTTAGCATCCATAGGTCTGTTCTTTAACTGTAAAGAGAGAGGGATAGAATTAATGGTTTTTTTTTTTTTTTTGAGACAGAGACTCCCTCTTGTTGCCCAGGCTGGAGTGCAATGGCATAGTTTCAGCTCACTGCAACCTCTGCCGCCTGGGTTCAAGCGATTCTCCTGCCTCAGCCTCCCGAGTAGCTGGGATTACAGGCCCCCACCACCACACCCGGCTAATTTTGTGTTTCTAGTAGAGACGGAGTTTCACTATGTTGGCCAAGCTCGTCACGAACTCCTGACCTCAGGTGATCCACCCACCTTGGCCTCCCAAAGTACTGGGATTATAGGTGTGACCCACCACGCCCAGCCAGAATTAGTATCTTTAAGCTCTCTTCTACCTCTAATTAGATGAAATTTTTATTTAGCCTTCATTCTAAGAAAAACTTAAAATATATTTGAGTGATATTCTACTTGATCCTAAGGATAAAAGAAATTAAACAACACACTTTGAACAACTTTATATATGAAGGGCAGCATAGTGTAGTAGTTAAGAGCTCAGACTCAGGAATCAGACTTCCTGTGCTTGAATCACAGATCCATAACCTGATAGCTGGTTGACTTAGGGCAAAAATTTGACCCTGCTGTGCCGCAGTTTCATCTATAAAATGAGGTGAATTAGAATAGCTACGCCATATGGTTGTTCTGATGATTACATGGGTTAATATTTGTAAAAGCTCTTAGAATAGCACCTGGTATGTAGTAAATTGTATGTCAAATAAAAATTACTAACCTCTCAGTAAATAATAAATTCATATTTATTTCTCCTAATGTCTGCCTAGAATTGAATTTTGGCTTAAAAAAGTCTAGCCAAATTAACGGTCAGAAATAAAGGATTGCTGGCTGGGCACAGTGGCTCATGCCTGTAATCCCAGCACTTTGAGAGGCCGAGGCTAGCAGATCATCTGAGGTTAGGAGTTCGAGACAAGCCTGGCCAATATGGCAAAACCCCATCTCTACTAAAAATACAAAAAAAAAAAAAATAGCTGGGCATGGTGGTGGGCACCTGTAATCCCAGCTACTTGGGAGGCTGAGGCAGGAGAATCATTTGAACCCAGGAGGCGGAGGTTGCAGTAAACCGAGATGGGGCATTGCACTCCAGCCTGGGAGACAAGAGGGAAACTCCATCTCAAAAAAAAAAAAAAAAAAAAAAGGATTGCTGCTATAGCCAGTGAGTACCAAGAAAAAAAGAAAGATTGGGTTAGGTAGGAATAGAAAAGAAGTGGAGAGAGTGGAGGACGATACCACAAATATGTATCAGAAACAAGAGAAAGGTCAGTTAGATTGCTGTGACTGAGGAATGGGGGAAGAGATAGTCCCCCTAGTTCTGACTTTTTATAAAATAGAAACTAAGCTCTTACAGAATTGCTAAATTTACTAATGTGGGAAAGACAGAATTTGAGTTTGCCATTGTAATGCGTTTTGCATTTTGAAAATTATTGTACTTAATGAGCCTACCACACTCACTTTTTCCTGAGTGCCGAGGCAGCTATACAACTATTGTCACCACAGACTAGATTTGTTCTCAACCCTGGAGGTTTGAATAGGGATTTAAAAAAAAAATCTGCACAGAATCCACACAAGACACTGGAGAAGTTTTCTGGAGCCTCGAAGCAGATGAGGGTGGATTATCCAAGACATAAAAAAATACTTAATAAGGGCTTGGTGCAGTGGCTCATGCCTGTAATCCCAGCACTTTGGGAGGCCGAGATAGGTGGATCACATGAGGTTGGCAGTTCAAGACCAGCCTGACCAGCAGGAGAATTGCTTGAACCCGGGAGGCGGAGGTTGCGGTGAGCCGAGATCGCGCCATTGCACTCCAGCCTGGGCAACAAGAGAGAAACTCCATCTCAAAAAAAAAAAAAAAAATCAGTAGATAATGAAGAAGTACTAATGACTTGGAAACTGCCTGGACGTCTATATTTATTGGTTTCTGGAGAGGCAATCAGGAATTTCTTCCTCATGATCTGGAATGCTGGGGCCTGCCTGTAGCTCTGACGTGTTACAAGCTATAACATGTAGCCCTACTCTTTCTTCACAGATTCTTTCCTTAATAGGAACTGGAACACAGATCCTGTTTTTTTAACGTAAGATTATATCGACTAGTATGGTAGCAAATAGCACTTCCCTTACTGTGGTTTTTGATATAAAATATATTTTTAATTATAATGTGTATATGGTGAGTTCAGTTGCTAAACTGATTCTTTGTAACTTAAGAGTTCAAAAGAGAAACAGTAATAACACTGACATTAGATGCAAATAGGTCAAAACCGTAGATTGAGAATGTTTTAAATTATATTTTTCTCATTTAATGTGTACATTAAATGATTATATATGGGTCAGTTTTTTTTTTTTTTTTTTTTTGGGACAGAGTCTCACTCTGTCTCCCAGGCTGGAGTGCAGTGGCATGATCTCACTCATTGCAACCTCTGCCTCCATGTTCAAGTGATTCTCCCACCTCAGCCTCCCGAGTAGCTAGGACTACAGGCGCATGCTACCAGGCCCAGCTAATTTTTGTATTTTTAGTAGAGACAAGGTTTCGCCACATTAGCCAGGCTGGTCTCAAACTCCTGACCTGAGGTGATCCACCCATCTCATCCTCCCAAAGTGCTGGGATTCTGTTTCTTAAGTTTACTGAAAAGGATTTTCAGATTGCAATTTATTATGGTGGATTTCACAGTTGCTCTTAGAACTAAGGGTTAACACAGCCCATGTTTGAGGCCAGGAACTGAATGATACTATGGCGTTTGACACATGTTTTCATGAATATAATATGGTAAGGCTGGTGGCTGAAGGCTTATGTTTACTTTGTTCAACAAGTATTAATTGACTGCGCACTATGTGCCAGACACATATTATAGTAATACAGGCAGGAGAGAATTGCTGGTGGCTTACAGCAGGTAATAATGGTAGAGGTAGAAGTGGTCACATTCTGGATATGTTTATTTTTGGTTTATTTTTTTTTAACTTGGGGTAAAACTTACATAAAATTAATAATTTTGAAGTGAATAATTCAGCTCTAGTACATTCACAATGTCGTACAACCGTTGTTTCTATCTAGTTCCAAAACACTTTTATCACCCCAAAAGGGAACCCTCTTCCCATTAAGCATTTGGCTCCCCGTTTCTCTCTCCCCCTGACTTCTGGCAACCATCCATGTTGTGGCTGTATAGGTTTACCTATTTTGGATATTTCATATAAATGAAATTGTATAATATGTGACCTTGGGTGTCTGGCTTCATTCACTTAACATAATGTTTTTTAAGTTCATCCATGTTGTAGCATGCATCAGTACTTCATTCCTTTTGTGTTGACTACTATTCCATTGTTTGTATATACCACAAATAATTTACCCATTCATCTGTTGATGAACACTTGGGCTATGCCCGCCTTTTGGTTATTGTGAATAGTACTGGTATGAACATATGTATAAATGTATTTGAGTACTGGTTTTCATTTCTTTGGGGGATATAGTTAAAATTGGAAATGTGTGGGTCGTATGGTAATTCTGTGTTTAACTTTTTGAGGAACTGCTAAACTGCTTTTCATAGCAGCTGCTTCATTTTACATCCCAACAGCAATGTATAAAGCTTCCAATTTCCCCACATACTCACCAATACTTGTTACTTTCCTGTCTTTTTTCTTTCTGTTAATTATTATAGCTATCCTAGTGGAGTATGAAGTTGTACCTCACTGTGATTTTGATTTTCATTTTTCATTTTCATTTCCCATTTTTTGAGACAGGGTTTCACTTTGTCACCCAGGCTAGAACGCAATGGCATGATCTTGGCTCGTGGGAACCTTTACCTCCCAGGCTCAAGTGATCCACCTACCTCAGCCTCCCAAGTACCTGGGACCACAAGTGCATGTCACCATGCCTGGCTAATTTTTGTATTTTTGTTAGAGATGGGGTTTCGCCTTGTTGCCCAGGCTCATCTCAAACTCCTGGGCTCAAGCAATCTGCCCACCTCGGCCCCCCAAAGTGCTGGGATTACAAGTGTGAGCCACCATGCCAGGCGAGCATATTTTCATGTGCTTTTTGGCCATTTGTATATCTTCTTTGGAGAAATGTCTATTCAGGTCCTTTGCCCATTTTTCAATTGTGTTGTCTTTTTGTTTTTGAGTTGTAAGAGTTCTTTACAAATTCTGCATACTAGATCCTTATTAAATATATCATTTGCAAATACTTTCTCCCATTTAGTAAACTGTCTTTTCACTTTCTTGATAATTTCCTTTGATGTACATGAGTGTTTTGTTTTGTTTTTTTGTTTTTTTTTAAAGACAGAGTCTCGCCCTGTCACCCACGCAGGAGTGCAATGGCACGATCTCGGCTCACTGCAACCCCCACCTCCCGGGTTCAAGCGAGTCTCCCACCTCAGCCTCCCAAGTAGCTGGGACTACAGGCACACATCACCATGCCTGACTAATTTTTTGTATTTTTCATAGAGACAGGGTCTCACCATGTTGGCCAGGCTGGTCTCAAATTCCTGACCTCAAGTGATCTTCCTGCCTAGGCTTCCCAAAGTGCTGAGATTACAGGCCTGAGCCGCCACACCCGGCCAATTTGTAAATTTTGATGAAATTCCAGTTTACCTATGTTTTTCTTTTGTTACACATGCTTTTGGTGTCATAGTTAAGAATCTGTTGCCTAATCCAGAGTCATAAAGATTTATCCCTGTGTTTTCTTTTAAAAATTTTTTTAAAGATTTTCTTTCTTTATTGAGACAGGGTCTTACTGTGTTGTCCAGGCTGGTCTTGAACACCTGGGCTCAAGCGATCCTTCTGCCTTGGCCTCCCAAAGTGCTAGAATTACAGGTGTGAGTCACTACACCCGGCCCCTATGATTTCTTCTAAAAGTTTTTAGCTGCTATATTTAAGTTGTTGACCCATTTTGAGTGTATATATGGTATGAGATAGGAGTCCAACTTCATCATTTTGCATGTAGGTATTCAGACGTCCTAGCACTATTTGTTAAAGAGACTATTCTTTACCTATTTAATGGTCTTGGCATTCTTATTGAAAATCAGTTAACCATACGTATATGGGTTTAGTTTGGGGCCCACGATTCTATTTCACTGGTCTATATGTCTGACCTTATGTCAGTACCACACTGTTTTGAATACTGTAGTAAATTTTGAAATTGGAAAATATGAGTCCTTCCACATTGTTCTTCTTTTTTAGTATTGTTTTGGCTCTTCAGGACCTTTTGCAATTCCATATAAATTTGAGGATCAGCTTTTCAGTATCTGCAAAAATGCAATTAGAACTTTGACAGAAGGGCTGGGCATGGTGGCTTAGGCCTGTAATTCCAGTGCTTTGGGAGGCTAAAATGGGAGGATCACTTGAGCCCAGGAGTTGGAGACCAGCCTGGGCAACATAGCGAGACCCCCATCTCTATAAAACATTAAAAAATTAGCAGGGTATGGTGGTGCACACCTGTAGTCCCAGCTACATGGGAGGCTGCATTGGGAGGATCACATGAGTCCAGGAGTTGGAGGCTATGGTGAACTATGATTGAACCACTGCTAGATTGCACTCCAGCCTGGGTGATAAAGCGAGACCCCACTCCCCACCTGCCGCCAAAAAAAAAAAAAAAAAAAAAAACTTAAATAGGGATTACATTGACTATAGATCATTTTAGATAATAGTGCCATTTTAACATATTAAGTTTTAATGTATTAAGTCTTCTAATCCATAAACATGGGATATCTTTTCATTAATTAGGTCTTTTTTTTTTTTTTTTTTTTTTGAGATGGAGTCTCTCTTGCTCCGTTGCCAGGCTGGAGTGCCGGGGTGCAATCTCAGCTCACTGCAACCTCTGCCTCCCGGGTTCAAGCAATTCTCTTGCTTCAGCCTCCCAAGTAGCTGGGACTACAGGCACGCGCCACCACGCCCAGCTAATTTTTGTATTTTTAGTGGAGACAGGGTTTCACCATGTTGGCCAGGATGGTTTTGATCTCTTGACCTTGTGATCCGCCCACCTCAGCTTCCCAAAGTGCTGGGATTATAGGCATGAACCACTGTGCCTGGCCTTAATTAGGTCTTTAATTTCTTTCAGTAATGTTTTATAGTTTTCAATGGACAAACCTTTCACTTCCTTAGTTAAGTTTATTCCTAGGTATGGGTATTTTATTCTTTAGGATGCTACTGAAAGTGGAATTATTTTTCTTACTTTCATTTTAGGGTTTTTTTTTTATTGCTGGTATGTAGAAACACAGCTGATTTGTGAGTGTTGATCTTACACCCTGCAACTTTGCTGAATTCATTTATTAATTCTAATATGTTTTCTTCATGGATTATTTGGGATTTTCTATCTTTAGGATCACTTCGTCTGTGAATGGGGGTATAGTAGCCCCGCTCATCAGCAGAGGATATGTTCCACGACCCCCATTGGTGCCTGAAACTGTGGATAGTAGTCAACGCTATATATACTGTTTTTTTCCTGTACATATGTATCTATGATAAAGTTTAATTTATAAATTAGGCACAGTAAAAAAAAATATCACTTTATCTGTTATTTCCTTTAGCCATTAAGATCTGTAGTCTTTTTTGTCTGCTTACTGATGAAATTCTTTTTTACTTTGACACTTAGAAGTTCAGAATTCTGTTATTCAATGGGGAGTAAATATGAAAGTCATCATGTAGTCAGAACTGGATCAAGTGTTCCCCAAAATGTTTTCTTTTTAATTTTTTTTTAGACAGAGTCTCACTTCTTCACCCAGGCTGTAGTGCAGTGGCGCAATCTCGGCTCACTGCAACCTCTGCCTCCCAGGTTCAAGCGATTCTCATGCCTCAGCCTCCCAAGTAGCTTGGACTACAGGTGCGTGCCACTACACCTGGCTAATTTTTGTATTTTTAGTAGAGACAAGGTTTCATCCTGTTGGCCAGGCTGGTCTCAAACTCATGATCTCAAGTGATCAGCCTGCCTCGACCTTCCAAAGTGCTGCTGGGATTACAGGCATGAGCCACCATGCTTGGCCCCAAAATATTTTTTTTCCATAAAAAAATCTAGAGAACATATCATAAAGGTGGAGAGTAATGACCAAAAAAAGTCGGTCAATAAAAATGACTTATTTTGTTTTCTTTAGTCACCTCATCCCAGTGAAATCTGAAGGTGCCATGGAGCAGAGAAAAGGAAAGCCTCATAGCTTCTTTAGCCTCTGCATCTGGCTTGATAACATTCCATCTCTCCTTTTTAAACACCTTGGACATCGTAAAATTGAATAAATGTGGGTTAAGTCATACTTGGTTTCATTGCTCCTATTTAAAATCTCTACCCTTCCCCGTCCTACCTTCACCTCTAGCTTCTGAGACTCTATAGGTGATTTTTTCTTCAGTTTGTTGTGTATAAAGAACTCTTATCAGTAATTTTGTACATTTCTACTTCCTTATAGGGTCCAAGTTAGAGAAGGAAGTGCAGAAAGATTTTTTTAAAGTTGACTTTTTTTTTTTTTTTACTTCTTTTGGTTCTTTTTTTTTTTTTTTTGCTGTCAACAGCTTTTTAAAAATTAGACTTTAAAGGTTTTTAAAGACTTTAAAGGTCAAGTCCCTGCTGTAGAGACAGACACCACTGTTATCTCTTACCTAGATTATACCAACAGCCTTCTAACTGGTCTTCCTGTTTTTGCCTTACTCTCTTAAAATTTAATCTCTACATAGCAGCTTTACTCAAAACCCTGCAGTGGCTCCCCATTTGATTCACAATAGAAGCCAGTTTTCTTATGGTGGCCTCCCAGGCTCTACTTGATCTGGCCCCCCATTACCTCCCTAACCTCTTCTACTTGCTCTCTCTGCTATGGCCACAGCTAGCCTCCTTGCCAGTCATACTTGGTGATCAGAAACTTTGCTCACTGATTCGCCTGCCTAGTATATGCTATTCCCACAGATAATCTGCTTGGCAAGTATACTCACCTCACCTCCATTCCGTCTTGCCTCAAATCTCAACTTCTCAATAAAGCCTACACTATCTTCTATTTAATACTGTAACCTGCCCCATTTACACTCTGAAACTCATGACCCTATTTTTATATCTGTTTTAATTAAGTTAGACTTGTTGATACTGTGGCAATGACTTAATCCCAAAATTGCAATGACTTAACACATAACAAAATCTTGTATCTTGGCCAGGAGTGGTGGCTCATGCCTCTCATCTCAGTACTGTGGGAGGCCAAGGCGGGTGAATTGCTTGAGCCCGGGAATTTAAGACCAGTCATGGGCAACATGGCGAGACCCTGTCTCTGCAAAATATTTTTTAAAAAATCAGCTGGATGTGGTGGCACACCTCTAGTCCCAGCTACTCTGGAGGCTGAGGTAGGAGGGTCGCTTGAGTCTGAGAGGTGGAGGTTGCAGTGAGCCGAGATCATGCCACTGCACTCCAGCCTGGGCAACAGAGCGAGACCCTATCTCAAAAAAAAAAAAATCTTGTGTTACAAATCCATTATGCGTTAGCAAACAGCTTTGTCCACTTTGACCCTCAAGGACCTAGGCTGATGGAAGCTTGCCCGTCTCGTGATGCATCTCAACATGTAGTTTCCCAGGGTCACATCTATAGGAAAGAGAGAGTTCAAAGGAAGATTGAAAGTGGCATAAGTCACTTTTTTCCCCAGCTCACTGGCCAAAATTAGTTGCATGACCCTAATGTAAGTGAATCCAAAATGTAGGAGGAGCACAAGGAATATTAATGAGCATTACTATTTCTTCAACACATGTTCTCTTTTTATTTTCTCCATGTTACCTATCAGGTTTTATTATATGATTTATATATTTTATATAACTTATACATATTTACATATCATATCATTTGCATGCTTTTGTGTTTACTGTTTAATGCCTCCTCCAGCAAGAATAGGAACTTATACTCCCAGAAAAGAATATAATTATTCTCCCAAGGAATATTTAGAATATAAAATTAGTAAAACTTGATTATTTGTTGAATACAACGGCTAAGGAAAGAATTAAGGATAATTCATGTTTCTCATTTGGATTACTTGGTTTTTGGTGTTTCCAAATGAAATAGGGAATATCAGAGGAGGAACAAGTGTGGGTGATATGATGATGAGTTTGGTTTGAGGTATAGTGGGTTTACTGCCATAGGGACCTCAAGGTGGAAATATGTGCAGAGTTGGATATATGGTTCTTAAACCCGGGGAAATGGGTAGGTCTTCAGCATGCCTAGTCTAGAAGTAGTTAAAAAAATAAGAAAGGGGGCCAGGTGCATTGGCTCACTGCACCTGTAATCTTAGCACTTTGCGAGGCCAAGGTGTGTGGATCGCTTGAACTCAGGAGTTTGAGATACCCATCTGTAGTCCTAGCTGCTCGGGAGGCTGAGGCAGGAGGATTGCTTGAGCCTGGGAGGTTGAGACTGCAGTGAGCCATGATTATGCTGCCGCACATCAGCCTTGGTGACAGAGTAAGACCCTGTCTCAAAAAAAAGGAAAAGGTAAGACTGTCAGTAACTACTAAGGACAGAATCCTTCTGTATACTAATGTTTAAAGAACAAAAAGAGGAAGATACGCTCTTGTGTGGGAAATGCAGCAAAAAATAAATGGTGAAAGGTGAACCAGGAGAGTATGAAGCTATGACTATCGAGGGTATTTAGAGTTTCAAGGAGAAAGTGAGGGACCATGTTAAATGTAGTAGATATGTAAAAAAAACAACAACAACCAAAAAAAAAAACAACTCTGCCTGTAGTTCCAGCTACTCAGGAGGCTAAGGCAGGAGGATCACTTGGGCCCAGGAGTTCAAGGTGTTAGTATGCTATTATCACACCTGGGAATAGCCTCAGTACTTCAGCCTGAGCAACATAGTGAGACCCTGTCTTTCTAAAAAAACAGAACAAAACAAACCACCAAAAACCAACAATTTCGTACTAAATATTTTCTACTCTTCTTACAAGCTTACTTAAGTCCCTTGCTCCTTTATTTCAACCCAACTTCCCTAACCACATTGGCTTCAATTTCATTGAGAAATTTGAAGTCATCAGGCATAAACAGCCCCAAATGTGCCCTCCCTTCTTCCCTTTACAAACTTACCACCATGCCCATCCATCCTTTCCTCTTTCCCTCCAATCTCAGGACATTCACAGCCAACTTTTCCACTAGTGCCATTGATACCAAGAATTGTCTGCACTTTCTGTTTATGCTTTTTCCCTTTTATGATTTGTGCTCCTAGTATTCCACGGAAATTTTTCTCAGTAAGGGGACCATTTGAAATTTTAGTCAATGGGGTGGAAGTGAAAAACTAAGTACAAAGTGTTGAATACTGAATGCAAGGTAGGGGAATAGCAATATAAATTGGAGATAGCAGTCACTGATGAAGTGAGAGGGAGATAATGCCAATCCTCCTCCCCAGACAACTGAAGACATTTACATGGACCAGATTCAGGTACTATTCCAGAGGCCCTTTCATTTTGGTGGCCATATTAAAAGTATGTCTCTTACCTGTCCTCCTCCTCCTATACCATGCCAGTGATTGAATCTTCATTGTAGAAGCAGAAGTGAGCCAGTTCCCACAATAAAGAATTTAGACACATGAGATTTCATTCATTTGTTCATTTGTGGAAAAGTATTTCTTGAATGTCTGCCATGTGCCATACTCAGGGTTAGGTGCTGGAAATACAATGGGGAGTAAAAACAAATTTCTTGTTTTAGTGGACTTTATAGAATAGTGATTTGATTTGTCTTTTATTTGTTTGTTTATATCTAACTTAAATTTGTTTAACTAATTTTACTTTTTTTCCCCTTTAGTACCCTCTTATATATGGACTGATTCTTATTCCCTGCTGGTGTTCTCTAGTTTGCCTAAGTAGAATTTACATGGGAATGCACTCTATTCTGGTAAGGAAAATGTTGTCTTCTTAATACTTTATTTTTTATGACATTGACAGGAAATTTTATAATTTTTAATCATTTGCAAACTTACCTGAAGCCTAAATGAGAAAATATTGTAAGTCGTCTAACTTTGTTTTGCGAAAATATCAACATGATGGTTTATGAAATATTAATGTAGTAGTCACATATTTCATAGAAACAGTTTCCAGCAATCACAATAGCCAGGTATTATAATCAAGATAACATTTCTTCCTCCTTCCAGTCTCCCTTTTATTTTCCTTTGCAGTCTTTTCTGTGTCTCTCTTATCACTGAGTCAAAACCAGCAATGTGGCTACAGAAACCAAGGAGAGCTCCTAAGTATTGTTGAAGAACTAGTGACTAGAAACTATGTGAACTTAAACTTTCCAGGGGCCATTTGTGTTTACATATTAAACTCTACTTTTCTTTTCTTTCCCATCAGTATGTTAGGACTCACAGTGGACATTGTGTTTTGAGAATGCAATTCGGTTCCCAAAGCAGCAGCACAGGGACCCTGTACTATTTGCAGCCACACCCATTCACTTTCCCTCCTCGCTATCCCTATTGACACCCCCTTAGCTCTGGCCTGCAACATATCTTGACCAGATTACTGTGATAGCATCTTAATTAGTAGCCAACTTCCAGTTTGACACTGCTCCACTAGCATTCAGCTGTTTCGTAGACTTTCCAAAACACAAATACGATGCTATACTGAATTATTAGGTTTCCTCCAATGCAAAGGGTTTCTTACCTCCATAACTTTACAAATGCTGTAACATTTACTTGGAATGCCCCTTTCACTTTCTTTACCTTAACTATCCCATTCATTCTTCAAGACTCACTATAGATATTCTTAACCCCTCAAAGCCTTATTACCTTCCCCATCTTCTCTTTCTCAAGACTTGTGAGGTGACCCTTCCCCACTTATCCTAAATTGCAATTGCTTTTTTCCTTATCTGTCAAGTATACTAGACTCCAAGTTCCTTGAGAACAGCAACTGTGTGTTTTAACTCTACCTTTAGTATCCAACATGGTGTCTCATGAGGCATCTATGAATGAATTATGTATTATCATGGAGATAAAGGATCACAAAAAAAGGTGGAAGAATTCATGGAATTCTAGTTTCTAATGGGTCATGTCAGTTTTTTTCTTGTCCTTAACATGTTACCATTTTTAGAATTTTTTTTCTCATATTATTTCATTCTCTTATTTCTTAGTTATAGAAATGTTGGTTTCTATCTCAAATTTCTTGCTTCCAGCACCTGCTCCTTCACAGATAAATTTCCAGAAGTCCCAAACACTATTTTATTTTGTTGGGAGGCAGTGTGTGCTGTAATTTTGGGGTTGGTCATTGTTTCTAGGTTTTTTTAAATTTTAATTTTAGATTCAAGGGGTACATAAGCAGATTTGTTTGCAAAGGTATATTGTGTGATGCCAAGATTTGGACGTCTATTGATCCTGTGACCCAGATGGTGAACATAGTACCCAACAGGAAGTTTTGCAGCCCTTTCCTCCCCCCGCTCTCCCTCTCTCCTTTTGAAGTCCCTACCAAACACTTTTTTTTCTTTTTGAGACAGAGTCTTGCTCTGTTGTCCAAGCTGGAGGGCAGTGGCACAATCTCGGCTCACTGCAGCTTCTGCCTCCCAGGTTCAAGCAATTCTTGTGCCTCAACCTCCTGAGTAGCTGGGATTACAGACATGTACCATCACACCCGGCTAATTTTTGTATTTTTAGTAGAGACAGGGTTTCACCATGTTGGCCAGGCTGGTCTCAGACTCCTGACCTCAGGTAATCCACCTGCCTTGGCCTCCCAAAGTGCTGGGATTACAGATGTGAGCCACTGCGCCCAGCCCTAAACACTATTTTAATAAACAAATTATTTGTGTTTGACTTTTTATAATTATTTGTATTTAATATGAATTGTGAATTTACATACACTTCTTTCTGACTAATCTCTCCTAATTTTGTAATCAGATTAAGTATCATATTTTTATGCAAAATCAAATACTTGTTACAAGAAAATGTTTTCTATCTTCTGTGTCTTTTTAGAGTTATTCTGTTCCACCCCTAAAAGTTAGCATCACTACTTCTGAAAAAACTACCAAATGGTTATGCATCTTTAGTGATAAAAAGTGAATTCCTGGTATTTCTTGGAGAAAAAGATATTAGATAATATCCCTTGACTCATTATCATCATACAAGGAAGAAAAAGAATCTATGTGATCACATTGAATATATAATCTCAAAGATACTGGTTTTGTTTGCTTGCTTGTTTGTTTTTGAGATGGAGTCTTGCTCTGTCACCCAGGCTGAAGTGCAGAGGCGTGATCTCAGCTCACTGCAACTTCTGCCTCCCAGGTTCAAGGGATTCTTCCAAATAGCTGAGATTACAGGTGCATGCCACCATGCCCTGATAATTTTTGTATTTTTAGTAGAAACAGGGTTTCATCATGTTGGCCAGGCTGGTCTCGAACTCCTGACCTCAAGTGATCCACCCACCTCGGCCTCCCAAAGTCCTGGGATTACAGGTGTGAGCCACCATGCCTGGCTGATACTGTTCTTTTTTAAAAATGAAATGTTTAGTTGGGTTAGTCAAATATCCAGGATGGACAACATCTGTTCTTTTTTGTTTGTTTGCCTTTTTAGAGACAAGGTCTTGCTCTGTCACCCAGGCTGGAGTGTGATGGTGCAAACATAGCTCACTGCAATCTCAAACTCCTGGGCCCAAGTGATCCTCCCACCTTACCCTCCCGGGTGTCTAGGACTACAAACATGTACTATAATGCCCAGCTAATTTTTAAATTTTTTGTAGAGATAGGGTCTAGCTATGCTGCCCAGGCTGATATCAAACTCCTGGTTCAAGTGATCGTTCCACCTCAACCTCTCAAGGTGCTGGGATTACAGATGTGAGCCACTATGTCCAGCCTAACACTAAGAGTTTTAACAATGGTTATTGTTAGGTTAAAAACTGTTTGTTATTGTTTATCTATAATTTTTACTTTTTGTGTAGTGAGCATGTATTAAATGTGTATTTTAATGAAAGAAGATAGATACTTCAAAAGTCATCCCTAATCATAGCTTTTATAATCAAAAACAATGCATTATAACAATACATTTTGTTGTCAGAAACTGTTGTCATTGTCATATTTAAACTGGATCCAGGGCACCTGAAATATATTATAGTTAAAATAAAAACAAAAGGCTGGGCGTGGTGGCTCACGCCTGTAATCCCAGCACTTTGGGAGGCAGAGGCGGGCGGATCATGAGGTCAGAAGATCGAGACCATCCTGGCTAACACGGTGAAACCCCGTCTCTACTAAAAATACAAAAAATTAGCCAGGCGTGGTGGCGGGCGCCTGTAGTCCCAGCTACTGGGGAGGCTGAGGCAGGAGAATGGTGTGAACCCGGGAGGCGGAGCTTGCAGTGAGCAGAGATCGCGCCACTGCACTCCAGCCTGGGCGACAGAGCGAGACTCCCTCTCAAAAAAAATAAAATAAAATAAAATAAATAAAAACAAAAAAGCCATTATGAGATGGGAGACCTGAATTTCAGTCTCAGCAAATCACTAGCCTCTCTAGGTTTGATCAGTATAAATGAAAAAAATTTTCAAATTTAATACCTAATAAATCTTCATTAAATGTATGGTATTTAATATCATCTACCATAAATTGACGATAACCTGGAGTATTCCATTTAGATGTGTAATTAACAAATTTTGGGGTATAAGAGTTATTTATAATAATAAATAGCTAAAATTATTTGCTAAATTTCCTTTTAGAAAATTTGCTACTTTGAGCTCTTTGTTACCTTTAACATTAATGTTCTTTATTGCATACTTTGTGCTCTAACACTTAAAACCACTTAGTTATACATTTTAATGTTATCCATTATATTGATATCAAAATGATAGCCAACATGGTTATGTCGTAAATTTGAATGTTTCTTTTTCTGATTCTATTGGATAGGAGTTCAATATACCCTATCTAGGGAAATATAAACAATTTAAAACTCAAACAGAAAAGGAAGCAGATTTGTCTAGTTTCGTAGCAATCTAAGTTTTGTTTTGTTTTTTTTTCCTGGTCAGACAAGGTGTGGAACAATCTAAGTTTAATACTCGTGGAGCTATACACAAAAAGTAGAGGACAACAAATAATGGATTTTTTATGTCAATTGATACATGAGAAGTTATTATTTTAAAGAATTCTTAATGTTAAAGAGATCAAACATAACAATTTAAAGACATTTAATGAATTTTTTCTTTTTTTTTTTTCTTTTCTTTTCTGAGACAGGGTCTCCTTCTGTTACCCAGGCTGGAGTGCAGTGGCGTAATCTCTGCTCACTGCAACCTTTGCCTCCTGGACTCAAGCGATCTTCCCACTTCAGCCTCCCAAGTAGTTGGGACCACCATGCCCTGCTGATTTTTCTATTTTTTCTTTTTGGAAGAGACAGGGTTTGGCCATGTTGCCCAGGCTGCTTTCGAACTCCTGAGCTCAAGCGATCCACTCGCCCTGACCTCTCAATGTGTTGGGATTACAGGCATGAGCCACTGTGCCTGGCCAGTTTTTTCACTTTTTAAGGTACTATAAAAGAAACATTTTACAGGATTGAACATATGCTTATATCTATTATGAAAAAATACATAATTTAAAAAAATACCTGGCTGGGCACAGCAGCCCACGCCTATAATCCCAACAATTTGCAAGGCCAAGGTGGGAGGAGTTCAAGACCAACCTGGGCAATGTAGGGAGACTTCGTCTCTATAAAAAATTAAAAAATAAGTTGGTCATGGTGGCTTGTACCTGTAATCCCAGCTACTCACGAGGTCAAGGTGGGAGGATTGCTTGAGCCAGGAAGATTGAGGCTGCAATAAGCTGTGATTTTGCCACTGTACTCCAGCCTGGGCAACAGAGCAAGATCCTATCTAAAAATAAAAATAAAAATAATTAATAAAAAGCTAACTTCAGAGCTGTTAACCCTTCATTTCACTTAACCTTAGAGTAAATATGTATGGCTTTATATAAATAGCTTATCAGTTGTCATTTGTCTGAAACATCTGACTTGATATAAATTCTATGTGAAAAGTACAAAGTTTAGAATATATACACTTTAGCATATAACATGAAATTCTAAATCACTCATGAAATTTAAGATAAAAAGTAAAGCAACAGCTTTTATTTTTGTAGCCAAAATCCTATGGGTATTTACCAAGACTTGTGCCTTTAATTACAAGGTAGGGAAGTAAGGGTAAGATAGCAAACAAAGGGAATGTAACCTCATAAGGTGAAGTTATTTTGGCAATTTGGGCTCTGAAATATGAAGAATTGGCCAGGTGCAGTGGCTTACGCCTGTAATCCCAACACTTCGGGAGGCCGAGGCGGGTGGATCACTTGAGCCCAGGATATCTGGATCAACCTGGGCAACATGGCAAAACCCTGTCTTTATAAAAAAAAATACAAGAAGTTAGCCAGGTGTGGTGGTGTGTGCCTGTGGTCCCAGCTACTTGGGAGGTGGGAGGATTGCTTGAGCCCAGGAAGTCGAGGCTGTGGTGAGCCATGATCTCCCCTCCAGCCTAGGCCATGGCCATACAGTGAGATCCTCTCTCAAAAAAAGAAATATGAAGAATAGAGGTTTGACAGTCACATCATTTGAGATCTCCTTATCCAAATGCATGGTCAGAGTTTGAGTCACTTGTGGAATCTTTGAGTAACTGAAATAAAATCCAGTTGATCAGAATTCTTTGGTAATTTTTAGTATGTATCAGTGAGTTTTCTCGGAAGACATCCTGTTCAAAAAAAAAGTGTTGAGGCTGGATGTGGTGGATAATGCCTATAATTCCAACACTTTGGGAAGCTGAGGTGGGTGAATCACTTGAGCCCAGGAGTTCAAGACCAGCCTGAGCAACATAGGGAAAGCCTGTCTCTACAAAAAAATACAAAATATTAGCCAGGCCTGGTGGCTTGCGCCTGTAGTCCCAGCTACTTGGGAAGCTGAGGTGGGAGGATCAATTGAGCCCAGGGGGTTGAGGCTTCAGTGAGCTATGACCACGCCACTACACTACAGGCTGAATGACACGGCAAGACCTGTCTCCAAAAAAAAAAAAGGAAGTTGAACATTTAGTTTCTCTTCACTCCCAATATTTAATTTCTGATTCTCAAAATGTTAATTTTTATAACAACTGTGTCAAGTACCTTCAATGTAAGAGGTTAAATAAGCAGCTGTGTGACCTTACTCCAGTTTTCATTATTTAAAAACTGGTTGATTAAGGTAACCATAAATTTCCATCAAATTTGCACACTTTTGAAAGGGAAAAAGGTGCTTTTAATACCTGTCCTGGGGACAAGAGCAAAATGGGACTTTTCGAGGCAAGCTGTTTCATATTGGTTGTTATGGTTAAATGTGACAATAATTGTAAAGTATTGAAGCAGTGTTTTTAGTACGGAAAGTTATTATTCTCCAAAAATGTCTTAGGCCTGGTTCAATAAATTATATATCATCTGCTTCTCTTATAGAGCTCTTGTCAGGCAGGATTATGTAGTCAATGTGATGAGTCTAAAGAATACCTTAACTCTTTTTCTTTCTTCCTTTCTTCTTTTTTTTTCTTTCTCTTTTTGTTTTTTATTTTTATTTTTAAAGAATTACCTTAACTGTCTTAATTTAACTAACCAAACATTTATTTCCTGCTTACTTATTTTTCATGCACTGAAAATATATGTATAAATAAGGTAAAGTCTTTGCCTTTGAGTAGTCATTGTCTAAATATGCAGTATGTAATAAAACAGTGTAATGCAATTGTTTTCAACCAGGGTGTACATCAGAATCACTGGGGAGATTTTTAAAAAATACTGATGCCCTACCCCCACTTCAGTTCAATCATAATCTCTGAATATTGTCCCAGGCATCAGTATTTTTATCAAGTTCTCCACTTGATTTTAATCTACAGCAAGGGTTATGAACTTTTGGTTTCCTGGAGAAACAGACAAGCAAAGAATGGAAAACAGTCATAGCAGGTATGTGGAGGATGCAGTGGAATCAAAGAAGAGAAAATTTCTTATTACAGGGTAGGAGAAGAAAGTTTATGGAGGAGGTAGATGCCTGAGGAGAATCTCAAAGAATATATAATAGTTTGCCTGAAATATAGGTAGGAAAGATAATTCTAAGACAAGAAGAAATAGTCTATAAATTCATTTTGGGATCTGGCATTAAATGAAACTTAATGATAGACAAAACTCAGTTATGAAATGCTTTATATGTCCTTCTAAGAGTTGGAATGCACACATGATATTTATTGCCTTAGTTGACACTTTCCTAAACATTTTGTTAATTGATCACCTCTCAGCCTTTTGGCTAAGATCGAGCGTAAACATTTTGTTAATTGATTGTGTAATATCTTTCCTTGACCTGTTATAAAAGGAATCACTTATTTAAATAAAGAGAATACAATTATAATTTTAAGCAACTTTATTTACTTACTATTGTACAATAGGAGACTATCAGCCAAACTATGTTTTATATCTAAATAAAATTTTTAAAATGTTTTTCATGGCTGGGCATGGTGGCTTACACCTGTAACCCCAGCACTTTGGGAGGCCAAGGTGGACAGATTACCTGAGGTCAGGAGTTCGAGACCAGCCTGCCCAACATGGTGAAACCCTGTCTGTACTAAAAATACAAAAATTAGCTGAGTGTGGTTGGTGGCGCACACCTGTAACCCCAGCTACTTGGGAGGCTGAGACAGGAGAATTGCTTGAAGCCAGGAGGTAGAGGCTGCAGTGAGCTTAGATGGTGCCACTGTACTCCATCCCGGGGAACAGAGTGACACTCAGTCTCATATAAATAAATAAATAAAATATTTTCTTATATCTATCATGTAGTACATCATTTAAAGAGAGGAAAGATATTCATTTACAAGTAATTTGGTAGATTCTGCTAGACAAAACAAATTCATGTGAAGGATTTGTTTATTCATTCATTCATCCATCCAAAAAATATTTGAGGTTGAACAAAACATAGTCTATTTCCCTACCATTTTATAGTTGAATGTTCAACTGTATTCTTTTTCATAATTATCTGTATCTTCTTCTCCAGCTATTCTTATATTCCAAAGTGTTCCGATTTGGAGTTATATCTCTTTTAGAACAATGGCTTCAAGCACTGCAACTGCGGACCCTGTCATTTCATGACACAATTTTTATTGCATAGAAAAGAAATAGCCCAGCCGGTCACAGTGGCTCACAGCTGTAATCCCAACACTGTGGGAGGCTGAGGCAGGTGGATTGCTTGAGCTCAGAAGTTGGAAACCAGCCTTGGCAACATGACAAAACCTTGTCTACAAAAAATACAAAACTTAGCCTAGCTGGGCATGGTGATGCACGCTTGTAGTCCCAGTTACTCAGGAGGCTGAAGTGGGGAGGACAACTTGAGGTGGAGGTTGCAGTGAGCTGAGATTGTGCCACCAAAGTCCAGCCTGGGCGACAAACAAAACAAAACAAAAAACAGAGAAGCATTCAAGTTCAACCGTAATCAATTAACTAATCCAAAACCCAAAAACAGCTTAAATGACCATAAGTGGGAAAACCAATAAATTGTATAATGATGCAGCAGAATATTACATGATTGTGAAAGTGAATGACCGATAACTACATATAATATAATGAATGAATCTTAATGTTAAGTGTAAAAAGCAGTTCAAAAGAGACTGCTGTAACATTTTAGCAAAGCTCAGAAAGAAGCAAAACTAGATAATTTTTTTTTTTTTTTTTGAGACAGAGTCTTGCTCTGTCACCAAGGCTAGAGTGCAGTGGCGTAATTTCAGCTCACTGCAACCTCCACCTCCGGGGTTCTAAGCGATTCTCCTGCCTCAGCTTCCAGAGCAGCTGGGATTACAGGCATGTGCCACCACACCCGGCTAATTTTGTATTTTTAATAGAGATAGGGTTTCACCATGTTGGCCAGGCCGGTCTCGAACTCCTGACCTCAGGTGATCCTCCCACCTTGGCCTCCCAAAGTGCTGGGATTACAGGCATGAGCCACCACCCCCGGGCCAAACTAGATAATATTTTGCTTGAAGATATGTGGTAAAACGATTTGAAAAAATAGGTATTTATGGCCAGGCCCGGTGGCTGATACCTGTAATCCTAGCTCTTTGGGAGGCCAAGGTAGGTGGATCACTTGAGCCCAGGAGTTCAAGACCAGTCTGGGCAACCTGGTGAAACCTGGTATCTACAAACAAAACAAAACAAACAAACAAAAAATCCCAGGTATTTATGAAGCCAAAATTCATGCTTGCAAATTGCCTCCAGGGAGGAATGCAGAGTGATAGGTTGAGAAACAGCACAACAGTAGATTTGACAATTCTTGTAATATTATAGTTCTTTTGTTGGGAAGTGATTTCATAGATATGAATTTTATAGTTTCATATATACTGTACATGTATTTTGCTATGTATCAAATCCTATATAATAAAAAATTTTAAGACAGAAACATCAAGCAACTAGTCTGTTGCTTAACTGTATTGAATATTGTTAAGAAATGACCTGGCCAGATGCAGTGGCTCACGCCTGTAATCCCAGCACTTTGGGAGACTGAGGCGGGAGGATCACGAGGTCAGGAGATAGAGACCATCCTGGCTAACACGGTGAAACCCCGTCTCTACTAAAAATACAAAAAATTAGTCGGGCATGGTGGCGGGCGCCTGTAGTCCCAGCTACTCGGGAGGCCGAGGCAGGAGAATGGCGTGAACCTGGGAGGCGGAGGTTGCAGAGAGCTGAGATCACGCCACTGCATTCCAGCCTGGGCAACAGAGCGAGACTCCATCTCAAAAAAAAAAAAAAGAAAAAAAAAAGAAATGACGGTTGTTTTTGAAGACCTCTAGTATCCATGAAAAAAGTGGTTTCAGTGTAGTGGTGAGTTTAGAGAAAAATCAGAGGTGAGGAAGTGGAGACAGTGAATATAAACATTGATAAGTTTTTCAGTAATAGTAGATCATAGGGTTTTGTTTTGTTGTAAGGTAGAAATACGGAACATTTTTGTATGTTGTCAGGAATGATTCAGAAAGTTATTTAATAGCTTTGTTTCCTCAAGTAAACCATCTTCTATCAAGTCTACACAATTGCTCCTACCTAAAACTAGGAACCGTCTCTGATTCCTCTCTTTCTTCTTGCTGTTTCTCACATTCAATCCATCATCAAGTTACAGTTGTCAATTCTTTTAAAATTTTTTTTTTTTTTTTTTTTTTTTTTTTGAGACAGAGTCTTGCTCTGTCACCCAGGCTGGAGTGCAATGGCGCCATCTCGGTTCACTGCAACCTCGGCCTCCCGGGTTCAGGCAGTTCTCCTGCCTCAGCCTCCTGAGTAGCTGGGATTACAAACGCGTACCACCATGCCCGGCTAATTTTTGTATGTATGTATGTACTTATTTATTTATTTATTTTTGAGTTGGAGTTTCACTCTTGTTGCCCAGGCTGGAGTGCAATGGTGCGATCTTGACTCACCCCAAACTCTGCCTCCCGGGTTCAAGCGATTCTCCTGTCTCAGCCTCCCAAGTAGTTGGGATTATCGGTGTGTGCCACCACACACAGCTAATTTTCTTTTGTATTTCTAGTAGAGACAGGGTTTCACCATGTTGGCCAGGCTGGTCTTGAACTCTTGACCTCAGGTGATCCACCCGCCTCGGCCTCTGAAAGTGCTGGGATTACAGGTGTGAGCCACTGCACCTGACCTCACTTTTTATTCTTAAGAGACGAAGTCTCCCTGTGTTGCCCAGCCTGGTCTCCAACTCCTGGGCTCAAGCAGTTTCGACAAAGTGTTGGGATTATAGGCATGAGCCACTGCACCCAGCTCCTATCACTTTTGAAATAAAATCTACTCTCTTACCTAGCCTACAAAAGCCTTTGCACTTGATATTCCCTCTACCTGGTACACATTTCCTCTGCCTCTAAATATAGGCTCCCTTTAGAATCAGATCTGTGCTCAACTGTCACCACCCTCAGACAGGCTTCCTTAATCAATCAGTACTCTAATCGGGTCCTTCATCATACTATTCTGTTGTCCTGTTTTAGTTTCTTCATAAGATTCATAACAATCTGAAATTGTAATATTTATCTGCTTTCTTATGTGGTTATCAACAGTCTTGCTCTGTTACTCGGGCTGGAGTGCAATGGCATGATCTTGGCTCACTGCAACCTCCACTTCCTGGGTTCAAGCGATTCTCATGCCTCCATCCCCAAGTAGCTGGGATCACAGGCTGGAGCCACCATACCTGGCTAATTTTTGCATTTTTAGTAGAGACAGGGATTCACTATGTTACCCAGGCTGGTCTTGAACTCCTGGCCTCAAGTGAACCACCCACCTCAGCCTCCCAAAGGGATGGGATTACAGACATGAGCTACCTTGCCCAGCCACATTCTTGTCATTTTTTAAAGCAATGTATCCTCAACCCCTAAAATAGGGGTTGGCACTCATAAATATTTGTTCAATGAATGAATGAATGAGAAAAGAAAATTACCTAGGATGTATATCCTGTGTGGTCATGGAGATAATTACATACATAAACATATGAAAATGAAAACCATTTCTTTGAATAATAAGTGTACTTTTCCCCAGAAATCAAAACTACACAATTTTAGCATAATTTGTTGTTCAGAATTTGAATGTAAATTTGTGGATATTATATATGTAGTTAATTTATAAAAGGGTAGAATTATGAAAATATAAATCCTTTTATTATTAATACAGCTTTTAGTGCCTCTTATATGGTCAGTTAATAAAGTTTACTTTGAGAATTTGACAACTTTAAAAAATTTATGTATATTCAACATTTGAAATGTCAAATATAAATTATTTTTTAAATGCCAAAAATATTCAGTATTATACTAAACAACGATACTTTTATCTTTTCCTAGGATATTATTGCTGGATTCCTATATACCATTTTAATCTTAGCTGTCTTCTATCCATTTGTGGACCTGATTGACAACTTCAACCAAACTCACAAATATGCTCCATTCATCATCATCGGGCTTCATTTAGCTTTGGGGATCTTTTCTTTCACTCTTGACACCTGGAGCACATCCCGAGGAGACACAGCCGAGATACTAGGAAGTGGTGCTGGAATTGCATGTGGATCTCATGTTACTTATAACATGGGTCTAGTATTAGATCCTTCTCTAGATACATTACCTTTAGCTGGGCCCCCCATTACTGTGACTCTGTTTGGAAAAGCCATATTGCGGATCCTCATAGGGATGGTATTTGTACTAATAATCAGAGATGTAATGAAAAAGATCACCATTCCTTTAGCCTGCAAAATCTTCAATATACCGTGTGATGATATTCGAAAAGCAAGACAGCACATGGAAGTTGAACTTCCTTATCGGTATATTACCTATGGAATGGTTGGTTTCTCCATCACATTTTTTGTTCCTTACATATTTTTCTTTATTGGTATCTCTTGATGGAGAAGTATTGTTTATGATAAGAAAGGAGGGTATCAGTTACTGATACCCAAAAATATATTCCAGGTAAAGCCAGGTCAGAATTAGGCTTTTGCAGGAATTTAACTTAAATAATTATTTAAGTAAATTCATAAGAGTCAGTGCATTTTATCATTGCACATCCAGATACTGTTTTAGGTGAGCTGAGCTATTTCGTTACTGAGAAAATGATAAGTATCCATTTAGAATGTTCATGTAATGTTTGGAGAGTTTTGTATTATGGATTCAACTTATATATAATATATATAAGGTACATAATATGCAATTATATATCTGATATATATTATATATAAAATAATATACCTAAGTGTTTTTTTAAACTATGGGAGTGTATTATAAAATCAATAATAATATGCAAACAGTTGTGCCTGTGTATTTGAACTACATACAGGTATGTTGTTATTAACAGATATATTTAACATTTATTTACTATGGGAGCCATTTCCTAATTGAATTGCGTAATTACTAGACCAGAATGCATATGCTACTATACATTGATTTACTGCCTGTTTTTACACTGCCATTACCTTTCATGTTATCCATGATGTTGAACATGGGAGGCATTTTTAATGGACCAAATTTTTAGAAAAATTAGTTTTTGGATTTTTTTTTAAGTTCTGTATACTGTTTTGAATGAACTTTATTTGCAGCTATTCTGGATGTCAGTTTAATAATTCAGGTACTGAATTTTATTGCTTGCTAATTGTGCCTTTCCGTTGCTAAATTAAGAAATGCTATGTGTACTGTGATGTAAAAATAAGACATTAACTTTATCTTAAGTTACATATAATCAAGCAAATATTTTAAAAAATGTATGTCAGGGTGACAGGCATAAAAGTAAATTACCCTTAACTCTTTAGCCTTTATTTAGAAAGAAATGTGGAATGGGCTAAACTTTCTCACCAATTTATTAGAAAGCTAAATGGATAAATACTTCCCTTTTTGTAGATATTTTTCTGTGCATTGTAAGTTATAGGAGCAGGACATATTTTTTGTACATTGTCTTGATTGTTTATACTGCAGGTAGGTATTTCCAGTGAATGGAAACGTTGAAATTTATAGATGGGACAATGCACATACTTCATATGTAAACAAAGCATTTTTCTAAATAATTTGGAAAGGATTGGATTTAGCACCGTTAACTTTTAATACCCATTTATTGGCTATTTAAGGTAAATTATAAAACCTAAAATTAGTATCAGTATTTTAGATCCTATTATTTTTTCAACTTTCTATTATTTTCACAGTGGAAAATTTGCGTATAGTATTAAACTATTCTTTTTTCTGTCTACCTTTATATTTTGAAGTGTGGTTGTACTTACGTTAATAGTAAGTGTATTTGTAGAAAGTTTTTCATAAAGAAGAGATTAACTTTCCATATAAATAAATACCAGGTATGAAATTACTGATTTTAGTGCAATATCTGTATGATTATCCAGAACTATCACTTCAGATGTTTCTATTTTGGGCACCATAACTATTTGAGCTCATATTTTTATAATTCTGATTGAGAATTTAGGGGCATGGTAATTTTTACCAAAACTGAAGCTGGTAATTTTAAGTAAAGCAACTAAATTTACCCTTTACTTATTAGTTAAAAGGAAACCAAGGCATGTAGGAAAATATTGGTACGTTGGAAAATGTGAAAAGAGCTTTACTTTCAAAATGTATGTTTAATGAATTGAATTTTAGGGACCGTTTCCCATAATTTGGGCCTATGCTATCCTGTTGATTTTTATGTCTAGCTTAAAAGGTATTTGAAAATGTTCCATTTGTGTTTTATTATTTTCTGTCCTATGACAGTTCTATGCTAAATGTATTTTAAAATAAAAGCCAAATTGAAGATTAAAGAAGGTTTTGCTTTGTTTTGTTTGCCTTCCGAGCAATTGTTTCTGTTTTATCTGGTAGAGATTTTAAAAATATGTCTTGGATTTTCATTCTAGCACATATTTCCTCTGAAGCGTTTTGTCCAAAATCAAAGTGCTGTTTTGGCAATAGAAGACATTGAAGAAGTTCTTTGAGGTACAAACTGGCTTTGGTTCCATTTATGATTATTTCTAACATTGTACTTTTAGTAAAAAGTTTCATATTTCTTTTAAAAAGCTTATGCACAAAATTGTTTCAGTAAAATGTGACTAATAGTATTGTAGGTAATTTACTGCTTTTCCATGAATGTCAAGGATTAATCATAAAACTAGGAACAGGTACTTTTTCAAGCAGAATAAAACATATGGACATTTTATTTTGTAATTTTAAAATGCCATGATGTGTGAACTGCAAAAACCAGGTCTGCCAGAAACTAATTATATGACCTAATATAAAACAATGCCACTTCAAGATTGACACAATTATTTTTATTTTATTTTGTAGCTTTCTTTACAAGTAGTGTTTATTAAATATATATTTCAGGGACAACATAAAAATGAATTCAGTGGAATGAATAGAATTTAAAAGCAAAATTTCCCTCACCCTCCCTGTCATTCATTCCCTTAAAGGCAAATTTTAACAGAGCATTCAATAAAGATAAGTAAATACTAAAGTGGTTTTTTAAAATATATAATCACAAAAATTTTTAAAGGCTACTCAAGTGAAGCAGTGGGAGTGGAGAAAGATATGATCACACAATTTTATATGACAAAGATTTCTTATTGGTAAACAATTTTGTTCTCGTTAACAAGGAATGTTTATTCTAGATTTAAAACCTAACGTGGCCAAGTGTGGTGGTTCATGCCTGTAATCCCAGCCGGCCAGTAAAATGTTTAATCTGGACATCAGTAAGGATCAGTTTTTAACATTTTACTTTATAGCTGCATTAGATTTTCTGAAGAGGGTTTTTGTTGTTTGATAAGGTTTTTTAAGAAAGGGAAGAGGTAGCAGTTTGAGAAAAAGTAATTAGTAGATATTACTGTGCTGGGTATTTTCTCGTTATTTGATCAAGTTCTTCCATTCCTTTTGAAATATATATGTAAGTTAAAAAGAAAAAACTTGGCCAGTCGCGGTGGCTCACGCCTGTAATCCAACACTTTGGGAGGCTGAGGCGGGCAGATCACTTGAGGTCAAGAGTTTGAGACCAGCCTGGCTAACATGGTGAACCCAGTCTCTACTAAAAAAAAAAAGACAAAAACATTAGCTGAGCATGGTGGCACATGTCTGTAGTCTCAGCTACTCGGGAAGCTGAGATGGGAGGATTGCTTTAACCCAGGAGGTGGAGATTGCAGTGAGCTGAGATCACACCACTGCACTCCAGTCTGGGTGACAAAGTGAGACTCCATCTCAAAGAAAAAAGAAAAAACTTTTACACTTGAATTCTGGTTGTGGTTATAATAAGTTATACATAGCACAATAAAAATTTTAACATGCTAATTTTGAAGGACTTTTAGAAAGCTCTTCATTTTAAGCCCACCAGATCTCTTTATAAGGAAGCAAGCCTTCCTTGTGAGACACACAGGAGGGAAAATTCAAAGAAAAATAAACTTTTTAAAAAATAAAAGTGTTTAAGGAAATAAATGTGTTTATTTGTTTATTTAGAGATAGGGTCTTGCTTTCTCATGCAGGCTGGGGTGCAATGGCATGATCACTGCTCACTACAGCCTCTACCTCCTGGGCTTAATCCATCCTCCTGCCTCAACCTCCCAAGTAGCTGAGACTACAGGCATGTACCACCATGTCTGGCTAATTTTTCTATTTTTATAGAGATGGGGCCTCACTATGTTGCCTAGACTGGTCTTGAACTCCTGGGCTGAAGCAGTCCTCCCACCTCAGCCACCCAAAGTGCTGGTATTGGAGGTGAGCCACTGTGCCAGGCTAGAAATGTTAATTCTTAAATCTCAACTAGCTGGCTTTTCCTAATTTGCCCTTCCCTTGCTTCCTTTCTCTCCCAAATATGGGATTCTACATCTGACAGCAGCAGTCTATGAGCAGAATAAAATATACTTTGATAACTGTTGTACTGACTGTGCATGCTAAAAACCCTTAGTGATTGTGAAAGCTTTCTTGCCTATAAATATGAAAACCAGATTCTTTCATTGCTCCAGAGCCCCTAAGAGAGTATTTTTTTTTTCCTTTCATCATTTTTAGTTTTGTTGCATTCTCCTTGGATGTCTAGAAAGCTCATTCTCTGGTACAGCAAGCAACAGGATATGATAATATTTTTGTTTTTTAAGATTTTTTTCCTGTTTTCTAAAAATTAAATAAATTTTAAATATTTTATTTTTTGTATGATGACATTTTCTTAGGAGATATAAAATGGATTCTCTTTTTTTAAAAAAAAAATTCTCACAATAGAAATAAATTATTAGCCCCTCAATATTTGCATGAAAAGTGACAAAATGCTTACTATATAAGGATTTTTTAAAAAATTCCTCAGAGTTGAGGTTTATCCTTTGTCCTAAATTAGGACAAAGGATAACTGAAATCTATTGTATCTATCAGTGAAATCTACCACTGTATTAGTCCATTCTCATGCTGCTATAAAGAACTGCCCAAGACTGAGTAATTTATAAAGGAAAGAGGTTTAATTGACCCACAGTTCTGCATGGCTGGGGAGGCCTGAGGAAACTTAAAATCATGGCAGAAGGCACCTCTTCACAGGGCGGTAGGATGCAGTAAGAGTGAGTGGCGAGCGAAGTGGGAAGCCCCTTATAAAACCATCAGATCTCATGAGATCTCACTCACTATCACGAGAAGAGCATGGGGGAATTGCCCCCATGATTCAAGTATCTCTACCTAGTCTTGCCCTTGCTTGTGGGGATTATTACAATTCAAGGTGAGATTTGGGTGGGGACACAAAGGCAAAGCATATCAATCACAGTCTATAATTATGTATTATTTACTTTTTACATTTTCTGTCATTATCCCTATGACGTAAGCTTCATGAGGAAAAAGACCTTATGCATCTTTTTACTTCTGGATCCCTGGGACACAGTAGGCATTCAATTAGGATATGTTGAATGAATTACACGATTATTCAGTCCTTAGGCTTCAATATGTGCATTTTTCTGGGGAAAATTTCTACAGCATTCATCAGATTCTTAAAGAGATTAATGATCTAAAAATTTTAATATTGCTTAATAGTCTACCTGTTTTAAAAGTTTAGGTTGTAAATGAATGCTTCCAGTTTAGTAAGGATTTTGTCACTTTTCATGCAAATATTGAAGGGCTAATAATTTAATTCTAGGAAAGTTTTGTATGTAATTACTACAGTACCCCATTGTATGAATGTGATTTGTACTCAAATTAGTTTTAAGATTTTGTTTTTTTTAAACTTGAAATCAAATCTGAAAAGAAAATATTGTGTATATACAGGGATATAACTTTTAGTTTCTAGTAATAAATAATTATGTTCCCGAGAATATTATTTTTTACAATTGATCTTTAATTTTTCATAAAACCAACTACATTTAAAAATGTTAAGTGATGTTTATAATTAAAATCTAGATTAAATATATTCAGAGCTTAAATATCAAGTGTTTTTTTTACTTCAGTGAAGTGAAAGGCTACCCTGGTCTCCAAAGGTCTCCAGGCCCAAATTCAGAGGATCAGTGGGGTTGGTGACAATAAGATGGATTATAATTTTCCTACTATTTAAGAGTTTTTCTCCTTTTTCATCTGGGTTAATTTGAGGGGAAGCATTCACCAAACTCATTTTAATGCACAGTATTTTTGCTCATTTTTGGTTGATATGGTTTGGATTTGTGTCCCTACCCAATCTCATGTCAAATTGTAATCCCAGTGTTGGAGGAGGAGTCTGATGGGAGGTGATTGGATCATGGGAGCAGATATCTTTCTGGCTGTTCTCCTGATAGTGAGTTTTCATAAGGTCTGGTTGTTGACCGGGCATGGTGGCTCACGCCTGTAGTCCCAGCACTTTGGGAAGCCAAGGTAGGCGGATCACCTAAGGTCAGGAATTTGAGACCAGCCTGACCAACATAGTGAAACCTCGTCTCTACTGAAAATACAAAATTAGCCGGGCATGGTGGCGCATGCCTGTAATCCCAGCTACTCGGGAGGCTGAGGCAGGAGAATCACTCGAACCCGGGAGGTGGAGATTGCAGTGAGCCAAGATTGCACCACTGCACTCCAGCCTGGGCAATAAGAGCGAAACTCCGTCTCAAAAAAAAAAAAAAAAAAAAAAAAAAAAAAGATCTGGTTATCTAAAAGTGTGTGGCACCTCCCCCTTCACCTTCTCTTCCTCCTGCTCCAGCTATGTAAGATGTGCCAGCTTCCCCTTTACCTTCTGCTATGATTGTAAGTTTCCTGAGGGCTTCCCAGCCAGGCCTTCTGTACCACTGGTAGAACTATGAGCCAATTAAACCTCTTTTTTTTTTTATTCTTAAATAAATTACCCAGTCTCCAGTAGGTTCTTTTTTTTTTCTTTTGAGATAGAGTCTTGCCATCACCCAGGCTGGAGTGCAGTGGCATGATCTTGGCTCACTGCAACCTCTGCCTCCCAAGTTCAAGTGAATCTCCTGCCTCAGCCTCCTGAACAGCTGGAACTACAGGTGCATGCCACCATTCCCAGCTAATTTTTGTATTTTTAGTAGAGACAGGGTTTCACCACGTTGGCCAGGCTGGTCCCGAACTCCTGACCTCAGCAGATACAACCACCTCAGCCTCCCAAAGTGCTGGAATTACAGGTGTGAGCCACCGCGCCTGGCCTCTGGTAGTTTTTAATAGCAATGCAGGAACAGACTAATAACACTGGTTGAAATCTGTGATAACAATCTTAAAAGTAAAAAAACTGAATAATAATCCTGCAACATTTGTCACCATAAAATTTTTTAAATAGCTTTACAAATAAGAATTTTTAAATATTTGCTTCTTAGCAGTATATTCTCAAAATCTTTTGTAAAGTATTCATGAACAAAGGTTGTAAATTTTTAAAATAACAAATTGATTTGGCCGGGCACGGTGGCTCACTCCTGTAATCCCAGCACTTTGGGAGGCTGAGGTGGGCAGATCACAAGGTCAGGAGTTTGAGACCAGCCTGGCTAACATGGTGAAACCCCGTCTCTACTAAATATACAAAAATTAGCCGGGCATGGTGGTGGGTGCCTGTAGTCCCAGCTAGTTGGGAGGCTGAGGCAGGAGAATCGCTTGGACCCAGGAGGCAGAGGTTGCAGTGAGCCGAGATCACGCCATTGCACTGCAGCCTGGGCAACAAGAGCAAAACTCCATCTCAAAAAAGAAAAAGAAATTGGATGAACCAAAGCATGGAGATGGGAATGTGTTAGACATGTTTGGCAAACAAATAGTAGTTTGTCTGGAGCATCAGGGTACCTACAAGGGAGTAGTAAGAGTAAAGTTGAAGAGCTTGTTAAAATATCCAGTAAACAATAGGTGTGGTGAAGTGGTGTCTTTCTTTGCCAGTAGAAGGGCTGCACTATTACTCACTTAGCTCATGAGTGAAATTACACCTAATGTGAAGGTAATCAAAAATATTTTTTGATATATACTTCATTATTAAGTGTTTGGTTTTTTTTTAAAATCTGATAGCAGAAGACAATTACATGTTTACTTATTAAGAGGAGAAAAAGGCAATTTTTATATTAATCCTAGATTTTATATGAAAAATCCCAAAGGTGTGAATTTTGGTGACATGGTATCATGACTGCTATAATTGCTGTTATTTAGAAGAGGAGTCCCCAGGAAGTTAGGAGAACTTTGGATGTGAAGCTATACTCCCCTCACCTTCCAAGCCCTCACAAGAAGGTTGTATAACAAACTAATGACTTACCTGGAAACCTACGCACAGGCCATGAGGATTGACGTCATTAGGTTAAGAGTCTGCAGACCTAGCTACTTTTATTACAGACCAGGAGTTTACAATGTGTTCTACAAGGAAGACGAGCTTCCAAGATACTCCATCTAGGATTTGCAGGTATGCTCTGGGAATAAAGTTGGTGTTTGTAGGAAAATAGCCTGTTGCATGGCAAGAGTGATAACATCTTGAAGTGAAATCTCCATAATGACTAATGTTTGACTCTGCATGCCAAAGTGTTCTGCAGCAAGTTCTCTAAACAATGCCTGTAACAACCCTCATAAAGATGCTTATCTGACCTCCCCAGTAGTCACAAGTTTCCACAAGAAAGTAACAGCTGCACATGTCTTTATCCTAAAGGCTTTTTTTCCTTTTCTCTTTTTTTTTTTTTTTTTGAGACAGGGTCTTGCTCTGTCACCAAGGGTGGAGTGCAGTGGCATGATTTCGGTTCACTGCAACCTCCGCCTTCCAGGTTCAAGCGATTCTCATGCCTCAGCCTACTTGAATAGCTGGGATTACAGGCATGTGCCACCATGGCTAATTTTTGTATTTTTAGTAGAGACAGGGTTTCACCATGTTGGCCAGGCTGGTCTCGAACTCTTGACCTCCAGTGATCTGCCCACCTCAGCCTCCCAAAGTGCTGGGATTACAGCCGTGAGCCACCGTGCCTGGCCCAAGGCTTGCTTTCTAAAGGATAATTTCTGGAGGACGGGTGTGAGGATCCACCATCTCGCAGTTGTCCGAGATACTGCTTATGTTTTCAAATCTCTGTGAAATATTTTCTTTCTGAGAAATTGGATTTGTTAGCCTTATTCTTTGGGCTTTAGGGGTAGGTTTGAATATACCTGCTGCTCACTATGGAACTGTATTCTTGAACTTATTTCTCATCCCACCATACTTAAGAGATCATGAGATTCCCTTTATGCGTTGAGATCAGACCTGACCACACATCTGGCTAATCTCAACTGTTGGTGAAGATTGTGGCATGGGTGTAGGAAGAATGTTTTCTAACAGAATCACAGAGATACCCTGAATATGTTCCGCATCTGTAAGGTAATCCACAATACACCCATAACCACCTACTTTCTTCCTGATTTGGTATTATTCCAGAGAGGCTAATGGCTTCCTCATTAGTTTGTCTATTACCTATAAAAAAAGACATGATGACCATACTGACTTACATTTACCTTATAATTGGCTCACAAACATGTCACTAGCCATTGCCGATCTGTAAAGATAGCCATTCCTTATGTATCAACCTGAAACTCCCATTTCAAAGAAAACTTTGGTGACTCTTCCATGAGATAGTTTCCTAAGTAGGGGGGAAAGATTACAGATTTCTGTCTTTGGGAGGCTTTAAGCTTTTCCAAGTCATGATATGTTATACCATATTCTTGCCCTTGCAAGTCTGTCATAAAACAGACTTTAGATTTGTGCTTGCAAACAGTGGCATTTCCCAAATCCTGACGTACCACTTTATTGACTTACTGTGAAAATGTTTGCGTTGAATTCTATTCTTTGTGAAGATGCTGGTGCCAAACCTGTACTGACTTTCATGTTCCCATTCTGTGTCTTTTTTTTTTTTTTTTTTTTCCTGAGGCTGGGTGTGGTGGCTCATACCTGCAATCCCAACACTTTGGAAGGCCAAGGAGGATGGATCGCTTGAATCCAGGAGTTCAAGGCCAGCCTGGGTGACACAGTGAAAATCTGTCTGTACTAAAAATACAAAAATTAGCCGGACATGGTGGCACATGCCTGTAGTCCCAGCTACGCGGGATACTGAGGCAGTAGAATCCCTTGCGCCCAGGAGGCAGAGTTGCAGTGAGTCCAGATCACACCACTGCCCTCCAGCCTGGGTGACAGAAGTGAAAACCTGTCTCAAAAAAAAAAAGTGTTTAACTGAAGTCAGAGGACCAGGATTTTTGTTTTGACTTTGTTTTGTCTTGAACTATAATTGTAAGTTCCTTCAACTAGGTACTAGCACCAGAATGATAAATGATTTCCTCACAGATAAAATGAAGAGGTAAGACTTGATGTTCTCTAAGAGCCCTTTCACTATTAAAATTTAATAAACTCTGTTAGATCAAGTGTGCAAAAAGAAATGGAGTATTTTTGTTTCTATTAGGATTCTGGAATTTAACAAAAAGAATTTTAATGCACCTTCACTGAGGGAATAGAGTTGGGAGAGCATGTCTTGTCACTGAAGCAACCTTCCCCTCTTTTCCTGTCTAAAAAGTTTGTATATACACCCCTCTAAGGAAATTAACAAGTTTCACCAAAGAAAGTGAGGTAATTGCTTTAGAAGAGTCATAACTTTTGTTTAAATCTCAAGGTTTAAAGTAACTAATAGGTCACTTTACCTAAGTAACCTAATCCAACCTACTATCTAAGTAGTTCTGAGCTGAAGTGGCTCTAAACGGATAGTTCTTTGTTTAAAAAAAAAAAGTGGGGGAGGGGGAGAGGGACAGATTAGACCCCAAAGACCTCAGTAATTCTAGAATTCATTCAACAAATCTTGCCAGCTACAGAGATGGATATGTAAAGGAAACAGAGAAGAAAATCTCTCCTTTAGAAATCTCATTCAGAACTAAGAAAAGAGAAACTGGAAAAAGAATGTAAAACTACCTCATAAATCTCATATGAACTTTACAGAATCATATTTTGGAAAATGAGATCCTTGTAATAAATTTTTAAATTGCAAATCACATTATTCATAAAGGTTTTTTAAAAATAAGCAGAACATTGGGAGGCTGAGGTGGGTGGATCACCTGAGGTAAGGAGTTCGAGACCAGCCTAAACAACATGGTGAAACCCTGTCTTTACTAAAAATACAGAAATTAGCCGGTTGTGGTGGCACATACCTGTAATCCCAGCTACTCAGGAGGCTGAGGCAGGAGAATTGCTTGAACCTGGGAGACAGAGGTTGTGGTGAGCCGAGATCACACCACTGCATTCCAGCCTGGGCAACAGAGCAAGACTCTGTCTCAAAAAACAAACAAACAAACAACAACAACAAAAAAAATCAGTACCTTTATTAGAACATTTCTAGAATGTAACAGTGCCTATTGCAGAAAGTCTTTTTTAAATTTCATAAGAAATTCTGCTAGAAAACATGAGGTTATTCTTGAATGTCAGTCAGCTGTTTTCTTATATAGTGAAATTATTTCATGGAAATGAGAAGTTACTTGCTACAAAAAATTACACAAGATATCTATAGATACATTGCTGGGTTGTTTTTTTTTATTATTCAAATGGCAAGAACAGCAAAAATCCTCTTTTTAGTACAACCATTATGGAAAACAGTGTGGAGATATTTAAAAACTAAGAATAGAACTACCATGTGATCCGGTAATCTCACTGCTGAATATATATTCTAAGGATTTGAAATCAGTATATCAAAGAAATATCTGCACTCTCAAGTTTATTGCAGCATTACTTAGAGTAGCCTAAGTGTCCATCAATGAATGAGCGGAAAGAAAATTTCAGACAAGAGGAATAAGTGCAAGAGATCTATTTTAACTCGTGATGACTATAGTTAATAGCAATATATTATATACTTGGGAAAAAAAGTCCTCCTTTGCCCACTATAATAATTGTATTCTCAGAATTAACTACTGTTGCCAGTTTGGAGTATATATTCTGTGTGTGTGTGTGTGTTTATATGTTTACATATATTGAAATATATAATTGTGTTATATAAAGTTTAGGTTTTTAAAAATATATTGTACGTATTCTGCAAGTCCCCTCCCCACACTCCCCCCCCCCCCATTTTTTTTAATTAATGATATCTCTTGGAGTTCATATAGGATTTCTCTCCTGGAGTTATCTTTATCCTGAAACATCAACTTTTCCCAGTCTACTAAATCACTCCTAACAGCACACAGACATGCTCTACTCCCATTCGCTGTTCTCCTCTACTTCTTGTTTATTTTTGTTTTTTTTTTTTCCTGAGATGAAGTCTCCCTCTTGTCACCCAGGCTGGAATGTGGTGGCACAATCTCAGCTCACTGCAACTTCCACCTCCCGGGTTCAGGCAATTCTCATGCCTCAGCCTCCCTTCCTGGTAGCTGAGGCTACAGGCATGTGCCACGAGGCCCAGCCAATTTTTGTATTTTTAGTAGAGATGGGGTTTCACCATGTAGGCCAGGTTGGTCTTAAACTCCTGACCTCAGGTGATCTCCCCCCACTTGGCCTCTCAAAGTGCTGGGATTACAGGTGTGAGTCACAGTGCCTGGCCTGGAGATAGTTTGGAGCCTTCACAACACGTTTCATCTCACAGACAAACACCAATCAACTAAGAGCATTTTCCTGCTGGGTTATGCTGTGAAGCCCTAGGAGTGCCACGATCAGTTAATGATGTCTGCCTAGGGAAAGGGGGAGAGGAGATAGAAGACGACGGAGCCAATGAAAAGGTCCCTAAAATCCACACTGATAGGGAGAAGAGAGTTTTCAGAACAAAGTGATCAATAAACAATATCAAACACTAGTAAAGAGATTCAGGCTGAAGGCAGACATCTTACATGAGTTTCTGGTTTACCTTGAAGAGAACAATTTCAATGGTGTATGTGGTAGTGGCAGTAGTCAGATTGTAACGAATAAAGGGAAAAAGGAATTAGGGAATGAGATGGTAAGTACGTATCCGAGGTTAAGATTTATGAAATAGGTAGATAGTACATGCTAGAACGAATTTTATTATATACAGTTTTTAATTCTCATTGAATCTAAGATCAGACTGTTTGAATCAAGAAGAAGGTAAAACCTAAAGTGAACAGTAACTCCCAAATGACTGTAGCACCTGATCTTAAGTAATAAATTTTAGTACCATTAATCTACTTATTCATTCATTCATTCATTCATTCATTCATTCATTCATTCGAGATAGGATGTCACTGTTGCCCAGACTGGAGTGCAGTGATGCAATCTCAGCTCACTGTAGCCTCCACCTCAAGCCATCCTCCCATCTCAGCCTCCCAAGTAGCTGGGATTACAGACGCACGCCACTACGGCCAGCTAATTTTTGTATTTTTAGTGGAGACAGTGTTTCACCATGTTGCACAGGCTGCTCTTGAACTCCTGGGCTAAAGCGACCTGCCTGTCTCAGCCTCCCAAGGTGCTGGGATTACAGGCATGAGCCAGTGCACCCAGTCATTAATCTACTTTTTATCTCGCATTTGTCAAACAACAAGGATATTAGGGAACCATGGCAAGGGAATTAGCTGAACTACCTGGAGCAGTGATTCTTAATATGCATCATCAGCATCACCTGGGAACTTGTTAGGAATGCAGACTCCTGGGCCCCATCTCAGGCTTACTGAATCAAAAACGTGGGGGCCAAAGACCAAGCAATTTGTTTAACAAGCCCGCTAGGTCATTCAGATGCACACGCAAGTTAATGTCTTGTAACACCAGTTTCTCATTAAATAAACCACATAGTTATTAAGTTACTAATCCACTTCGTTGGCCTGACCTAGATTCTCTAATGCTAAACCCTTTCAAGTGGTCGGGGTAGACTAACAGTCTTTTAAGGGTATTGAGGACCAGACTGGCCAGCTGTGATCTATTAAAAAAACATTTGAGCTGGAAAAAATATCATCTTTTCACGTTGAGGATCTAAAAATTCCCTTTGAAATCAGCAATCCCCACAAGTGAGAGGACCTCCTCTCTATGACTTGAACTCAGAAGTCTCAGGCATGCAGAGCCAATGCCTAACATGTCAAAACTGTACACAATAATTTATGACATATTTGTGAGGAACAGTTTTAATTTTTGGCTCACTTCCCATTTGCAGCACCTGCCCTGCAAAATAAATAAGTAAAAATCTTCTCTTTTTAAAAGAAGTTTATTTGTACATCTCTTACATTGCTCCATTACATATTACACTGCATTTCAAACTAATCAGATCCCTTAAAAAGATCCCTTCACCTAGAAAGCATGCTACTGCTTGCTGAGTTCTCCCTTTCAGTCTTGTGACTGTTTAAGGTCTTAACCTAAAGTAAGTAAAATCTAGCCTCTTTGTATAATATCAATGCAGGGTCAGAAAACAGGCTATTTAGCCAGTATTTACATGTCATAGGGCTGACTTGGCTGAACCTGTGCTCGCTACCCAAGGCCCTCCCTTACCTTCTCTGCTGACTCTGATTTGGTCCTTGTAATTTCCACCAGTCTGTGCTATGGGCACGAAGCTGGAAGTGCCAGCTTTGCATTTGTCAACATTGTATCGGCAAGGGAAGGTCTAAGACCCCACCATTTAGATCAATAATTGTGTGATTTTGTGTTGGTATAACTGGCCAAGATCATTGATTTTTCTTTTTTTTTAAAGATAAAAATTGAAAATGCTCTTTAGTAATCAACATTTTATTTATAATGAAAATCGTAGTACTGGTTTAATAAACATCTGCACCATCAGTTTCAAAGCATTTTTTACACTCTTAAGAGTGACATCTTAGTTCCTTCTCCTAAATTTACTTTCTTTAATTTGTCTTGTAACTGTATGACTCTCTAAATGACCCATGCTTAAGAATTATCATGTAACTTTGAAATGGTTGATGTTTATGATTCAGTTTTAAATTCATGTGTTTAACATATTTGTAATTCATTTTTAATTTTCTAATGTGTTTTAAATTTATTGCCATCAATAAAAGGCAGGCACATTATTCTTTTTCTTTCCTATATCCAAATTTTAATTAATGCTGAAAAATCACACATCACTAATGGTAATTAATAATTGTACAATAGCATAAACTACCACGTTCCAAATAATCTAAATGTTTATCAACATTTAAATTGACAGTGTTTTACTGAGGCACTGCCAATATAAAACAATAATTTCTCCTTTCTCAAAAATACTCCTTACAAATAATTTGGTTTAAAAGGAGAGAGGCACTTTGGGAAGCTGAGGCTGGCAGATCACTTGAGGTCAGGAGTTCAAGACCAGCCTGGCCAACATGGTGAAACCCCATCTGTACTAAAAAATATAAAAATTAGCCAGGCGTGGTGGTGTGCCTGTATTCCCAGCTACTCGGGAGGCTGAGGCAGGAGAATCGCTTGAACCCAGGAGGCAGAGGTTGCAGTGAGCCGAGATCACACCACTGCACTCCAGCCTGGGTGACAGAGCGAAACTCTGTCTCAAAAAAAAAAAAAAAAAAAAAAAAAGACATTTCTTTTTTTTGCAGAATAAAACCCCACTAATTCGTGCCATAATAATTATAAAAGTGAACAGCTGGAAAGAAATGCACAACTCTCATGCTATTGGAGCTTAAGATTCCCATGAGGAATCTCATCTGCTCAAGGACTGAGCAGAGGTGAAGAATGTTTTTCTGGGTCTAAAATCAATAGCAAGAGGATGAAGACTTTCCAATTGTTAATTATTACCAGTGCAAACTATAACAGTCTGAAATGTATTAATTATTAATTACCAGTGCAAACTATAACAGTCTGAAATGTATTACATATTACCAGCTTGGAAACTTTTGTTGCCAGACTTCCACAGTTCTTCTTGCTTGAAAGAGGGCATGACTAATGCTTTATAGGTATTTCCAATATTACCTCCCAAGCCATCATTAGGAATATTGATGGATCTTAACCTACATAACCTGCCTTTTTCAAAGCTCTCAATATATAAATGTTTCACAAATAAATGCTCAATACAAATTCTGTTGATAGAGGTTGGCACTTTTTAAAAAAGATTGTCCCATTTCTCTGTATGGTATTTCTAGAATAGGAATCTGATATTTTTATAAAGAGTGTTCTCAGTAGAATGAAACCTACATTTATTTTTGGAAAAAATAGTAATATGTGTAAGCACACAAGAGAGGAATAGTAGTTTTCCCCAGGGGAAAAAAAAACTAATTTACACATTAAAGTGTATTGATATATAGTTAAATATCAATTAAAATTAACCAAATGCTTTGAGATTAAGTATTTGATTTATTTTTTAATTAGTTGAGTATTAAAAAGGAAGCCCCTTTTGATGGAAGTCTTTTTAAATTTACACATAAATACTTTACAACTTTGTAATTAGACTTTAATTTTCTTTAGACAATGGAGAGTCTAATCTCTCCTTACAATTGATACCTGAAACAACAAGTTTTTATGTGGTATTTATTCTGTTCAGAGACCCTGCTCTCAGAGTTTAGAGGCAGTTTTTTTGTAAAGGGGGACTGCAGCAAAGATTTCTGAATGGGTACATGACATTTTCATGTAGCTGTTTTATGTGGCCATTTTGATGTATTAATACTTTAAAACTTTATCATAAATTAATAAAACTTACTCATAGTTAAATAAAATTAAAACAGAACTGAGAGGTAAAAAAGAAAACTAGAATTCCCCCCCCCCCCCCAAAGTCAAATAATCTCACTCCTCCCAGGTAACCACTGTTAACCAGTTCTTCTGTAGACTTTTTAAAAATACATAAAGTGACATATATATGTATTATATAAGTATATATATGTATATATACATACATGTATATGTGTGTGTGTGTATACACATATACACATGTATATATATACACACATATACACATATATGTCCTTTTAAAAGCTAGTTTAAATAAAAGTGAGCTATGTATATGGCTCTGTAGTTTTTCTCACTTAGAAATGTATCTGAAGGATCTACCTAATTTTAATAGCTGTATATTATTGTATTCTTTTTGAGACAGTGTCTCGCTGTGTCGCCAGGCTAGAGTGCAGTGGCGCAATCTTGGCTCACTGCAGCCTCTGCCTCCCGGGTTCAAGCGATTCTCCTGCCTCAGCCTCCCAAGTAGCTGGGACTACAGGCATGTGCCACCACGCCCGGCTAATTTTTGTATGTTTAGTAGAGACAGGGTTTCACCGTGTTGGCCAGGATGGTCTTGATCGCTTGACCTGGTGATCCGCCCGCCTCGGCCTCCCAAAGTGTTGGGATTACAGGCGTGAGCCACCGCAACCAGCATATTATAGTATTCTTGTTAGACATTTTAGCTAGTATTCTATTTGTATATTTAGGACACTGCAAGGGTTTTTTCTTTCTTTTTTTACTCTTTTCTTTTTCTTTGTTTTTTAAAGTGATATTGCAAGGTTTTGAAAGTTACAGTGAGCTAAAAAGTTGACCAAATAGAAGTAGAGAGTGGAACAGTGGTAACTAGAGGCTGGGATGGATAGGGGGAGGAGAGGAATAGAGAGAAGCTGGTTAACAGATACAAAATTACAGTTAGGAGGAATAAATTCTAGTGTTCTATAGCACCGTAGAGTGAATATAGTTAAAAATAATTTATTCATATTTTCAAATTGCTAGAAAAGAGGACTTTGAATGTTCTCAACATAAAGATATGGTAAAGGTTTGAGGTGATGCATATACTAATTACCCTGACTTGATTATTATGCATTATATACTATAAAAATACCACATTGTACGCCATAAATATGTGCAATTCTTATGTGTCAAAGAATATAGATTCTGGGCCAGGTTCAGTGTCTCAAACCTGTAATCCCAACACTTTGGGAGGCCGAGACAGGCGGATTACTTGAGCCTAGGAATTCAAGATCAGCCTGGGCAACATGGTGAAACCCTATCTCTACAAAAAATTCAAAAAAATAGCCACGCATGGTGGCCACCCCTGTGGTCCCAGCTACTTAGAGGCTAAGGTGGGAGGATTGCTTGATCCCAGGATGTTAAGGCTGCCGTGGGCTGAGATCACACCAGTGTACTTTAGCCTGGGTGACAGAGCAAGACCCTGTCTCTCTCTCTTTCTAGAAATACATTAAAAATAAACGTTACAGCGACAGAGTGACATCCTTGCATATACATCTTTATGCATTTGTGGGAAGTGAAATTGATTAGTCAAAGCTTTAGTGGATTTTTTTATGTTGATCAATATCGTCAAATTGCCCTTTAGATGGATTATATCAATTTATAGTATCACTAGTGGCATATGAGAGGACTTGTTTCTCCAGTTTTCTAAAGAAATTGATAATTCAAATTCAGCCTTTTAAAAATGGTGCTCTTGTTTCCCCAAAACTTGTTGAATAATCCATCTTTTACCCATTGAATTGAAGTGTCATCCTTATTATATACTAAATTCCCATATAAATATTAATCTACTTCCGGATTTTTTATTCAGCTTCATTGATTTATTATCTGGCTACAAAGTGTTTCAAGTAGCTTTATAATATGTTTTAATTTCTAACAAGGCATCTTTTATTTCTCTTTAAGTGTTTTTTTGGGTTATTCTCATGTTTCTAGATAAATTTTTTTTGCCAGCCAGATTTTTTTATTGTGGTAAAATTTATATAGCATAAAATTTACCATCTTCGGCCAGGCGCGGTGGCTCACGCCTGTAATCCCAGCACTTTGGGAGGCCAAAGCGGGTGGATCACCTGAGGTCAAGAGTTCAAGACCAGCCTAGTCAACATGGAGAAACCCCATCTCTACTAAAAATACAAAAATTAGCCAGGCGTGGTGGTGGGTGCCTGTAATCCCAGCTACTCGGGAGGCTGAGGCAGGGAGAATCGCTTGAACCTGGGAGGCGGAGGTTACAGTGAGCCGAGATTGCAACATTGCACTCCAGGTTGGGCGACAGAGAGAGACTGTCCAAAAAAAAAAAAAAAAATTTACCATCTTAACTATTTTACATATGCTGTTTTGTGGCATTAAGTGCATTCACATTGTTGTGCAACTATTTGCAACTCTGGAATCTAGATGAATCCTAATACTAACATTTTGTCAAGTTTCAAAAAATGCTGCTGTTGGCCAGGCACGGTGGCTCACGTCTGTAATCCTAGCACTTTGGGAGGCTGAGGCGGGTGGATCATTTGAGGTCAGGAGTTCGAAACCAGCCTGGTCAACATGGTGAAACACTGTCTCTACTAAAAATACAAAAAAAGTAGCCAGGCATGGTGGCGGGCGCCTGTAATCCCAGCTACATGGAAGACCGAGGCAGGAGAATTGCTTGAACCCAAGAGGCGGAGGTTGCAGTGAGCCGAGATTGCGCCATTGCACTCCAGCCTGGGCCACAGGCAAGATTCCATCTCAGAAACAAAACAAAACAAACTGCTGTTGCTGTGTTGCTATTCTGATTGTCATTATAATCCATGTACAGATTAATTTACGTAGATTTAACTTTTACAATATTGTCTATGAAGCACAGCATGTGTATATACGTATATAATATATATATTATATATACAATATATATAATATACTATATATAATATACAATATATATAATATACTATAATATACTATATATACTATATATAATATATATAATATACTATATATAATATATATTGTGTGTATATATCTATTTTTTAGATAGAGTTTTGCTTTTGTTGTCCAGGCTGGAGTACAATGGCATGATCTCGGCTCACTACAACCTCCACCTCCTGGGTTCAAGCGATTCTCCTGCCTCAGCCTCCCCGTGTCACTGGAATTACAGGCATGCACCACCATGCCCAGCTAATTTTGTATTTTTAGTAGAGACGGGGTTTCTCCATGTTGGTCAGGCTGGTCTCAAACTCTCGACCTCAGGTGATCCTCCTGCCTCAGCCTTCCAAAGTGCTGGGATTACAGGCATATATTTTCCTCTCATTCATTCACTCAAATATTTATTGAGTACTTATTACACCAGGAACTCTGCTAAGCATTAGAGATATAAATGTAACTAAAGTAATGTATCTGTAATCATGGATCTTAAGAAATCCAGAAGAGGAGATAGAGATCAAGCAAATAATTGCACAAATAAATGTAAAGTTGTGAAGTGCTAAGGAGGAGAGAGATGTGGTAATACAGTGAGCTTATAATAAGTGATTTTATCTAATTGGCGGGGTGGGGTGTGTCTGGGCAGTCTTCCCTGAAGTAAGAACTGAGCTGACTCTGGGAAAATACACTGAAGTCATCTTAAATAGCCTCCATTTGGCTCCATACAGGCTCTGCACATTTCTTTGGTTTGTCCCTGGGTATATAATCTTTCTTCTTGTAATAATATAAGAGCTCTTGTATTCATTTTATTTTTAACCTTTTTTTTATTTATGGGAAAGCTATTGATTTTTGTATATTATATATGTAACCAGCTACCTTTGGGATTTTCTTGTTTTTGAGGGAACCCATTCTCTTTCTCGTACATTTTTGCTTCAGCTAGTAAGTTAGGAATATCTGTCAAAACTTCTGCCCTCTTGGAAGTTTGAAGGGGGAAGCTGCTGTCTTCTCCCCACCTCTGTGAGTACAAGAGTGATTTACCTGTTTTTATTGATTTTTTATTTTTTTTATTTTTTTTTTGCTGTAGGATATAGATCCTGATGACTTACGTGTTTGGTAAAATGGTGAGAATATGACATCCACTAAGTCATCTTTCTGTTTTGAGTGGAATTAATATGTGAAAGGCCAAGGCTCAATGTGGCATTTCTCTTTTGACTCTCTATTATAGTCAGCAAGTAAGGGAGACTCCAACTACTTTATTTATTAATAACTTTTAAATATTTTGCTACAATTATAAATAGTAATCATTAAAGTTATTTACTTAAGAAACAATGTCTCACTCTGTCACCCAGGCTGGAATGCAGTGGCATTATCATAGCTCACTGCAACCTTGAACTCCAATGGCCTCAAGTGACCCTCCTGCCTCAACCTCCCAAGCACTGAGATTTCAGGTGTGAGCCACTGTGCCGGCCACCGTTAGATTTTTTTTTTTTAATCTTGGTTTAATATCATGGAAATAAAGATGCTTGAAGGTCTGGTTTTATTTATTTTGTATTTTTATTTTTTTACATAAGTTCTACAGATCTGCTGAGGAGGTATGGGTTTACATTCAATTTATCTTAATTATTGGTTTTAATATCTATCATAGATGAGAAACATAATTGAAAAAGATGCCAAGATTCAAAGAAGTAGTAAAAAATCAGGATACTCATTTTTTAGTCCTATACCCTATTTATAGAAAAATTTTTATTGAAATTCCACTAGAAATACCCATCTTCCTTAATATCAGAAGATACTGCCTTTTTAAAAATTTTCTTGAGACAAGGTCTCACTCTGTTGCCCAGGCCGGGTGACAGAGCAAGACTCCATTTCGAAAAAAAAAAAAAAAGAAAGTGGATAGAATTTTTTTTTCAAATAGTCCTCTTTGTAGTTCTCTTTTAACTGACATCTTGTTAGGTTTTATTAAACTGTCATTTTTATCACATATTTTGGCTAAGAAGAAATTATACCAGAAGTAGGAAAAGAACTAGTTCTGCCATTTTGTTGTTGTTGCTTTTATCTTCATTATTGATCTTTTCAATCCTTGTCCTCTTTGCATGATTGTTTTAAAATCATACGCTTGTTTCAGGCTATGTTCTCAAGAAGCAGAACTTGAGATGAAGATTCCTGTGCCAGCGATTCTTTTGAGAGAGTGATGTCAGCTGAAACCTGTAAGGGAGTGAGAGAAACAGAATAGGACAGAGGAAGAAGCTAGGCAAAGACATGGGTTCAGTTGAAATCTATCTTCATTTTGATCCCATGAGCAGCTCTGGAGTGTGGATGGCACCATGGACTTGTCTCTTCTTGAGGCAAGGAAGCAAGCTTTAGTATTCCTGTATTATTCAGTCGTGGGCTATGGGCCGCCTGGAGTTAGTGCAGGAGGGTGGTGGCAGAGTGTGATGTTCCTGATTAGGTAGCATCCATCATTTATGGTCAGTTCTTCACAGAAAGATACAGGTATGAACTGGTAGCAGCCAAGAGTCACAGCATGTAGGGAATGGGGACCATGACCAGTAAGTAGAATCTGGGCAGGGAACCAACACCCATTTTTTGAAGTTACTTAAGGCTAAATATTATAATTGGGAAATCTTTTACTTAACCATTGTACAATGTGTCAGCTGAAAATGAACAAACAAGTGAGAGTGACACTTAGGGAATTCATGCTCTTGTCCCTGATACTCCCTACCTGATGTGACCATCAGGCCTTCAGACTGGTGAAGATGCAAATGTCAACCTACACACTAATCTTAGTGTAGCATAAACACACCTGAGAGCAATAAGTGAAGCCTACCCTGAGAATGACCCTGTATGGCAGATGCATCTGAATGTGTGTTCTAAGCTAGGGAATCTGGGAGTGGCCAACCTGGACATTTTTTCCTTATCAATGATGAACATCTGAACCCCTGTCCTGCCCTGTTCATGGCAGTGGCAGCCCATCTGGAGCAGCCTCTCTGACAATGCTGGCTGCAGCCGGGAGGCGCGGCTGGGGCTGTGTATTCCATGGAGCAGGCAGGATCCCCACCCTCCTGGATGCACCTGCAGCCGCCCAAGCTGCAGCTGCAGGGTCGGAAATGCCTGCTCCCGCTGCCTAGCCTCTCCTTACTCCTGGAGCCCAATCAGATCTTGGTGCAAAGTTGAGGCCAAGCCAAGGTGCTGTTGCAATCCAGCCAGGTGTGCTCATTCTTGGGGCAGTGCTGACATGCCAGCCCCCTGCCGCCTTGACCCTCTCCGGGCTTTGGGCACAAACAAGCATGGGAGGGAGGCTGAGTGGGGTCTGAGGGCAGCTCAGTGCTGGGCTGCAGGCACCACTCTGCAAGAGCAGCCTGGGCACCATGAACAGTGGCAGGAGGCAGGCAGGCTCCTGGGTGGAAAGGGGAAGGTCCCTGGTGAAGCCCCGCCTTCAAGCTGGGGAAGGCGTGAAGCCTGGGGACCAGGCTGCCAGCCCTGCAGACCAGAGTGGGAATTTGTGCTTTTTTCTGGGCCCGCCCATGGCTGCCTGTGGACCAATCAGCAAGCACTTCCTTGCTGATAAAAACCTGACTCAGCCAGACTCAGGGAGATGACAGGATGACCAGCTATGGAGAGGAGCTACCCACCCCAGGGTCTCCTCTCTGCTGAGAGCCGAACACTTGATGGGACACCCTCCCTTCAAAGAGGAGCTACCCACTGTGGGTCTCTGAGCTGTTCTGTTGCTCAGTAAAGCTCTTCTTCGCCTTGCTCACCCTCCACTTGTCCACGTACCTCATTCTTTCTGGACACAGGACGAGAACTCAGGACCTGCCGCATGGCGGGTCTAAAAGAGCTGTAACACAAACAGGGCTGAAACACACCCCTTGCTTGCCACATTGCAGGAGACAAGGAGAGAAGAGCTGTGGCCCTTTGATGAGCTCAGACCTAGAAGCTCCCCAAGCCAAGGCTGTGACATACTCTTTGACACTGCATTTCCTGGCATCTCCAAGCTTCTGGGCAGCACCACGTTCCCCAGTGCCAGCTGTGGAAGCTACTTGTGGTACACCTGGTTCAGCTGCAGCTTCGCAGGGAGCCAGTGCCCGTGGTGGTGCCTGGAGCTGCCTGCCCTACTGCAGCCGATGTGCCTGGCTGTTTGCAGTGGCTGGACCCCGTGCTCACTTGCTCACACACCTGTCACCACTCCACTCCACTCATCTCAGAAGGTGTGGGATCTTGGCAGGTAGCATGAGCTGAGCACAGCCTGACAGGCTGATTCGGCCCAATGGGCCTGAGCAAAACTCAGGCAAAGGCGCCACTGGCCACAGAGGTTTCCGGCTGGAAAAGCAACACCCCCAAGGATCCCATAACACAGTGGACCAGGGGCCATACAGGGGATTTAGGCCCTGAGTTTTGGGTTGGATGCAGCTTGCCAAGTGGAGGTTGTTAGAGGGAGGGTGTTAGGTGAAAATGCTATATTAATTGCATACTATTTGCAAATGATTGTGGTTTTTCTGCGCAGCCAGTCGTCACTGGGCCATGTGGCTGTGATGTCCAGTGCACCAGCCCCGGACTATAGGCAGGGGGTCATGTTGTCCAACCTGCCACCATTGGATTGTAGGTAAGACAGATATCTTGTCCATCCCACTGCCACTGGACCATTTCTCTAATTAAGGCAATTCCCCTTTCCAGCCTGCTGCCACTGGATTCTCTTCCATGTATGTAATCCCCTAATAAAACCCCAGGTCTTATTTGCTGGTTCTGGGTCTCTCCTTTGGCCTCTTGAACCTGGTGCCTTCCTTACAGAGGTTAATAGGGGTTTGGCACAACAATTAGTAAAATTTAGTTTCCTCTTTTTAGATTACAAAAAAACAATTTAGGCCAGGCGCGGTGGTTCACACCTGTAATCCCAGCATTTTGGGAGATCGAGGCAGGTAGATCACTTGAGCTCAGGAGTTTGAGACTAGCCTGGGCAACACGGTGAAACTCCATCTCTACAAAAAATACAAAAATTAGCCGGGTGTGATGGCATGCGCCTGTAATCTCAGCTACTCGTGAGGCTGAGGCAGGAGAATCTCTTGAGCCGAGATCGCGCCATTGCACTCCAGCCTGGGCAAAAAAACAAACAAAAAAACTGACAAGTGTCATTCCCATTCTATTAGCTCTCATTAGTGTTGGGAATGCAGGGAGTTTTTTTGACAAATAAATCCTACTGGAGGATTATATAACTAATTATAGTTTAAAAAAGGGGTTCTCAAAATGTGAACCAAAGACTCCTGGGGGTCCCTAATACTCTTTCAAGGGGTCTGAAAATTCCTCCCTTTTCCTACTCCATGTCTGTATGAGGACAGGTTTGCTTCAAATACTTAAAAAAAAAATCACAATAGTTTGAAGGCAGAGTCAGATATGAGAATCCAGGTTTCTTCTATATGCCAGACAGTAAGGAGATCTGCAAATACATTAAACAGAATAACTCTTTGTTGTACCTATTTTTCTTTGTTTTAGAAAATATATTTTTCTTAAAATGTTTATGATAACATGTAATGGGTTTAATATCGCTACTCAAAAATGGGTAAATACATCTTTTTAGACTTTGGGTTTTTTTTTTTTTTTGAGTCAGAGTCTTGGTCTGTTGCTCAGGCTGGAGTGCAGTGGCTCAATCTCGGCTCACTGCAACCTCCACCTCATGGGTTCAAGCGATTCTCCTGCCTCAGCCTCCCAAGTAGCTGGGACCATAGGCGCGTGCCACCATGCCCGGCTAATTTTTGTATTTTTAGTAGAAACAGGGTTTCACCATGTTGGCCAGGATAGTCTCGATCTCTTGACCTCATGATCTGCCTGCCTTGGCCTCCCAAAGTGCTGGGATTACAGGCATGAGCCACCGCGCCCGGCCAGATTTTTGTTTTAATTTCTAATATTGAAAATATTGATAGATAGACAAAACCCACATAAACAAAAGCTCTTTGAGGCCTTCAATAATTTTTAAGAGTATTGAGGGGTCCTGAGACCAAAAAGTTTGAGAGCCACTTGTCTAGAATACTCTCTTCTTCATTCCTATTCTCCCAGCATTCTTGCATTCCATGATAGGGAGCTGTGTACCTGTATTACTCTCTCCTTGAAAAGAGGAACTGTATATTCGGCACAGTACTTAGCAGTGTTTTGCATGTACTAAAGGCTCAGTAAATATTTGGTGAATTAAAAACTGAATATTGCTGTTTTCTTCCAAATCTGCTCTTCTTTTCAAATTTATCTTTGTTTAACCCTGCTGCTCTTTATAGGCAGCCATTGACTCTTTTTTCCCTTTCGTTGCTAAAACTTCGAGGGATAGTCTTCATTTAGCTCCATGCCAAGTGTGGGGGCTAATCCAGTGTGGAGAGTTTGGGAAGGAGGCACACCAGGAATTCATTTTGCATCCTGCTAACTTTCACACTAATGTTCAAGTATTGATTTTATCATGTTATTTTTGCTCAAGAGCCTACAGAGTCCCTGTTTACTTCAGATATAAACACCTGTGCCTGTGTTCATGCCCATAACTTTATCCCATGTACCAACCTTATCTCCCATTAACTAGCAACACCTTCTCTGCAGCCAGGCTGACTGCTTCACTAGTCCCCATGCATGTGCTCTTTCCCAGAGATAAATTTTTTGCACTGGCCACTCCTGCCATCTGGCTGTTATCCATCCTTTAACCCCCGTTCAGGTCCCAAAGTCTCCATTAAATATTCTTGAATTACCTTTTTTTTTTTTTTTTTTTTTTTGAGACAGAGTCTCACTGTATTGCCTAGGCTGGAGTGCAGTGGCACAATCTCGGCTCACTGCAATCTCCACCTCCCGGGTTCAAGCAATTCTCCTGCCTCAGCCTCCCAACTAGCTGGGATTATAGGCACCCACCACCACGGCCAGCTAATTTTTGTATTCTTAGTAGAGACGGGGTTTCACCATGTTGGCCAGGTTGGTCTCGAACTCCTGACCTCAGGTGATCCACCCATCTCAGTCTCCCAGAGTGCTGGGATTACAGGCGTAAGCCACTGTGCCTGGCCTGGCCTTCTTAATTACTGTCTTATAACGCATCCTGACTGAAATAGAATCACAGCATAATGGACAAACTGATTGGTGAGCAAGGAAGAAAAAGCCTTTGTTTCTTGCGGGCGGGAGAGGGCAGGACTGGTAAGAGAAAATGTCATGTTGTCCTTCTGTACAGCCACCCACACACAAAACCTCAACCAAACAAACCAGCATTATCAAGGGCATGGAGCCAGAAATGACAGACAAACTGGGGCAAAGTGTTGCTTTTTGCCTTTCCATAGAAGAGGCCATTGTCTTTGCTTTTATTTCAGCATCGAATCCCCTGAAGTGTATTTACTTTTTATGCATCTGTTTCTGCCATTAGATAATTCATTGAGGAACTAAGGATGTCTTATTCATGTTTCTATACCCACTAGCATACCGTAGGTGCTCAATATATTTCCTTAAAGAAATGTGTGACTGGCATGGGCGAAGCTGGGGAGAAGGCTGTCAGATGAGCTCAGAAGGCAGGCTGAGGCCCTATTTAAAAGAGCGCGATGTGGCGATTTAAGCCTTGTCATGTAGGCAAAAGGGAACAGGGAAGCTAGAAAGTTTCTTTTTTTTTTTTTTGAGATGGAGTCTCGCTCTGTCACCAGGCTGGAGTGCAGTGGTGCAATCTCGGCTCACTGCAACCTCTACCTCCCGGGTTCAGGTGATTCTCCTGCTTCAGCCTCCCGAGTAGCTGGGACTACAGGCCTGAGCCACCACGCCCAGTTAATTTTTGTATTTTTAGTAGAGACGGGGTTTCACCATGTTGGCCAGGATGGTCTTGATCTCTTGACCTCGTGATCTGCCTGCCTTGGCCTCCCAAAGTGCTGGGATTACAGGCATGAGCCACTGCACCTGGCCAGTTTTTTTTTTTTTAATTTTATTTAAAATAATAAAAAAAATTAACTGCTCTACACATTCAGAGAAATTTCTCTAGTAACGAATTACAGAAATGATCCCTGAAAGTACAGTCTAAAGGTTTCTTCTTATTAATATTAATTTTTTCCCAAGGTAATACATGTTTAAATTTTTAAAAAGACATAATACAGGCTGGGTGCAGTGGCTCACGCCTGTAATCCCAGCACTTTGGGAGGCCAAGGCAGGCGGATCACGAGGTCAGGAGATTGAGACCAGCCTGGCCAACATGGTGAAACCCCGCCTCTACTAAAAATACGAAAAAATAGCTGGGCGTGGTGTTGCATACCTGTAGTCCCAGCTACTTGAGAGGTAAGGTGGGAGGATCGCTTGAGCCCCAAAGGTGGAGTGTGCAGTGAGCCCAGATTGCGCCACTGAACTCCAGCCTGGGCAACACAGCAAGACCCTGTCTCAAAAGAAAAAAGAAAAGAAAATTTTTTATGGTCACCTTAGAAAATGGGAGAAAAGGCCGGGTGCAGTGGCTCACACCTGTGTTCTCAGCACTTTGGGAAGCCCAGGTGGGCAGATCACAAGGTCAGGAGTTTGAGACCAGCCTGGCCAACATGATGAAATCCTGTCTCTACTAAAAGTACAAAAATTAGCTGGGCATAGTGGTGGACACCTGTAATCCCAGCTACTCAGAAGACTGAGGCAGGAGAATCGCTTGAACCTGGGAAGCAGAGGTTGCAGTGAACCAAGATTGCACCATTATACTCCAGCCTGGGCGACAGAATGAGACTCCATCTCAAAAATAAATAAATAAATAAATAAAGGCTGGGTGCGATGGCTCACACCTGTAATCCCAGCACTTTGGGAGGCCGAGGCAGGCAGATCACGAGGTCAAGAGATCGGGACCATCCTGGCCAACATGGTAAAACCGCATCTCTACTAAAAATACAAAAATTAGCTGTGCCTGGTGGTACTTGCCTGTAGTCCCAGCCACTCAGGAGGCTGAGGCAGAAGAATTGCTTGAACCCGGGAGGCGGAGGCTGCAGTGAGCTGAGATCGCGCCACTACACTCCAGCCTGGCGAAAGAGCGAGACTCCATCTCACAAAAATGAAAAATAATTTAAAATAAATACATAAATAAGAAAATGGGAGAAAAGCCGGGTACAGTGGCTTACACCTGTAATCCCAGCACTTTGGGAGGCTGAGTTGGGCAGATCACTTGAGGTCAGGAGTTCGAGACCAGCCTGGCCAACACAGTGAAACCCTATTTCTACTACTCGGGAGGCTGAGGTGAAAGAATTGCTTGAATCCGAGAGGGAGGCTGCAGCGAGCCAAGATCATGCCCCTGCACTCCAGCCTGGGTGATTGAGTGAGACTCCATCTAAAAAGAAAAGAAAAGAAAAGAAAAAATAAAATGGGAGAAAGAAGTGAGAAGCTCTTATGGTACTCCACTATTTAAACCAAAAGTTCATTGTAGGAGAGTTAAGGATTTTGTCTTTTTATTTATTTATTATTTATTTATTTATTTTTTGAGACAGAGTCTTCTTACTTTTGTTATCCAGGCTGGAGTGCACTAGCGTGATCTCGGCTCACTGCAACCTCCGCCTCCCGGGTTCAAGCGATTCTCCTGCCTCAGCTTCCTGAGTAACTTGGACTACAGGCGCACGCCACCACACTCAGCTAATTTTTTTATTTTTAGTAGAGGCGGGGTTTTACCATGTTAGCCAGGCTGGTCTTGAACTCCTGACATCAAGTGATCCGCCGGATATTTTAAGGCACTAAAACATTGGTGCTATTAATACAAAGGGCTGGAAGAGGTGGAAAATGGAGGCATGCAAAGTTGGTTTCAAGCTATTGCAAAATCCAAATAAATCATGACAGGCTGAATTAGGGTGTTATCCAGAGGGAGAGCAAGAGTGCATGAAAACGCTTTTTCTTCCCCACACAGTGCTATGAATGTGTGACTAAGCGCAGAGGATTAGGTTGAGCGTCAAAAGTGATGTTAAGTCTTTTAGTGTGGTTGACTGGGATGGTGAAGCCACTAAAAGAGGGAACACAGAAGTTTTTGTGGACTTTGGGACACTTACATTCAGGAGAATCAAAGGGACTGAAAGAGAACTGGGATGGAGGAGAATTAGAGGATGGTGTGGTGTTTCCCAAGACATCCCCTGATCTTGCTATCCCAGCATCTCCTAGACCTTCCCAAGATCCAGCAACTAAAAGTATAACACTTGTCACAAGAAGGCTAAGGTTGGCCTATGTTCTAATTGGGGGTGATGTGGGGGTAAGATGGGGAGTATATGGGAACACAATCACAAACTAAAGCTTATATACTAACACTTTTTTGGGAAGTTCAATGTCAAGGAAGTTGGAGTGAGCAGGAAAGGGAAGTGAGGCAGGAAGGGAGACAGCAAATACAAGAGAGAACATGAAGATGTGACACCAAGCTGGCCATACCTGTGTTAAATATTTTGAATATCTCACCCGGCAGCATACTTATCATTGGCTGAAATTACCTTACATTGTTTTTAATAAAAATAATAGATATTGTCTGTTTGCCCACGAGAAAATAAACTACATGAGGACAGGGACTTTGTTAAATGTTGTCTCTCCAGGACTCAGAATATACCTGGCGCATAATAGGTGATGAATAACATCTCTTGAGTGAATCACGTTAAAGAGAAATATTTTTCTAAATAAAACACATTCCATGTAATGTAGTACTTTATGTTATTTGTGCAGAGTGGTTTCTGTTCCTCATTTTTTATCCTCCAATTTCCTAATCACGCCCAGAGGCCTACTTGCACATAAGGAATGAGAACCATAATGATAGTTTCATGTTACAGAGTCTTCTACCTGCAGGGCTATCATCTAATACTCAAGGACCCAGCAAGGCTTTGAAATCCTTGCTTTTCCTTATCTTAGCTGATCAAATAGGTAGTTAAGGCATCTGTATGGGGAAAGAGGGAGATTTATCTTCTGCCCTGAGCATTCTCGCAGGGGCTGAGGACAAAGGGTATAATTTATCCCGCTTATACTAGGTATATATTTATGATTTTGTTTTTTGAAAGAAACAGTTTTCTTTTCACTGCGCATTTTGCTTCAAGAAGTAGTCAAATAAGGTTTTTTTGTTTGTTTGTTTGTTTTAGAGACAGAGTTTCACTCTGTTGCCCAGGCTGGAGTGCAGTGGTGTAATCCTGCAATCTCTGCTCACTGCAGCTTCTGCCTCCTAGGCTCAAGTGATCATGCCTCAGCTTCCCCAGTAGCTGGGACTACAGGCAAGCGCCACCACACCTAGCTAGTTTTTTGTATTTTTTGTTGAGACTGGGTTTCACCATTTTGCCCAGGATGGTCTCAAACTCCTGACCTCAAGTGATCCACCCACCATGGCCTCCCAACGTGCTGGGATTATAGGCGTGAGCCACTGTGCCCAACCCAAATAAGTTTTTTGTTTTTTTCCTTAAGACGGAGTCTCGCCCTGTTGCCTAGGCTGGAGTGCAGTGGCACGATCTTGGCTCACTGCAGCCTGCCTCAGCCTTCTCAGCCTGCCTCAGCCTTCTGAGTAGCTAGTACTACAGGCATGTGGCACCACGCCTGGCTAATTTTTGTATTTTTAGTAGAGATGGGGTTTAGCCATGTTGGCCAGGCCAGTCTCGAACTCATGACCTCAAGTGATCTGCCCACCTCGGCCTCCCAAAGTGCTGGGATTACAGGCGAGAGCCACCACGCCCAGCCAAGTTTTTTATGTATATTTTTTTAATGTAGGAAAAGATTTGTGGGAAAAAAAATTATTACATGCTACAAGCTTAAGTGAGAAATGACTATCAAAAGTAGTAAATTTTGTATTACAAATCAACAACTATCACGTATCTACTTTTGATATTTAAATTCAAAGGTAGGAAAATGTTAATTAGGTGAATATGTTCATGATTGAGACTATAATCTCCTTAATGTTCCTTTTATGATCTACTCTCAAACCTAGGAGTAAATTTCACTTCATTAGCCTCATAGCAATCATCTGTAATCATCTGATTACAAACGTACTCAAGCTGCAGGCTTTCACTGTGACTCTGTATTTTATATCCTTCATCATCAAAACATGTTTTTAAAAATGGGAGAAAACATGGCTTTGTTGCAATGTGTTATTATTACTGCATACATAATACGTTCCTGGCAATCATCAGAGCCATCTTTATAATGCTTGGCTTATCTTAGGACACCATGTTATCTAGCAAAAAAATTTTAACCTAATGCTTAGAAAATTAAATCCAACTTTTTTTTTTTTTTTTTTTTTTTTTGTGACGGAGTCTCACTCTGTCGCCCAGGCTGGAGTGCAGTGGCACGATCTTGGCTCACTGCAAACTCCGCCCCCAGGGTTCAAGCAATTGTCCTGCCTCAGCCTCCCAAGTAGCTGGGATTACAGGTGCCCACCACCACACCCAGCTAATCTTTGTATTTTTAGTAGAGATGGGGTTACACCATGTTGGCCAGGCTGCTCTCCAACTCCTGTCCTTAGGTGATCCACCCACCTCAGCCTCCCAAAGTGCTAGGATTACAGGCGTTAGCCACCCTACCTGGCCAGATCCAACTCTTACTAAATACTTCTCTAGGATATGAGATGAGAGAGTCAAATAATATGTAAATCCAGAAATAAGTAGGCAATGAGTAGGGATATTGGTATGATTAGGAGTCATTGGTATTTGAGTCTGAGGCAAAAGTTCCAGAAGGCCTACAAAAGAAAACAGAAGCCTTTCATATTTCTTTTATAGCTCAAATAGTTTTGTATTATTGTGTCACATACATCAGTTAGAGATCATATGATAAAAAAGAAGAGGTCGGGCCATCTCAAAAAAAAAAAAAAAAGAAAAAAAAATCCTAAAAATACCACATCAGTCTGGTAGTCTTTTTTTTTTTTTTTTTTTTTTGAGATGGAGTTTTGCTCTGTTGCCCAGGCTGGAGTGCAGTGGTGCAATCTCAGTTCACTGCAACCTCCACTGCCCAGTTTCAAGCGATTCTTCTGCCTCAGCCTCCTGAGTAGCTGGCATTACAGGTGCGCTACCACACCCAGTTAATTTTTGTATTTTTAGTAGAGACAAGGTTTCGCCATGTTGGCCAGGCTAGTCTCGAACCCCTGACCACAGGTGATCCTCCCACCTTGGCCTCCCAAAGTGCTGGGATTACAGGCATGAGCCAAGCGCCCAGCCTTGGTAGTCTTATTTCACATAAATTCATATCAACTTCACAACAACTCTCTTTTAAATATTAAATAAAAGAAATCTACATTTCTTTGCCTATAATTTTCTTCTTTTTTGTTTTGAGACAGGATCTGACTCTGTCGCCCAGACTGGAGTGCAGTGGAGAGATCTGGGCTCACTGCAACCTCCGCCTCCTGGGCTCAAGCAATCCTCCTGCCTCATCCCCCAAGTAGCTGGGAGTAAAGGCATAAGCCACCATGCCCTGCTAATTTTTGTATTTTTTTTGTAGAGATGGGGTTTCACTATGTTGCTCGGGCTGGTCTCAAACTCCTGAGCTCAAGTGATCCATCAGCCTCGGCCTCCCTAAGTGTTATGATTACAGGCGTGAGCCACTGCGCCCAGCCTGCGTATAGTTTTCACATATTGCATTTAAACTTTCTTAATTCTACCTCCTGGATGGTGTACATTCCTAGTCCTATCATTAATTTTTCTTTTTTTCAAGGTTCATTTTCAACAATTAAAGGGCTCAGCAAACATATCCTTTTTGGGGCTGGGCGCGGTGACTCACACCTGTAATCCCAGCACTTTGGGAGGCCGAGGTGGGTGGATCACTTGAGGTCAGGAGTATGAGACCAGCCTGGCCAACATGGCGAAACCTCGTCTCTACTAAAAATACAAAAATGAGCTGGGTGTGATAGCGCACCTGTAATGCCAGCTACTCAGGAGGCTGAGGTAGGAGAATCACTTGAACCTGGGAGGCGGAGGTTGCAGGGAGCCGAGATCGTGCCACTGCACTCCATCCAGCCTGGGCAACAAAGGGAGACTCTGTCTCAAAAAAACAACAAAGGCCAGGCGTGGTGGCTCATTCCTGTAATCCCAGCACTTTGGGAGGCTGAGGCAGGTGAATCACCTGAGGTCAGGAGTTCGAGACCAGTCTGACCAATATGATGAAACTCTACTAAAAATACAAAAATTAGCTGTGTGTGGTGGCATGCACCTGTAATCCCAGCTACTCGGGAGGCTGAGACAGGAGAATCACTTGAACCTGGGAGGTGGAGGGTGCAGTGAGCTGAGATCACACCATTGTACTCCAGCCTGGGCAACAAGAGTGAAACTCTGTCTCAAAACAAAAAACAAAAAACAAAAAAAAACCCAACATATCCTTTTTTGTCATCCTTCCTGTAATCTCACAAAGTAAGGGGTATAGGTAGAGGAAGAGTTGGAACTTCAACTTATAATTCCTGAATGCCTACACTGTGCTATCTTACTTTTATTGTTACTTAATTTTCATAAAACCCCTGAACAAGAGACATTGTCACTTGATGAGTAATTTGGAGTTTAGAGGAAAATAAAATACCTTGCTCAAAATCACATATCTAGCTTTGAGTAATAGTGCTTATTAAAACATCTGCTTTGGGCCTGCTGTGATGGCTCATATCTGTAATCCCGCCACCTTGGGTGGCCAAAGAGGGAGGATCGCTTGAGCTCAAGAGTTTGAGATCAACCTGAGCAACATAGTGAGACCTCGTCTCTATTTAAAAAAAAATTTTCAAATTAAAAACAAGTGTTCATGATATCATTTTTCTCTACCTTTTTTCTACTGTTTCCACACTAAAAAAGATTATAAAAGTAAGTAGCCTGACAAACAGAATTAGAATAAAATAGGTGCAAGGAGAGAGCAGAAAAAAACAGTGTAATTGGTTGAATTTAGCTTAGCAATAACTTTCTCAGCTCTTAATTTATATATATTTAGAACCAATCTTGTAGTACATGCTCCAAATCAACTACATATGAATTGGCAAATAGGTATTTAAAAATCTTTGTTTTTTTTTTTTTTTGTATTTTTTTTTTTTTGTCTGAGACGGAGTCTTGCTCTGTCGCCCAGGCTGGGGTGCAGTGGCACAATCTCAGCTCACTGCAACCTCTGCCTCCTGGGTTCAAGGGATTCCTGTGCCTCAGCCTCCTGAGTGGCTGGGACTACAGGTGTGCACCACCATGCCCAGCTAATTTTTGTATTTTTAGTAGAGACGGGTTTTCACCATGTTGGCCAGGCTGATCTCGAACTCCTGACCTCAAGTGATCTGCCCACCTTGGCCTCTCAAAGTGTTGGGATTAAAGGCGTGACCCACCTTGCCCAGCACAAAATCTGAATTAAGAAAGAAGTGAACTTCTTTTCACAGAATAAGGATCCCAAGCTGCTCCTTTTGGCCCTGACCTGGCGCAGTGGCTCACCCCTGTAATCCCAGCACTTTGGGAGGCCGAGGCGGGTGGATCACCTGAGGTAGGGAGTTCTAGACCAGCCTGACCAACACGGAGAAACCGTCTCTACTAAAAATACAAAATTAGCTGGACATGGTGGCACATGCCTATAATCCCAGCTACTTGGGAGGCTGAGGCAGGAGAATTGCTTGAACCCGGGAGGTGGAGGTTGCAGTGAGTGGAGATCGTGCCATTGCACTCCAGCCTGGGCAACAAGAGCAAAATTCCATCAAAAACAGAACAAAACAAAAAAAACCACCACAAAAATAAAGTATCAAGACCATATTTTCAGGGATCATTTCTATAGTTCATTCATTACTAGAGAAGTTTCTCTGAACATGCAGGGCACCGCAAACCATGAGGAAGAGGCACAGCATTCTCTTCTGAGCCTGAAGCCAGCTCTTCTTGCTTCACTGCCATTTGCCCTTCATGATCATTCTCTTCCTGCAGGAGAGTAAGAAAGGATGCAGTCTGAGTGGTTCCTGTCTAAAAAATAATAAAATAAAATAAAAGTATGGTCCTAATTCTTATTTTTTATTTATTTTTTTGAGACGGAGTCTCTCTCTTGTTGCCCAGGCTGGAGTGCAATGACGCAATCTTGGCTCACTGCAACCTCTGCCTCCAGGGTTCAAGTGATTCTCCTGCCTCAGCCTCCCAAGTAGCTAGGATTACAGGTGCCTGCCACCATGCCAGGCTAAGTTTTGTATTTTTAGTAGAGACAGGCTTTTACCATGTTGGCCAGGCTGGCCTTGAACTCCTGACCTCAGGTGATCCACCCACCTTGGCCTCCTAAAGTGCTGGAATTCTGGCCTCTAATTCTTAAATAGAAGACCCAGACACTGGTTTGTCAGATAGTCTGGCCTTCCTTTTTTCTCCTCTTAACTCCATTTAGTGTAGCTATTTTACTATTTGTTCACTCTTTTAGCTTGAAAGTGGCAGGAAGAAAAAAAAAAGAAAAAAAAGAAAGTGGCATGAAGAGAACATACTGCTTAAACCAATCAATTCACCACTTTTGGCAGCTCTGTGAAAAGGTTTTCTGGAGGTGGGTGGGATTTTTGATTAACATAATTATCGGTTTCAGAGCTAGCCCTGCCTCTTCGTCAACTTTCTTCTTTCTAAACTAAAAAGGGTAATAGTAAAGTGCATCTTAAAACTGAAGGAATTAAAACAGCACCACCTCTTATCTTTAGAAGAGCAGTTTGGCACACTGACTGGTATAAACCAGCTGGCACCCTTCACAGGATGTTCTCACCACCACCCACCCTCTGGTTTCAAAGGCAGTCTTGTTGACATTTTCAGAAACTCTAGAGCTGGTGGCTTCCAGAAGTACTCCTTACGTAGTAGAGGCAGGCATGCATGCCTAGGAGTGGGCCTTACATGTATTGGGAAACCTTCAAGAGGCCCTGGGATTCCAGATTTGGGCAAAAGAATATGGTGCTTAAGATTGGAGCCAGAGACTTCAAAAAGAGAGTATTAGGTCAGGGTCTTAAGGACTAGCCAGTGGAATGAGGCAGAAAGTTAGAGAGCCAGGCTGGAATGGAGTGTGAGGTTAGGGCTGTTCCTTTTAAATGTATTTTAACAGAGGGGGAATACTGAGCCAAGATTGGACCACTGCATTCCAGACTGAGCTATGGAGCAAGACCCTGCCACAACAACAAACAAAAAAAAAGAGGGGAAAATAGGATTAGTTTGTACATCTTGTATGCTTATACTGACTCACTCCCACAAATATAAGACTGTCAACCTAAAGAAAGTGAGGCAAAAATTAATATAAGTAGAGTTTATTTAGGTCGAATTTGAGGACTGCAACCTGGGAGAGACAGATTCAAGTTGCCTTGAATATATGCTCTGATTAGCAGCATATATTCAGGTGGGTTTTAAAAAGTGGGGCAGTTCTTATATTGGTTCATTCAAATAACATAAGCTATTGATTGGCAATACACTGTTCCTTGTATAACAAATTCCAGGAACATGAAGATAATGGGTGAGGCTCCTACTCTGCAACTTTAACAACATTTTAGGTAATTTATCAGCTAGTCTGGCAACTACAGGGAAAGAAAGAATAAAATGTCTTTATCATATATATGTATACATATGATACACATATGTACATATGATATATATACATATATACATGTATATATACATATATCGCTGTGTCAAGCCTCACTCTGTCATCGCTGTGACAGAGCGTCGCGATGACAGAGCCTCACTCTGTTGCCCAGGCTGGAGTGCAGTGGTGCGATCTTGACTCACTGCAAGCTCCGCCTCCTTGGTTCAAGCGGATTCTCCTGCCTCAGCCGCCCGAGTAGCTGGGATTACAGGAACGGCTAATTTTTGTATTTTTAGTAGAGATGGGGTTTTACCATGTTGGTCAGGCTGGTCTCAGAACTCCTGGCCTCAAGTGATCCATGTGCCTTGCCTCCCAGAGTGCTGGGATCATAGGCGTAAGCCGCCACACCCGGACAGAATAAAATGTCTTTAAACAGTTGCCCCTGGGTATTGAAACAGCCTTTGCAAAATTACAACTGATGAAATTATACCTGAGGAAATTATGACAGTGAAATAAATCAGACCTAATTGACTCCATCTTGCTTCTAGCCTTTAAGCTGTCCTTGTTCGTTCCTGCGCGTAGGCCAAGCTAACTTTGGGAAGGAATTCAGTTCATGGTTTGACTATGAAACAAAATTGATGACATGGCCAGGCGCGGTGGCTCACGCCTGTAATCCCAGCACTTTGGAAGGATGAGGCAGGCAGATTATTTGAGGTCAGGAGTTCAAGACTAGCCTGGCCAACATGGTGAAACCCTGTCTCTACTAAAAATACAAAAATTATCTGGGCATGGTGGCAGGCACCTGTAATGCCAGCTGCTCAGGAGGCTGAGGCAGGAGAATCACCTGAACCCAGGAGGTGGACATTGCAGTGAGCCAAGATCACACCACTGCACTCTAGCCTGAGTGACAGAGAAAGACTCTGTCTCAAAAAATCAAATAAAATAAACTGATAAACTGATAACAGCCCTTTCCCATAAAGACCCCCTTCTTGCCTGGGGACCAGTCTGCCTTTGCAGGACTAACAAATTAGCTATGAGATTAGAAATTACAGGGCCGGGCAAGGTGGCTCACACCTGTAATATCAGCACTTTGGGAGGCCAAGGTGGGCGGATCACCTGAGTTTGGGAGTTCGAGACCAGCCTGACAAACATGGACAAACCCCCTCTCTACTAAAAATACAAAATTAGCTGGGCTTGGTGGTGGGCACCTGTAATCCCAACTACTCAGGAGGCCGAGGCAGGAGAATCGCTTGAACCCGGGAGCCGGAGGTTGCGGAGAGCTGAAATCGTGCCATTGTACTCCAGCCTGGGCAACAAGAGCAAAACTCCGTCTCAAAAAAAAGAGATTAGAAATTAGTTTACGGGTCATGCAACCATGCAACCTCTGGCTCCTCTGAACCTCCTCAAATTGCTCCTGGAGATAACATCACTTTTGTAAAACCTAAGATCAGTGCTTGAGATATTTTGCAGACCCTGCACTCGGTGGATCAGCTGACACCACCCAGACCCAGATCAGTAATCTGGCTCAACCAGTTCTGCCATCCCACCCAGGAACAGAAGACAGCAAGAAAAACTCACTTCGACCCCCTATGATTCCATCCCCAACCTGACCAATCAGTACTTCCCCCTTCCCAAGTCCCTACTTGTCAAATTGTCTTTAAAAACTCTGATGAAGCTCAAGGATACTGATTTGAGTAATAATACTTGTCTCCCACACAGCCGGTTCTATGTGAATTACTCTTTCTCCATGCAATTCCCCTGTCTTGATAAATCAGCTCTGTCTAGGCAGTGGGGAAGGTGAATCCACTGGGCAGTTACAGTGTGGGTTGGTGTGGGTGGGGGATGACTGAGGTCTCAAAAGTCATGTCTCTGTAAGCCTAACAAGTTTTGCATACTTCACATAGCTTAGGCTGCTCTGAGTTGCTGTTCCTTCTCTTTTTTTTTGAGATGGAGTCTCACTGTTGCCCAGGATGGAGTGATGTGATCGTTAACTCACTGCAGCCTTGAACTCCTGGGATCAAGTAATGCTCCTGCCTCAGCCTCCCAAAGTGCTGGGATTACAGGCATGAGCAACCGCGTCCAGCCAAAATTCTGCTTTAGACTGCAGCTTCAGCTCATGCCTGAGTTCCAGCCTGCCTTTCCTGATGGCTTGCTCTGCCGATTTTACACTTACCTAGGGAGCTGCCACAACTGTATGTCAACTCCTTGCCAAAAAAACCCTTAATATATGTCTCCTATTGATTTTATTTTCCTGATGGAGCCCTGATACAGTGACTGGGCGTGAGAACTTGCAAGTAGTATGACATACAATTTTTTTTTTTTAAGAGAGGGTCTTGCTATATTGCTCAGGCTGGTCTTGAACTTCTGGGCTCAAGTGATCCTCTTGCTTCAGCTTCCCAAGTAGCTGGGATTACAAGGGTGCACCACTGCACCCAGCTCATTAGTTACTTATTTAAGTATTGTGTATAATTTGGACTTCATGGCATATTTTAACAATATATATGAGTGTATGTGTGGGTGTATATAATTTTTAATGGTAAATCGTTTCTTAATGACTTAAACCCTTAACGCTGCAATTTAAAACCATTTCTTTACATTTTTTTTCATGGTAGTATCAACCTAAAAGGAAGAAGTTGAGGCAAAAGTAACTTTTGAGGGGGCTAAGCTTGAGGATTGCATTTCAGGACACTTCCAAGTTGCCTTGAGTGCTCCAGAGAACAAAACAGAGAGAGGCTCAAGTTTTTGAAGAAAATAGGATGAATCAGGAGAAGGGACAATTTAAAAACTTGTTCATTAGGAATTCTCATTGGTTTACAGAAATAACATTGGCTAGTGATTGGCTATACACTGTTGAACTACAGGATGCATGGCATTGTATGGCTACTTGGCGTCAGTCTAGAGACTATATAACAAATGGCTTCAAGAGTAATTATTTAGTTCAACAGAGAGTGAGACAAGAATGCTGTTACATTGCAAATGCCTCCCTGGGCCTGATAATTTAAAGGGGCTTGCATTCTGTTTTTATTTTTTTTTTTCTTTTGAGACAGAGTCTCACTCTGTTGCCCAGGCTGGAGTGCAATGGCACAGTCTTGGCTTACTGCAACCTCTGCCTCCCAAGTTCAAGCGATTCTCCTGCCTCAGCCTCCCCAGTAGCTGGGAATACAGGCACCCGCCACCACACCTGGCTAATTTTTGTATTTTTAGTACAGACAGGATTTCACCATGTTGGTCAGGCTGGTCTCGAACTGCTGACCTCATGATCCACCCACCTCGGCCTCCCAAAGTGCTGGGATTACAGGCGTGAGCCATCATGCCCGGCCAGGGCTTGCATTCTTCAGATAAAAAGTTTTTTTTTTTTTTCTAAGTAGCTCTTAAGTGACAAATTAAAGAATAGCATTCAGCCTATTTTTTTTTCTACTTTAGATATAAGAACTCAAGTTTTCCTTCATATCAGCAATACATTCTGCAAACCAAAGAGTATCTGAGACAAGCCTCATCAATTTAGGAAGTTTACTTTGCCAAGGTCAAGGATGTGCCCACGGCAGCCTCCAGAGGTCCTGAGGACATGTGCCCAAGGTGTTCAGGGCACAGCTGGGTTGTATACATTTTAGGGAGACGAGACATCAATTAATATATGTAATGTACATTGGTTCAGTCTGGAAAGGTGGAATAACTTGAAGTAGGGAGGAAGTCCACAAGGAATTTCCTTGTGGCAAATTGTGATGAAGGAGGTAAGCAGTTGTTTTATCCTTGCAGCTATCTCATTGAGGAATAGAATGGGAGGCAGGTTTGCCCGACACAGTTCCCAGCTTGACTTTTCCTTTTGGCTTAGTGATTTTGGGGTCCTGAGATTATTTTCTTTTCACAGTTCTAACCACCTGAGCTAACTGGCCAATACCATTCTTTCATATTAGATACTAACTAAAACATTTGTGTTTTTTTCTTTGACTTCTCTCCCCACAAGATCTTCAAATTGCAGTTGTCATGTCCCAACTCCAAATATGGTTTTGATCACATATTTCTCAAAAAAATTTTACCACTTACTCAATACATATATATTTTTACATATACATTGCAAAAATGGCCAGGCTTAGTGGCTCATGTCTGTAATCTTGGCTCTTTGGAGGCCGAGGTGGAAGGATCCACTTGAGGCCAGGAGTTTGAGACCAGCCTGGCCAACATAGTGAGACCCTGCCCCTATTAAAGAAAAAAAAAAAGGGCCAGGCATGGTGGCTCACCTGAGATCGGGACTTCGAGACCAGCCTGACCAACATAGAGAAACTCCATCTCTACTCAAAATACAATTAGCCAGGCATAGTGGTGAATGCCTGTAATCCCAGCTACTGGGGAGGCTGAGGCAGGAGAATCGCTTGAATCCGGGAGGCAGAGGTTGTGGTGAGCCAGATCACACCACTGCACTCCAGCCTTGGCAACAACAGCGAAACTCTGTCTCAAAACAAAACAAAAAACAAACAAACAAAAAAAGATTTTTAAAAAAGCTTATATTGTTATATGTAAAAAATTTAAAAACACAGAAATGTAAAGAAAAATGTTGAGAATAAAAAGGACATACAAATAAGGGTTCTAATATTCTCTTCCTGCATCTCAAGAGTCGTTTCATTCATCTCACTTTGAGTTTACTTGGTTCTTTTTTTTGTTTAGTTTTGTTTTAGACAGGGTCTCACTCTGTCATCCAGGCTGGAGTGCAGTGTTGAGATGATGATTCATTGTAACCTCTGTCTCCTGGGCTGAAGCAATCCTCCCATTTCAGCCTCCCAAACTGCTGGGATTACAGGTGTGCACTACCATACCCAGCCTGAGTTCACTTCTTAAACTATTTCCCAACAGAGTACAAAGATGATTCACAGGTTCACACTGTTAAAGGTAGTAATGGTGCCTGTTTAAATATGTTTTTTAAATTCTCAAAATAATAATTTTTTTCTTTAAAATAGAACATTTTGGCCGGCTCAGTGGTTCACACCTGTAATCCCAGCACTTTGGGAGGCCAAGACAGGTGGATCTCTTGAGGCCAGGAGCTCAAGACCAGCCTGGCCAACATAGCAAAACCCAGTGTCTGCTGAAAATAGAAAAAATTAGCTGGGTGTGGTGGCACGCGCCTGTAATCCCTGCTATTCGGGAGGCTGAAGCATGAGAATTGCTTGAACCTGGGAGGTGGAGGTTGCAATAAGCCGAGATTGTGCCACTGCACTCCAGCCTGGGTGACAGAGGGAGACTCTGTCTCAAAAATAAACAAATGAAACATTTTAGAAGCTTCCAAAAGTGCTGAGAGAACACTTAGAATTTAAATCAGCCAAATGTGGCCACAGTTTAGTCACTCAGCTGATCTATCATTCAGCTAAACAGCGCTAACCACAGTAGCCTTGATTCAGTTTTTAATGGTGTTTATTCTTAGTTATATGACATTTAATTAACATGTTAAATGAACTACTGATTTAAAATAAGAGGCAAAAGGAAAATACCATTAAAATGCTAGCTAATGAAAAGCATTAAAAATATAATTCTGCATTTTTGCCAGAGTCATCTTCACCCATCCATATGTTTCACCTACTACATCACATAGAATATTACAAGGATAAATATATCGATGATTTACACCCAATTTCGCTCTTCATTTATTGGGAATAAAAACGAGCATAAGCTTGTAATCCCAGCACTTTGGGAAGCCGAGGCAGGAGCCTCGTTTGAACTCAGGAGTTCGAGACCAGCCTGGGCAACATAGCGAATCTCTGTCTACACAAAAAATATGGCCGGGCGCAGTGGCTCACGCCTGTAATCCTAGCACTTTGGGAGGCCGAGGCAGGTGGATCACAAGCTCAGGAGTTTGAGACCATCCTGGCTAACACAGTGAAACCCCGTCTCTACTAAAAATACAAAAGATTAGCCGGGCATGGTGGCATGTGCCTGTAGTCCCAGCTACTTGGGAGGCTGAGGCAGGAGAATCTCTTGAACCCGGGAGGCGGAGGTTGTAGTGAGCTGAGATCGCGCCACTGCACTCCAGCCTGGGCGACAGAGCGAGACTCCATCTCAAAAAAAAAAAAAAAAAAAAAAAATCTGGGCTTGGTGGCGTGTGCCAGTAGTCTCAGCAATTCAGGAGGCTGAGGTGGCAGGCTCACTTGAGCCCAGGACGTCGAGGCTGCAGTGAACCATGATCCCACCTCCTGCCAGTGCACTCCAGCCTGGATGACAGAGCGAGACCCTGTCTCCAAAACAAAACAAAACAAAGAGCTAAATCGGTAATGTTTCCTTTACAAACAACCTGAAACCTTCTCTAATCATTTAGAAATAAGATACAAAAATGACAAAAATAATTCGATATTTTAAACAAAAATGCAATAATTACAAGCATCAGTAATGAACGCAGTTTTTGCTTAGCTTTAATTCTGTAAAGTGTACTTAATTTTAATCTAGAAGTGTAGAAGTATTACATACATCCGAAATCATGTTTTTTTCTTCTACAGTCGAAAGTTTGTATTACATGTAAAATAGGAAAAAAATATTAAAATTTTTCGAAAGCGAAAAGTCTACTCAGCAAGTTTTTGGTATTTATTAATGGTTTTACTTTTGCTAGACACAAAAATGAAATACCGCTAAATTAGCTCACAGAAGAGTTCAGGATTCTATAGACTCAGGAAAAGCCTGTCCTAAAACTGTTTTAATAAAGGCTGAAAATAGACACTATAATACAGTCTTTAATAATATACAATGTGTATTCCTCCTGATGGTGGTCTTGCTTGACATTTTAAGCATAGCCCTATTTTCCTGTGAAGATAGCAGCCAGTTCTGCTTCATGTCATAACAACACTTGATTCATGTAAGCAGCTGCTACCTATGCCATCACAGTACACATAATTGCTAAATGTAGGGTTCAAATAATCGTAAATGGACACTAATATGAAAATCAGACTGTTTTGTTGTAACAGCAAAAGTTTTAGAAACAAATAATTTTAGTATCTACTTAGTACAGTAAGCATGAACATATAGTATACAGCTAGGCACAGCAGTAAATTGTTGGAAACACTAACATTTATTGTTTACGAACATACATGCAGTGTTTACACATTTCTTAAATGTTGTCTTTAATGCTGCTGATAAACGAAAGGATAAAAAGTCCAACAAACCACAATAAATGTCAATGGGTGTTATTAACAACATGAAAGAACTCAGTAGCAACAACCACATTTAAAGCTACAGGACTCGAAAGTTCCGGACTACAAATCCCAGAGTTCCCTAGAGCCCAGGCGGAGCTACCTTCAAACTGATCGCTTTTTCACCCAATGACAGCCAGAGAATCCCTAAACCACATTCAGCCCGGCCTGAAGGGCTGGTTTCTTCGCGTGAAAACAATAAGGTATTACGTAGACTTTCTGAACACGAGTGGTAGTTTCAGGGCCTGAGTCTAACTACTAAATTATTTCTCCCCGCATTAGTCTCCTAGTCATCTTAATAACTCTCTACCCAACTCTGGCTCGGTGGAAACTCGGAACGTCTAAATGCTGAAACTCACGTAAATCAGTACCAGCGGATGCATCCAGTCAGCCACGAGGAAGGCGGAATCCGCCTTATTCTTGCCCTTTATTGGCCACGCATCCCACCAATGGGGCCATTAAACTTCCGCTAACGCAGCGTACGGCGTGGTGGTGTGAGCGTTGTACGTACGCTGGGTCTACGAAGGGGCAGGCGTTCTGCTTTCGTCCAATCGGAAGCTAGCAAGAATTCCCCGGGCCGCTATGCCCCACTTCTTTCGCGTCGCGTTACGGGCCGCCTCTCTGCAGCCGACCAATCCTCTTGATTTTCTTGTGCGCATTACCCAATCAGAGAGGTCGAGGCGGGGTTCCACTTGACCGCTCTAAGCCGCCGCGCAGCCTGCGTTTTCTCCGGTACAGGTTGAGGCTACTAAGGTACATTTTGCTGGGCCAGGCTGGGCGGGTCCCCGGGATGGGCAGCCCTCTCGACGAGCGGCGACGCCGTGGTTGAGTCTAGAAAGCTAGAGTTGCTGGACAGCTATCGCGGGAGCGCGGAGGGAAGTGGGAGGTCTGGACGGAGTGTGCACGTGTTGGCAGTCTCGCTCCGCCGTCGGAGCCACCAGGTCAAACCTGTGCTGGCCCTGGCCAAAGAAACTTCTGCGGGTCAGGCTGCTGTTGCCGGTGCAGTTCCCAGTACTTCCTCTGGGGCGTTTTTCAATAAAAGCCAAACGCCCTTGCTCATTTTCAGGGAAAGACCTGTTTCCTCCTGCTCTTTCCTCTCCACGGATACTCTCCCCACCACTAAAAGGGTTTAGTATAATCCTTTTGTAGGCCAGAAAGCAGATTTTCACTTGGGAAGAGACGACCCGTAGTATGGGATGTGGTATGATACCAGCAACTGGTCTATTATATCATTTAAACCACATGGCTATCTAAAGAGGTAGGTACTGTGAGTGTTCTCATTTTCACGCGAAGCAGTGTTAGACATTACTCATTCTTGTGTTTTCTTTAGCTTGTCTCTGACAAATTGTGGCATTCAGCTTCCATGGATGTAAAATTAAAAGATGGTATAATTTGTAAAATGTTGCTCCTGTTTTCTTTTTTGTTTTTCTTTTTCTTTTTCTTTTTTTTTTTTTTTTTTGAGATGGAGTCTCAGGCTGTCGCGCAGGCTGGAGTGCAGTGGGGCGATCTCGGCTTACTGCAACCTCCGCCCCCCGGGTTCAAGCGATTCTCCAGCCTCAGCCTCCCGAGTAGCCGGGATTATAGGCGCCTGGCACCACGCCCGGCTAATTTTTGTATTTTTAGTAGAGACGGGATTTCACCATACTGGTCAGGCCGGTCTCGAACTCCTGACTTCAGGTGATCCACTCGCCTCTGCCTCCCAAAGTGCTGGGATTACAGGCGTGAGCCACCGTGCCCGGCCGTTTTCTTTATTAATTTGAAATTATTTAAAGTCAATAAAAGCCTGGGCGCGGTGGCTCACGCCAGTAATCCCAGCACTTTGGGAGGCCGAGGCGGGCGGATCACGAGGTCAGGAGTTCGAGACCAGCCTGGTCAACATGGTGAAACCCCCGTCTCTACTACGAATGCAAAAATGTGGCGGGCGCCTGTAGTCCCAGCTACTCGGGAGGCTGAGGCAGGAGAATCGCTTGAACCCGGGAGGCAGAGGTTGCAGTGAGCCAAGATCGTGCTACTGTACTCCAGCCTGGGCGACAGAGTGAGACAACGTCTCAAAAAAGAGAAAAAAAAAAGTCAATAAAACACACCTAGAAGTGAATTAATCGATTGTTACCAAGGTAAAATGATCTAGAGGAAAGACATCGCAGTAGGCACCAGTTACTGACCTTTGACTGGACAAGTCAGCATCAGCTTTTTCACCTGTATAATTGAAATAAATACCAAACTTGACTACTTAGAGTTCTGAGGATTAAATAATTTAATAGATACAAAATATGTTACCGATGAAAGCCACGTGACTGTTTCTGCTTTTCAAATTCTTTCTTGTGGAGCCTGGACTGCACTGCAACCTATGGCCGAGTAAAACAGTGGTAACTTGCAGTCAAGTACCATTTAAGTGAGAAATCCTCTGAAACGTCTATGGACTGCTTATCTCCTTGTTCAGTATTCAGGAATACTTTCCTGTGAATGCAGCTATGTTACTTACCTGGTTTGTATTCTTACCTTAGATTGTTGTAGCTATTGTAAAGCAAAAGTAAGATCAAGCCCATGTAACTACTTTTTGGGTTCTTTTCTCTCACTTTGTAAATACAGGGTGTTTTTCCAGACGGGAGTGCGGTGGCACAGTCTTAGCTCACTGCAGCCTCGAACTTCTGAGCTCAAGTGATCCTCCTGCCTCAGCCTCCCAAGTGGCAGGGATTACACACGAGCCACTGTGCCAAACCCGTGAAGTTTTTGAGTTGTACTTTTGTACTAAAGTCATGACTACTTTTTCTGCAACTGACACTATGAGCTGCAAATACGACTGAAGATGCTACTGCTTTTTTACTTTTTCCCTATGTGCTTTAAAGAACTACATTTTCAGTGATTTCCATGTGTTTAAGATATTTTCATTTACTTGGTAGAAAATACAAGAGAATTTTGATAAATCTGAACTGGAATGGTCTTTATGTTAATTCTGTTCAATATTTTAGGGCAGATTATGTACAGATTATCGCCAAACTGTCAAAAGGGTGTATTTTGTTCATATAGCTACTGTAACAAATTACAACAGATTTAGTGACTTCGAATAACACACATTTATTCTTTCTGCCTTTGTTTCTTTCTTTTTTTTTTTTCCTTTGGTGAAAAGTACACACTTAAGAAAGGGGAGTGCAGATGTACTCAAGAGAGTCACCTCTTCCTTTTTTTTTTTTTTTTTTTTGGTAGAGATGAGGTCTCGCTATGTTGCCCAGGTGGGTCTCAAACTCCTGGGCTCAAGCAGTCCTCCCACCTTGGCCTCCCAAAGTTCTGGCATTACTGGCATGAGCCACCATGCTCAGCCTCATTTATTGTCTTTTAGTTCTGGAGGTCAGAAGTATGAAATCAGTTTCACTGGACTAAAGTCAAAGTGTTGCAGGCCCAATTCCTTCTGGAGGCTGTGAGAAGAAAATCCATTTCCTTACCTTTTTCAGCTTGTAGTGGCTGCCTGTCTTCCTTGGCTTGTGGCTCTTTTCTGCACAGGACATCATGCTATCATCATACCACTTTCTCATCTGTAGTCACATCTCCCTCTGCCTCTCTTATGAGGACATTTGTGATTATATTAAGGACCCCCCCAGATAAACAAGGATACTCTCTCCATCTCAACATACTTTGTAAAGTCCCTTTTGTCATATAATGAAACAGTCATAGATTCCAGGAATTAAGACCTTTGTATCTTTGAGGGCCAGTGTTCAGCCTACCACAGGAAGGTATAAAGAAGAGTAAAACATCCTATCCCATAAAGTCTCACAGGGACTATAAGAGAAAAACAAATTCACAGTAAATGGTTGCTGAGTTAGACTTTCTTATTACTGTGAAAATAACCTAAGTCACCACAGGTTGGAGCTTCGCCAATTTTTCCACTGGAATATCTTTAATAGCAAAGGTAAATGAATATTCCTGTGATATTTGGAAACAAAGCCTGAATTAATGCTTTAGAAGAGTAAAATTTCTTTGAATTCTAATCTTATAATTTAAAATTTTATGTGACTTTTGCATTCAGTTTTATATGTTCATGGTTGATGCTGTTTTGAATTATATTTAAGCATTGCTGTTCTAGAGAAAAGACTGTTTATTCTGTAGTTTCATTATTGTTTTACTTTTAAATTTATTTTTAGAGATAGGGTTCTCACTATGTTGCCTATGGTGGACTCAAACTCTTGGGCTCAACTGATGTTCCCACGTAAGCCTCCTAGCTGGGACTATGGGCATGCAACCCAGTGCCCAGCTAATGTAGCTTCTTGTAATTTTCTTTTTTGGGGGGGCAGTGACTTTTTTTTAAAACTTACTTTTTGGCCAAGAACGGTGGCTCATGCCTGTAATCCCAGCACTTTGGGAGGCCGAGGCGGGTGGATTACCTGAGGTCAGGAGTTTGAGACCAGCCTGGCTAACATGGCAAAACCCTGTCTCTACTAAAAATACAAAAATTAGCCGGGGATGATGGTGCGTGCCTGTAGTCCCAGCTACTGGGGGGCTGAAGCAGGAGGATCACTTGAACCTGGGAGGCGGAGGTTGCAGTGAGCCAAGATCGTGCCACTGCACTCCAGCCTGGGTAACAGAGCGAGGCTGTTTTGAAAAAAAAAAAATTTTTCCGTAAGTTATTGGGGTACAGGTGGTATTTGGTTATATGAGTAAGTTCTTTAGTGATGATTTGTGAGATTTTGGTGCACGTATCACCTGAGTAGTATACACTACACCATATTTGTAGTCTTTTAATCCCTTGCCCCCCCTCCCCCGGCCAAGTCCCCAAAGTCCATTGTATCATTCTTATGCCTTTGTGTCCTCATAGCTTAGCTCCCACATATCAGTGAGAATATATGATGTTTGGTTTTCTATTCCTGAGTTACTTCACTTAGAATAATAGTCTCCAGTCTCATCCAGGTCATGGCAAATGCTGTTAATTCATTTCTTTTTATGGCTGTGTAGTATTCCATTATATATATACACATATATATACACACACATATATATACACACACACACACCCACCACAGTGTCTTTATCCACTTGTTGATTGATGGGCATTTGGATTGGTTCCACGATTATGCAGTTGTGAATTGTGCTGCTATAAACATGCGTGTGCAAGTATCTTTTTCAAATAATGACTTTTCCTCTGGGTAGATAACCCAGTAGTGGGATTGCTGGATCAAATGTTAGTTCTGCTTTTTAATTCTTTAAGGAATCTCCACACTGTTTTCCATAGTGGTTGCACTAGTTTACATTCCCACCAGCAGTGCGGAAGTGTTCCCTGTTTACCACATCCACGCCAGCATCTCTTGTTTTTTTATTCTTCACTTATGGCCATTCTTGCAGGAGTGTGGTGGTATCACATTGTGGTTTCGATTTGCATTTCCCTGATCATTAGTGATGTTGAGCATTTTTTCATAGGTTTGTTGGCCATTTGTATATCTTCTTTTGAGAATTGTCTCTTCATGTCCTTAGCCCACATTGTGATGGGCTTGTTTGTTTTTTTTCTTACTGATTTGAGTTCGTTGTAGATGCTGGATATTAGTCCTTTGTCAGATGTATAGATTGTGAAGATTTTCTCCCACTCTGTTGTTGTCTATTGACTCTGTTGACAATTCCTTTTGCTGTGCAAAAGCTCTTTAGTTTAATTATGTCCCAGCTATTTATCTTTGTTTTTATTGCATTTGCTTTTGGGTTCTTGGTCATGAAATCCTTGCCTAAGCCAATGTCTAGAAGGGTTTTTCCAATGTTGTCTTCTAGAATTGTTAGTTTCAGGTCTTAGGTTTAAGTCCTTAATCCATCTTGAGTTTATTTTTGTATAAGGTGAGAGATGAGGATCCAGTTTCATTTTTCCTCCATGTGGCTAGCCAATTATCCCAGCACCATTTGTTGAAAAGGGTGTCCTTTCCCCACTTTATGTTTTTGTTTGCTTTGTCGAAGATCAGTTGGCTGTAAGTATTTGGGTTTATTTCTGGGTTCTCTATTCTGTTCCATTGGTCTGTGTGCCTATTTTTATACCAGTACCATGCTGTTTTGGTGACTATGGCCTTATGGTATAGTTTGAAATCAGTTAGTGTGATGCCTCCAGATTTGTTATTTTTGCTTAGTCATGCTTTGGCTATGCGGGCTCCTTTTTGGTTCCATATGAATTTTAGGATTGTTTTTTCTAGTTCTGTGAAGAATGATCGTGGTATTTTGATGGGGATTGCATTGAATTTGCACATTGCTTTTGGCAGCATGGTCATTTTCACAATACTGATTCTACCCGTCCATGAACATGGGATGTGTTTCCATTTGTGTTGTCTATGATTTCTTTCAGCAGTGTTTTGTAGTTTTCCTTGTAGAGGTCTTTTGACTCCTTTGTTAGGTATATTCTTTTTTTCTTCTTTCTTTTTTGAGATAGAGCCTTGCTCTGGCTCACTGCAACCTCCACCTCCCGAGTTTGAGCAGTTCTCCTGCCTGAGCCTCCCAAGTAGCTGGGACTACAGGTGTGCACTACCACGCCTGACTGATTTTTTTGTATTTTTGATAGAGATGGGGTTTCACCATGTTGGCCAGGCTGGTCTCGAACTCCTGACCTCAAGTGATCCACCTGCCCCGGCCTTCCAAAGTGCTGGGATTATAGGCTTGAGCCACTACCCAGCCTGTTAGGTATATTCCTAAGTTTTGTTTGTTTGTTTGTTTTTGCAGCTATTGTAAAAGGGGTTGAGTTCTTGATTTGATTCTCTGCTTGGTCGCTGTTGATGTATAGAAGAGCTACTGATTTGTGTACATTAATCTTGTATCCAAAAGTTTTGCTGGATTCTTTTATCAGTTCTAGGAGCTTTCTGGAGGAGTCCTTACAGTTTTCAAGGTAATTGACCATGTCTTCAGCAAACAGTGACAGTTTGACTTCCTCTTTATTGATTTGGATGCCCTTTATTTCTTTCTGTTGTCTAATTCCTCTGGCTAGGACTTCCAGTAGTACATTGAGGAGGAGTGGTGAGAGTGGGCATCCTTGTCTTGTTCCAGTTCTCAGAGGGAATGCTTTCAGCTTTTCCCCATTCAGTATTATGTTGGCTGTGGTTTGTCATAGATGGTTTTTATTACATTAAGGTATGTCCCTTATATGCTGATTTTGCTGAGAGTTTTAATCATAAAGGGATGCTGGATTTTGTCAAATGCTTTTTCTGTATCTATTGAGATGATCATGTGATTTTTGTTGTTAATTCTGTTTATGTGGTACATCACATTTATTGACTTGTGTATGTTAAACCATCCCTGCATTCCTGGTATGAAACCTACTTGATCATGGAGGATTATCTTCTTGATATGTTGTTGGATTCAGTTAGCTAGTATTTTGTTAAGGATCTTAGCATTTATGTTCATCAAGGATATTGGTCTATAGTTTTGTTTTTTGGTTATGTCCTTTCCTGGTTTTGGTATTAGGGTGATGCTGGCTTCATAGAATGAATTAGGGAGAGTTCCTTTGTTATCTTGTGGAATAGTGTCAAAAGGATTGGTACCAATTCTTTGAATGTCTGGTAGAATTCTGCTGTGAATCCATTTTTTTTTTTTTTGGAGACAGAGTGTAGTGGCACAATCTCAGCTCACTGCAACCTCTGCCTCTAGGTTCAAGCGATTCTCCTGCCTCAGCCTTCGAAGTAGCTGGGACTACAGGCACGCACCACCATGCCCAGCTAATTTTTTTTTTTTTTTTTTGAGATGTAGTTTCGCTTTTGTTGCCCAGACTGCAGTGCAATGGTGCGATCTTGGCTCACCGCAACCTCCGCCTCCTGGGTTCAAGCGATTCTCCTGCCTCAGCCTTCCCAAGTAGCTGGGATTATAGGCATGTGCCACCATGCCTGGCTAATTTTGTATTTTTAGTAGAGATGGGGTTTCACCATATTGACCAGGCTGGTCTCAAACTCCTGATCTTAGGTGATCTGCCTGCCTCAGCCTCCGAAAGTGTTGGGATTACAGGCGTGAGCCACTGTGCTCAGCCTTGTTTTTTCTTTAAGCTATCTATTTCCCTGAATATTTCTCCCTTCACTTCTCTTTTTTTTTTTTTGAGAGGGAGTCTCGCTCTGTCGCCCAGGCTGGAGTGCAGTGGCACGATCTTGGCTCTCTGCAACCTCTGCCTCCTGGTTCAAGTAGTTCTCCCTGTCTCATCCCTCAGAGTAGCTGGGATTACAGGCACCCACCACCAGGCCCAGCTAATTTTTGTATTTTTAGTAGAGAAGGGGTTTCACCATGTTGGTCAGGCTGGTAACGAGCTCCTGACATCAGGTGATCCACCCGCCTTGGGCTCCCAAAGTGCTGGGATTACAAGTGTGAGCCACCACACCTGGCCAGTTTTTGTGTTTTTAGTAGAGACAGGGTTTCGCCATGTTGGCCAAGCTGGTCTCGAACTCCTGGACTGAAGTGATACACCTGCCTCGGCCTCCCAAAGTGTTGGGTTTATAGGTGTGAGCCACTGTGCCCGGCCTGAAATTTAAGTAATTATTAATATGGTAAACATCTTTCTATTTGGAGATTGGAATTATGTCCTGATGATTTTTTACAGTTCTCGTAATTTTAATTTTTGGACCTCCTGCTAGATGGCAGTAGTAATCAATGCCAAGGGCCAGGAAGGAAACTTTTAAAACGGTTTGATAGCTTAAGTCTAATTCTTATGTTTAGTGAAGTTGCAACTGACCGTACATGATTTTCAGTTCTTTTTATCCTTCACATCTGATCTACAAAGCACATGTGAACTTTTTATCCTCTTAATATCCGTTTTTTTCTGGATAGTTCAATAATTATGCCTTTTGTTTGTTATTTCTCTGATATCAGGGTCTTTTACTGTGTTCAGTAGAGAGGAAATGAGTTTAGAACTTAGTAGATTCTGATCTTCCCTCATTATAACACCAAAGTGGTTAAAAGAACTAGTTCTGCTATATCTTTACATGAATATTATACAAGCTATAAATATTTACATTTAGGGATGTGTTTTGATTTCTATTTCAACGTAGTCCTTTTGAATGGTCTCCTAATTTGGAAAATTAAATAGTGAATCAACCTCAAAATGCAAAACAAAGTCTGTAGCTGTCAATAAATATTTATAAAATATTGCTTTATTGTCTGAGAGATATGTTTACATGATTATAAACTATCCAGTGTCAGGAAAAGCCTCATTCTGGCTTAATCTTATTTCATCTACCAATTAACAGTGGAAATTTTAAAAATCATTAATATGTTAAAGTGTCTTTCTGCTTGATGAATTAGGGTAGCATTTTTAGGGGAACATTTGTATTGTGAATTCACCTTAGAAGCATCTAGTCTATATACATACATAAATATATATATATACTTACACACATATTTATACATAAAAGGGGTGGAAATCCTGTCAAATACTAGTTTATTCTGCAGGTTATCATTTGACATTACATATTGCATTTCTTTAACATTCTCTATACTCCCACCTAGTGGTATATGAGTGCTGCTTTTGTGCCAGGCACCATTTAACATGGTAATTAATTTATGAAACCCTATGGCATTGATATTGCTATCTCCTGTTTAAACTACAGGAAACTGAAACATATAGTTAGTAAAGCCAGGATTTGTGCTCTGGCAGTCTGACTCTATACCCATTCTCAGCTATCATGCAATACCTGTCTCAGCTTCCTCATCTAAAACACTGTAATAAAAGGACTATCTTTTAGGATTATTGGGAGGGTTCATTGAAGCAATTCATGTGCAGAGGCTGACATGGTAACCGAGAATGGTAATGATCAGTTAATATTAGCTGTCATTTGGCTACTTTTCTGGTTTTCTTCCCATTCTTTTTTCATTTTTCTCTATTATAGGGTGCTTGGCCTGCTGCTTGCCATCATTCTGTATAATTCATCTGCTATCATTCTGTATAATTCATCTGTATAATTCATCCAGTTTCCTAGTTTGGGTTTTTGTTTGTTTGAGACGGAGTCTTGCTCTATCATCCATGCTGGAGTGCAGTGGTGTGATCACGGCTCACTGCAACCTCCACCTCCCGGGTTCAATTGATTCTCGTGCCTTAGCCTCCCTAGTAGCTGAGACTACAGGTTTGCGCCACCATGCCTGGCTAATTTTTGTATTTTTTTAAGTAGAGACGGGTTTCACCATGTTGGCCAGGCTGGTCTTGAACTCCTGGCCTCAGATGATCCATCCACCTCAGCCTCCCAAGGTGCTGGGATAAGGGGCAGGAGCCATCACGCCCGGCCTACTTTCCTAGTTTTTAAGTGCTGCTACTTCCTATAGTCTGATAACAGAATCCCGTACTTTCCCTCTGAGTTGTAGACTGATGTATACAAATGTTTGTCCTTGGCCATCCCCAGAAGTCCCTCAGGCTTATATGAGTAAAACTAAGGGCATTTCTTTGTTTTTTTTCCCCCCATTTTCTTGATTTTTGGATTTACTTTTTTTTGTTTTTAGTTTTTTTTTTGTTTGTTTGTTTTTTTGAGGCAGAGTCTCCCTCTGTTGCTCAGGCTGGAGTGCAGTGGTGCACTGTCGGCTCACTGCAGCCTTCACCTCCCAGGTTCAAGCAATTCTCCTGTCTTAGCCTCCCAAGTAGCTGGGATTACAGGCGTGTCCCATCACGCCCGGCTAATTTTTCTGTTTTTAGTAGAGACGGGTTTTCGCCAGGTTGGCCAGGCTGGTCTCAAACTCCTGGCCTCAGGTGATCTGCCTGCCTAGGCCTCCCAAAGTGCTGGGATTACAGGCGTGAACCACCGCACCTGGCCTGGATTTACTTTCTGACTCAACTCCGCTTGGTCATCCAATGCAAGAATCAGCCTGGATTCCTTCTGCACCTGTTCCTCCCCCGTGCTTCCAAATCGAGTCAGTGCCAAGCTTCACTAATGTTAACTTGCTGAATATTTCTCTGGCCAGGTGTGGTGGCTCACATTTGTAATCCCAGGTACAAGAGACTGGGAGGTTGAGGCAAGAGAATCACTTGAGCTCAGGAGTTCAGGAACAGCCTGAGCAACATAGCAAGACCTCATCTCTACTAAAAATTAAAAAAAAATTTTTTTTTTTAATTGGCCAGGCGTGGTTGTGTGCACCTGTATTTTCAGCTACTTGGAAGGCTGAGGTGGCACGATTGCTTGAGCCTGGGAGATTGAGCCTGCAGTGAGTGGCAGTTGCACCACTGCACTCCAGCCTGGGCCACAGAGTTAAGACTCTGTGCAAATAAATAAATAAATAGTCAAACTATAATACAGTATTCACAGTGAATAGAAGCAAAAAGAAAGAAAAGAAAAATATTTCTCAAATTCGCCTTTTTTCTCCATTCCTACTGTTGGGAACTCCATTATCTCTTTTAGTTTGATTTTTAGTTGACACATAATGTACATATTTCTGGGATATAGTGTGATGTTTTGATATACGTATACTTCGTGTAATGATCAAATCAAGTTAATTAGTGTCTCCGTCATCTCACATGTTGATCACTTTGTGGTGAGAACATGCAACAGTCCTCTCCTATCTATTTTGAAATAGACAGTACAGGCTGGGCCCAGTGGTTCCCACCTATAATCCCAGCACTTGGGAGGCTAAGGCCAGAGGATTTTTTAAGACCAGGTCTGGCAACATAGTGAGACCTTGTGTCTACAAAAAAAATATTAAAAAATTAGCTGGGGCATGGTGGCATCACCTGTAGTCCCAGGTACTCAGGAGGCTGGGGTGGGAGGATTGAGACTGCAATGAGCTGTGTTTGTGCCACTACACTGCATCCTGGACAACAGTGCAAGACTGTGTCTCACAAAAAAAAAAAAAAAGGACAATACATTTAAAAATATGGAATACTTCATGAATTTTCATGTCATCCGTGTGCAAGGGCCATGCTCATCTCTGTGGCCTTCTGATTTTAGTATGTGTGCTGCCAAAGCAAGCACTCCGTATCCTTGTCTGGACTTTTTTTTTTTTTTGTGAGACAGAGTCTCGCCCTGTCGGCCAGGCTGGAGTGCAATGACACAATCTTGGCTCACTGCAACCTCCACCTCCTGGGCTCAAGCAATTCTCCTGCCTCAGCGTCCCGAGTAGTTGGGATTACAGGCGTGGGCCACCATCCCGGCTAATTTTTGTAATTTTTAGTAGAGACGGGGTTTCACCATGTTGGCCAGGCTGGTCTCGAACTCCTGACCTCAGGTGATCCTCCCGCCTTGGCCTCCCAAAGTGCTGTGATTACAGGCGTGAGCTACCGCGCCCAGCCCCTTGTCTGGACTTTTTAATGGCCTCTATGGTCTCCCAACCTTCAGCCTTACCTCTCCCTATTTAAATCCATCTTCTACATTGTAAATGTGAGCAATTTAATATGTGACTCTGGGTTGGGTGCAGTGGCTCACGCCTGTAATCCCAGCACTTTGGGAGGCCGAGGCAGGTGGACCACCTGATGTCAGGAGTTCGAGACCAGCCTGGCCAACATGGGGAAACCCCGTCTCTACCAAAAATACAAAAATTAGCCGGGCATGGTGGCATATGCCTATAGTCCCAGCTACTTGGGAGGTTGAGACAGGAAAATCGCTTGAACCTGGGAGGCAGCAGTTGCAGTGAGCCAAGATCACGCCATTGCACTCCAGCCTGGGTGACAAGGCGAGACTCCATCTCAAGAAAAAAAAATGTGTTTATGACTCTGAATATGTAATATTTTTGCTACCGACCCCTTCCAATTCATTTATTTATTCAAATAGTTTAACGTAGCTGCTGTAGGTAAAAATAAGATACTGCTTTAGTCATTCCCTGTAACACACTGAATGTTCTAACTCCTTTCTTACCGAATTGGTTCTGTGAGAAGAAATAAAAAAAATAAAGTTTGACGTTTTAGTTGGGTATACAAGATAGACAACTCTAAGACCTGCCCTGCTGCTTGCTTCAATGTCGTCTCCTTTCCCATCCAACATCACACATTATGATCAGCAATACTAAACTTTCTCTTCTTCCCTTGCTTCCAGTACTTTTCATGCTTGTCTGTCCTCATAGTCAGCATATGAAAATGTTCAGTGACCAGACATGAGTAACAGACATTGTGGACTGTGGAAGATCCTGAACGCTAAGTCAAGAAAGTAAACTGTTCCTGAGGGAGAAAGGAAGAACCACTGATTGTCAGACTTTGCTATCATTCATGGAAATTGGGAGCATGGGTTGAAGAGAGAAACTAATGAAGTAAATTTTGGATAATCTGAATTTTAAGTTCTGGCAGCACATGTAGCAAGCATTTAAGAATACAAGAGCTTCAGAAAGAGAATAAAGAGATGAAGTTTGGAGTTAAAGATCTGGAAGTGATTATACTAAAGACTTGATCTGGTATATGCAAAATTAATATTTGAAAATGGAAAGGGACAAATGTTCTGCTTAAATCCACTAATGCTTTGAGGGCAGAATCAAGTTCTAGTTATCACTGTCCCTCTAGCACCTAGAAGAGTGCCTAACACTGATGTTTAATTATTAAACATTCTACTAAGCTTGGGTTGCAGTGGGATTCAAGGAGAAGGCAACCCAAGAAAGTGATGAAGGGAAGAACATTTTAGGACATCACCAGGGATGGAGAGTTGGTATTTCAAACTTTGACTAATAAGAGTTTGTGTAAAGTCCTTACTACAGGCAAACATCGTTTTTTGTTTTTTGTTTTTTTTTTGAGACAGGGTCTCACATTGTCACCCAGGCTGCTGGAGTATAGGTGCCCCCAGACTCAAGCAATCCTCCCACCTTAGCCTCCCAAGTTGCTGGGACCACAGGCATGCACGTCACCATGCCTGGCTAATTTTTTGTACTTTTGATAGGGATAGGGTTTCACCATGTTGCCCAGGCTGGTCTCAAACTCCTAGGCTGAGGCAGTCCTGCCTTGGCCTCCCAAAGTGTTGGGATCACAGGCGTGAGCCACCGCACCCGGCCAGTGGCCTTTATTATTATTTTTTTCTTTTTCTTAAGGTTGACATCAAATTGCTAGGATCACAGCTACTTCTCCAGAGATTTGCATTGCTCACTTTTTAAATTAGGTTGTCTCCCCAAATGTTACATCTCTAGGGTCTGTCCTAGCCATCTTATCTAAAAGATCTTGACCCCATCTCATCTATTATCATCACGTTACATACCTTAAATTCTGGTTTATTTTTCTTCATAGAGCTTGCCAATTTTCTTGTTATATATTTCTTTATAGCTGAGTTGAAATGATGAATGAATGTTGCAGCCTAAGAATAACAGTCAACTCAGTAAAACTGTTAGAACAAAATTACAGCATTTCTTTGGTCAGCGAAAATTCTCATCAGATATTTTATGAGTACAGTTATAAATTCTAAAAAAGAAACTAAGTTTTTAAACTATTTTAGATTTTTTTTGAGACAAGGTCTTGCTCTGTTGCCTGGACTGGAGTGATCATGGTTCACCTGATTGATCGCATAGCCTCGACCTCCCAGGCTTAAGCAATCCTCCCTCTTCAGCTCCCCCAAGTAGCTGAGATTGCAGGTGCACACCACCACGTTCGGCTGATTTTTAAACTTTTTGTAGAGAATGGAATCTCGCTATGTTGCCTGGCCTGGTCTCAAACTCCTGGGCTCAAGGGAGCCTCCCACTTCAGCCTCCCAAGGTGCTGGGCTTACAGGCGTGAGCCACTGTGCTCAGCCTATTAGAGAAATTTAATCAAAAAAGTTACTAAAATTTCCAGTCAAGTATTGAAATAACTTTCTCTACTCGACCTCCTGGGCTCAAGCGATCCTCCTACCTCACCTTTCTGGTAGCTGGGACTGCAGGCATGTACCACCATACCCAGCTGAATTTTTTTTTTTTCATACAGTGAAATTTAATTCAGTGATACTCACTTATAAGAAGAAATGAGCTTTTAAGACACTGAAAGACATAGAGGAACTCCATGTGTTTATTCCTTCGTGAAGGAAACCAGAAAAAGCCACTTGCTTTATGATTCTAACCATTTGACATTCTGGAAAAGGCAAAACTAGAGAGAGAGTAAAAAGATAAATGGTTGATAAAGGTTCAGGATGAGCAGAGGGATGAATAGGCAGAACACAGGATTTTTAGGGTGGTGAAACAGTTATATAATGATGGATTCATTACATGTATTTGTCAAAACCTATAGAACTGTACAAAACAAAAAGTGAACCCTAAGGTAAACTATGGACTTTAATTTTTTTATAAAAGCTACTTAATGTTGTTTTATGTGGCAATACTCTAATTTGACCACTTCCCAATTAATGGATATTCAGGCTGTTAGGTTTTTTTGTTATTACAATTCTTTAATAAATATCCTTCCTTACATACGCATATATTTAATTTTGGATAGATGCTTATGGGAGATTGTTGGATTCAAGGAGACACATACTTCTAGTTTTATTATATAGTACCAGAATACTTGTCAAAAAGTTTAACATTTAGAGAGGAGAGAGAGAGAGAGAGAGAGAGAGAGAGAGAGTGTGTGTGTGTGTGTGTGTGTGTGTGTTTAGAGACAAAGTCTTATTCTGTCACCTAAGCTAGAGTGCGTTGACACAGTCATTGCTCACTGCAGCCTGGAACTCCTAGCCTCAAGTGATCCTCTGACCTCAGTTTCTTGGGTGGCTGGGACTACAGGTATACGCCATTACACCGAGCTAATTTTTGTATTTTTTTTGTAAGGACGGGTTCTCTTTGTGATACCCAGGCTGGTCTCAGACTCCTGGTCTCAAAGTGATCCTCCTGCCTTGGCCTCCCAAAGTGCTGGGATTACAGGTGTGAGCCACTGTGCCCAACCTAGAATGTTTACAGATGCCCATTTCCTGACACCCCATCAGCCTTGATGTTATCAGTGTTTTTAATTTTTGCCAACCTGATAGGTGAAAATGCATCTTATTTCCTCAACTGTTAGTAAGACGGAACTTTTTTTTTTTTTTTTTTTTTTTTTTTTTTTTTTGAGACAGTCTCACTCTGTAGCCCAGGCTGGAATGCAGTGGTGTGATCTTGGCTCACTGCAACCTCTGCCTCCCGGGCTCAAGCCATTTTCATGCCTCTCAGCCTCCTAAGCAGCTGGGATTACAGGCGTGCACCACCACACCTAGCTCATTTTTGTATTTTTAGTAGAGATGGGATTTTGCCATGTTGGCCAGGCTGGTCTCAAACTCTTGAGCTCATGTGATCGTGTTCTGCCCACCTTGGCCTCCCAAAGCGCTGGGATTACAGGCATTAGGCACCACGCCCGGCTGAGGTTGAACATCTTTTTACGTTTCTTGTTCATTAGAATTTTCCCTTTTATGACTTACTGCTTCTTTTAGCTATTATTTTTTGTTTGGATAAATTTCTTGCATAGTAAGGGTATTAACCTTTGATAGTGTGTTATGAAAATTTTCTTCCAATTTCAATTTTAACTATATTTTTAATACGTTTTACCTTATTTTAGTTATGTTTTTGTCTAATCAGGTCTCTCACTTTTTACCTTCATGGGTGGGTGTGGTGGCTCACACCTGTGATCCTAGCACTTTGGGAGGCCAAGGTGGGCGGATCACGAGGTCAGGAGATTGAGACCATCCTGGCCAACATGGTGAAACCCCATCTCTACTAAAGATACAAAAATTAGCTGGGTGTGGCAGTGCATGCCTGTAATCCCAGCTACTTGGGAGGCTGAGGAAGGAGAATCGCTTGAACCCGGGAGGCAGAGGTTGCAGTGAGCTGAGATCACGCTGCTGCTCTCGAGCCTGGTGACAGAGCTAGACTGTCTCAAAAAAAAAAAAAAAGTCCTCTTCTACTCCAAAATTGTATGTTTTGCTTCTTTGTGTTTAAAATGTGATTTTCCACATTTTCTACAATGAGCAGTTAAAATAGCACTAATTATTTATTTGTACTTATTTATTAAAATATAACTACTGTAAGGTCTACAAATCTAGGGTAGAGCTCAGTGAACTTTTACAAACAGAAGACATCTGTGCCACCAACACTCAAATCGGTACCAGCACCCAAGAAACCTCTTGGATGCCCCTTCCCAGTCATTCCCACTAAAGATAACCACCATTCTAATTTCCATCATCATACATTAGTTTTGCCTATGACTTTTTATGTTTTGTTTGCCTTTGGGCATGGGAGATCAGGTTTGTTAAAGTGTAATTTACATTCCATAAAATTTACCTTTTTAAACTTTGTAAGTATGTAGTTTGATGAATTGACATGTAAGTATGTAGTTTGATGAATTGTAAGTATGTAGTTTGATGAATACACAGTTGTGTAACCAGCACCCTGATTAAGATACAGAATATTTTCATCACCCAAAAAGTTTCCTTGTGCCCCTTAATAATCAATGGCCTCCCCACAACCTCAGCCCCTAACAACCAGTTCCTATAATTTTGCTTTTTCCAGAATGTTATTTAAATGGAATCATACAATATATACGCTTTTATGTTACATATATCTCTAGTTCCTTTTTTCTTGCAGAGTCAGATTCCATTATATATGTATGCCACAATTTGTTTTTCCCTTCAGCAGATGACAGATATTTCTCGGGGAGGGAGAGTCTTTGTTGTTTATTTTTTTGTGCTTAAGCTTACCCGTATTTCTGTTTTTTTCTAGGTATTTGGCTATTATAAATAAAATAGTGATGAACACGTGTACAGGTGTTTGTACGGACATAAGTTGTCATTTCTCTTGAGTAAATACCTAAAAGTGGGCTTGCTGGGTAAGTATGTATTTAACTTTTAAACAAACTGCCAAACCAGTTTCCAAAGTGGCTGTAACATTTTACCATCAGTGTATGAAAGTTCCTGTTGCTTTTGCATTTTTGCCAGAACTTGGTATTGTTAGTTCTTTTTAATTGTAGGCATTTTAGCAAATGTGTAATAATAGGTAATTATTAATATAATTTGCATATCCCTGATGACTAATATTATTGGGCTCCTCGTGCTTATTTGTCATTCATATATCTTCTTTGGTGAAGTGTCTGTTCAAATATTTTCCCATGTTTTAATTGAATTATTTGTCTTATAATTTGGTTGCAAGAATTCTTTATATATTCTGGATATAGCAACTTTATCAGATGGTGATTTGCAAATATGGTCTCCCAGTCTGTAGTTGGCATTTTCTTTTTTTTTTTTTAAATATTTCTTTTTGTTTTTTGTTTTGTTGTGGTTTTTTTTTTTTTGACAGGGTCTCACTCTGTGACCCAGGCTGAAGTGGCAGTGATGCAATCTCGGCTCACTACAAGCTCCACCTCCCGGGCTAAAGTGACCTCTTCATCTCAGCCTCCTGAGTAGCTGGGACTATAGGCATGCGCCACCATGCCTGGCTAATTTTTGTATTTTTGATGGAGATGGGGTTTTGCCATGTCACCCAGGCTGATCTTGAACTCCTGGACTCAAGCCATCCACCTCCCAGGCCTCCCAAAGTGCTGGGATTATAGGCGTGAGCCACCATGCTTGGCCTGTAGTTTGCATTTTCTTGACTGTTCAAAAGCAGGTTTTACATTTTAATTAAGTCAAAATTTTCTTTTGTGGTTTGTACTTTTTGTGTTTTAAGAGATCTTTGCCTAACCAAAGGTCATAGATTCCCTTTTTTCTCTTATAAGTTTTGTAGTTCTTGCTTTTACATTTAGGTCTATGATCCATTTTGAGTTAATATTCTCTGTTCTGACTTCTCATTTGTCTCATATTAGTAAAACATTGCAGCTTTCTTTTTATTAATATTTGCATGGTATATCTTTTTTCTATCCATTTCCTTTTAACCTATCTATGGCTTTATGTTTAAAATGGGTTTCTTTCAGATAGCATATAGTTGGGTCTTGCTTCTCTCTCCCCACCACCCCCATCCTGACAATCTCTGTCTTTTAAATAAGGTGTCATATTATTTTTATTTAATGTAATTGTTGGTGTGGTTGGATTTTTTTTTTTTTTTTTTTTTTTTTTTTGAGACAGAGTCTCACTCTGTCTCCCAGGCTGGAGTGCAGTGGTGTGAGCTCAGCTCACTGCAACCTCCGCCTCCTGGGTTCAAGAGATTCTCCTGCCCCAACCTCCCAAGTAGCTGAGATGACAGGCACATGCCACCACACTCGGCTAATTTTTGTAATTTTAGTGGAGACAGGGTTTCACCACGTTGGCCAGGCTGGTCTTGGACTCCTGACCTCAAGTGATCCACCCACCTCAGCCTCCCAAAGTGCTGGGATTACAGGCGTGAACCACCATGCCCGGCCAGGTATAGTTGGATTTAAATCTACCTTCTTACCAGTTGTTTTTATATTTTCTGTTTTTCTCATCAGTTCTTTATTTCTTTTTTCATCTTTTTCTTTTTGATTGGGTACTTTTTCTCTATGATTGGTTTTGGTTTGTGAATTTACTGTTTAATATTTTGTGTGTTTGTTTGTTTGAAGTGGTTAGTCTAGGGTTTACTATATGCATTTTTTTTTTTTTTTTTTTTGAGACCTGGTTTTTCTGTGTCACCCAGACTGGAGTGCAATAGGGCGATCTGGGTTCACTGCAACCTCTGTCTCCCACGCTCAAGTTATCCTCCCACCTAAGCTCCTGAGTAGCTGGGACTACAGGCACCTGCCACTGTGCCTGGCTAATTTTTATATTTTTTGTAGAGATGGAGTTTTGCCATTTTGCCCAGCTGGTCTCGAACTCCTAGGTCGAAGTGACCCACCCACCTTGGCCACCCAAAGTGCTGGGATTACAGCGTGAGCCACTGTGCCTGGCCCATTATATCCTTTTTGACTTGTTAAAATCTAGCTTCGAATAATGTGATACCATTTTATGGTGTAAGAATTGTACAACATTATCCTTCCACTTCCCTCCTCTCATCCTGTCACTATTATTGTCATGCATTTTATTTATTTACTTATTTATTTAGAGATGGAGTCTTGATCTGTTGCCCAGGGTGGAGTGCTGTGAGCTAATCTCAGCTCACTGCAGCCTCTGCCTCCCAGGTTCAAGCAATTCTTGTGCCTCAGCCTCCCGAGTAGCTGGGATTACAGGCACCTGCCACCATGCCTGGCTACTTTTGGTTTTTTTGTTTGTTTGATTGTTTGTTTTTTTGAGATGAAGTCTCGCTCTGTTGCCCAGGCTGGAGTGCAATGGCATGGTCTCGGCTCACTGCAACCTCCACCCCCTGGGTTCAAGCGATTCTCCTGTCTCAGCCTCCCAAGTAGCTGGGATTATAGGCATGTGCCACCACGCCCAGTTAATTTTTTTGTATTTTTGTAGAGAAGGGCTTTCACCATGTTGGCCTGGCTGGTCTCGAACTCCTGACCTCAGGTGATCCACCCGCCTCAGCCTCCCAAAGTCCTGGGATTACAGGCATGAGCCACCACGCCCGGCTGCCTGGCTACTTTTTTTGTATTTTTAGTAGAGACGTGGTTTCACCTTGTTGGCCAGGCTAGTCTTGAACTCCTGACCTCAGGTGATCCACCCACCTCGGCCTTCCAAAGTGCTGGGATTACAGGCATGAGCCACCGCATCTGACTGGTGCACTTTACTTTGACCTGTCATAAATCCCTTGGTTTGTTATTACTAGTTTTTACTTTAGACAGCAATTATCTTTCAAGGAAAAATTTAAAAGGAAAAAATGTCTTATATTTACCCTCATGTTTACCATTCCCAGTGCTCTTTATTTCTTTATGTCAATCCGGATTTCAATTTGTTATCATACTGTTTCTGCCTGAATAACAGTTTAACAGCAACAGTTTTGCTGGCAGTGAATCTTCTCAGTTTGTGTTTTTCTGATCGTATTTCTTGTTTGTCTTTTTGAAGACTAGTCAAGTGCAGTAGTGAGAAGAGGGGAAGAGTGGAACAGGGAGTTTGACCTGTAACTGACTGTGAGCAATCAGTTGGGATAACTCACTGCCTTTGGACCAGACTGATAGTCTTTCTTTTATACTCTTTTTCAGAAGGCATTTTTGCTGGGTACAGAGCTTTGTGTTGGTAGGTTTTTCTGTCCTTTTGGTGTTTAAAATTATCATTCCTTTGTCCTCTGGCTTGCATAGTTTTTGATGCGAAGACTGTAGTAATTCTTTTTTTTTGAGACAGAGTCTTGCTCTGCCACTCAGGCTGCAGTGCAATCGTGTGATCTCATCTCACTGCAACCTACACCTCCTGGGTTCAGGCGATTCTCCTGCTTTAGCCTCCCTAGTAGCTGGGATTACAGGTGCCTGCCACCATACCCAGCTAATTTATGTATTTTTAGTAGAGATGGGGTTTCACCATGTTGGTCAGGCTGGTCTCGAACTCCTGACCTCAGGTGATCCACCTGCCTCAGCCTCCCAAAGTGCTGCAAAAGGCAGAGGTTGTAGCCAGCCGAGATTGCGAGATTGTGCCACTGCACCCCAGCCTGGGCAACAGAGTGAGACTCTGTCTCCAATAATAATAATGCTACTATGAAATTTATGTATAAGTTTTTTTGCACGAACATATGTTTAGCTTTATGAGAAACTGCCAAAGTGTTTTCCACAGAGGCTGCTACATTTTACATTCCCACCAGCAATATAGAAGGGTTCCAGTTTCTTCACATTCTTTTTAAAAAAATGTATTTTTTAATTAACAAATAAAAGTTGTATATATTTATGGAGTACAGCAAGATGTTTTGATATGTGTATACATTGCGGAATGACTAGATCAAGCCAATTAACATACCCACTGCCTTACATACATTTTTTTGGGTGTGGTGAGAACATTGAAAATCTACTCTCCTAGCAACTCTTGGCAATTTTTTTTTTTTTTTTTGAGATGGAGTCTCGCTGTGTCACCCAGGCTGGAGTGCAGTGGCACAGTCTCAGCTCACTGCAACCTCCACCTCCCAGGTTCAAGTAATTTTCATGCCTTAGCCTCCTGAGTAGCTGAGACTACAGGTACTTGCCACCATGCCCAGCTAATTTTTTTATTTTTATTTTTTATTTTTAGTAGAGATGGGGCTTCACCATATTGGCCAGGTTGGTCTCAAACTTCTGACTTCAAGCAGTCCGCCTGCCTTGGCCTCCCAAAGTGTTGAGATTACAGGCATGAGCCACTGTGCCTGCCCCCTCTTAGCAATTTTCAAATGTACAGTACATTGTTACTAACTGTAGTCACCATATTATACAGTAGAGCTCTTGAACTTACTCCTCTTTCCAAGTGAAATTTTATACCCTTTGATCGACATCTCCCTGATTCTCCCTCCTCCCCAGCCCTGATTAACTACCTATCTACTGTCTGCTTCCATGGGTTTGACTGTTTTAGATTTCACATATAGATATGTACGTTTGTATATATACACACATCTAGATGAGATCATGTGGTATTTGGCTTTCTATATCTGGCTTTAGTTTATAATATAATGTCCTGCAAATTTATCCCTGTTTCACAAATGACAGGATTTTGTTCTTTTTTAAGGCTGAGGTAGTATTCTATTGTGTATGTACACAAATGTGTACCCGAGTAGCTGGGATGACAGGTGCACACCACCACGCTCGGCTAATTTTTGTATTTTTATACCACATTTTCTTTATTCATCAACTGATGAACACTTAGATTGATTCTATATCTTAGCTGTTGTGAAAAAATGCTGCAGTGAACCTGGGAGTACAGATATCTCTTTGACATACTGATTTCTTCTTTTTCTTTTTTTTTTTTTTTTTTTTGAGATGGAGTCTCGCTCTGTCACCCAGCCTGGAGTGCAGTGGCACGATCTTGGCTCACTGCAAGCTCCGCCTCCCAGGTTCAAGTGATTCTCCTGCCTCAGCTTCCTGAGTAGCTTGGATTATAGGCACGTGCTACCATGTCCAGCTAATTTTTGTATTTTCACTAGAGATGGGGTTTCACTATGTTGGCCAGGCTGATCTCAAACTCCTGACCTCAAGTGATCCTCCTGCCTTGGCCTCCCAGAGTGCTGGGAATACAGCCGTAAGCCACGGTGCCCAGCCTATTTTTAATTTTTTTAGGAACCTTCATACTGGTTTCCATTTTGGCTGTACTATAGTTTCTTTACATTTTTGCCAATACTTGTTGTCTTCTGTTTTGAGGGGTGCTTAAAAATAACCAATTCATAATTATTTTAGTTTTTTTGTTTGCTTTTAAGCCTTGTCAAGTGAAGCAGTGGGAGTGTGTACTTACACTATTAGTAGGTGTATAGTATATATCTGAGTGTTCTCTGGGTTTTTTTCTGTTTTTTGCCTCATTTCTTGATAACTTGTTGGTATTTCTCTGTCTCTTTAAAATTGCATTCTGTACATCATGTATAGAAGAATAGTAGAGACTAAGCTAAATAGCATTTAGCCTTGGAAATGGATACCTGTGCTTCTATCAGACTGTGAGTGTTGGGGCTTGAACAGTCTAGCCTGGTTTGGGTTTTGGTGTTACTATAGTTAACATTTATATACCAAAAACTTCAAATTCCTTCAGCTATGAGCTGTTACTATCTTGTGCTTAGCGTCAGGCCTGGGATGCTGGAGAGTTTTCTCCTTGTTGCTGCTCCACTCAGTCCCAGCAGGCCCCAACAGGAGGTTTCTCTCCATGCTCTTCCCCACCACCTGCCGACCGTTGGTGCTCTTTCCACAGCGTAAGGCTTGGCAGAAGTAGGGAGGCATTCGCTCCATGATTTTTAAAAATACGCACACATAAAATATCTCTGTTCTAGACCCACATTTCATTGTTAACTTGACCTAGACCCACATTTCATTGTTAACTTGACTGGCTAAAAAGACTCCAGGTTAGGGATAATTTTGACTCAGAATTTTCAAGGCATTATTCCTTTTTTCCCCGAGGGTTGCTATTGAGAAGTCTGATGCCGTTAAGATTCTTCAGATTTTTTATGAGACCCCTTTTCTCCGTGGACACTTGTAGAATCTTTCCTTTATCCCCAGCATTATGACATTTCAAGATAATGTGGCTTGGTATGGCTTTCTTTTGCTATCCTTTTTGCTGAAGACTCAGGTTTTTTTTGTTTGTTTGTTTGTTTTTTTCTTTTCTATTTTTCTTTCTGGACTTTTCATTTTTAGGATGTTTGACTTAGATTGATTGATCAATCCTCTGATTTCATTCTTTCTCTTTCTTCTTCTACTTTAGTTGGGAGTATTCCTTAACCATATCTTTTAGCTCTTCTGTGTATTTTGTATTTCTGCTTTCTTATTCTTAATTTCCAAGAATTCTTTCCTGTTGTCTGAATGTTCTTCTTTGTTAAAATACGCCTACAAGCCAGGCACACTGCCTCCTGCTTATAATCCCAGCACTTTGGGAGGCTGAGGCAGGCAGATTGCTTGAGTCCAGGAGTTTGAGACCAGCCTGGGCAACATGGCAAAACCCCATCTCTTATAGAAATACAAAAATTAGCCAGGCATGGTGGCACATACCTGTAGTCTCAGCTACTTGGTAGGCTGAGGCCAGAGGATCATTTGATCCTGGGATGCTGACATTGTAGTGAGGCAAGATTGTGCCATTGTACTCCAGCCTGGGTGACAGAGAGTGAGACCCTGTCTCTCTCTAACACACACACACACCCCTCTAAAAATATGGAATGTTTCACAAACTGGTATGTCATTCTTGTGCAGGGGTCATGCTAATCTGTATCGTACCAATTTTAGTATATATGCTGCAGAAGCGAGCACCATGGTTTTATTTTTAAATGTATGCATCTGAGCATAATCACCACCTAGAATTCTTGTTCTGTTTCTCAGTTTCTATCTCCCCCCAAAATAAGTAGTATTCTTACTTCTACCATTATAGATTTGTTTTGCCTTTTTTAAAACTTTGTATAAATGAAATCCTGTAGTACCTTTTTGTGTCAGGCATCTAACCAATTCTGAGATTCATCCACATTGTTGCATGTACCAGTTGCATGTTTTTTATTGCTATGTAGAATTCTAGGCCAGGCGCAGTGGCTCATGCCTGCAATACCAGCATTTTGGGAGGCCGAAGTGGGCGGATCACTTGATGCCAGGGGTTTGAGACCAGCCTGGCCAACATAGTGAAACCTCGTCTCGACTAAAACTACAAAAATTAGCTGGGCGTGGTGGTGGGTGCCTGTAACTCCAGCAGTTTGTGAGGCTGAGGCAGGAGTATCGCTTGAACCTGGGAGGTTACAGTGAGCCGAGATCATTCCACTGCACTGCAGCCTGGGTTACAATGCAAAACTTGGTCTCAAAAAAACAACAAAAAAAGAGAATTCTATTGTATTAACATACCACAGTTTATCAGTAAGGCCTGTATAAGCAACTGGATAATTATCAAATTGTCCAGTTAATCATCTTATCTTAAAAGCTTGTAATTAGGCCAGGCACAGTGGCGCATTCCCATAATCCCAGCACTTTGGGAGGCTGAGGTTGGTAGATCACCTGAGGTCAGGAGTTTGCAACCAGCCTGACTAACATGGTGAAACCCCATCTCTACTAAATACAAAAAATATATAGCCAGACATGGTGGTGCATGCCTGTAATCCGAGCTCCTTGGGAGGCTTGAGACAGAATCGCTTGTACCTGGGAGGTGGAGGTTGTAGTGAGCCGAGATCGCGCCATTGTGCTCCAGCCTGGGCAACAAGAGCAAAACTCTGTCTCAAAAAAAAAAAAAAAAAAAAGCTTGTAATTAAAGTATTAATAATATACCAACAACATATTTACCTTGCTGCTTAAGCCAGAAACCTAGGAATCTTTTTTTTTTTGAGACAAGAATCATTTTTGACTGCCCTTCTCTCACACCACTTGCAGTTTTACCAGAAAATTCTTTCATATTTGTGACCTACATCCAGCCACTTCTGTTAGAACTCTTTCTCAGAACTTTGCACAAACCTCTAAACTAACTACTTATACTCTTGCCCTTTAGTCTGTTCTCCAGGCAGCAGCCCAAGGAACCCATTCTCAGTGTCTCTTACCTGCTCTCAGCCTACAGTGGCTTTCTTTCTCACTTGAGAATAAAATTCAAAGTTCTTACCATGACCGATGGAGCTCTCCTCTGGCTCCAGTTACCTCTTTAGCCTCATTTTCTACACCCTTCTTTCTTTCTCTGACTTTAGCTGCACTGGCCTACTTGTTGTTTCTCTCTGCCTAGGCAGCTCTTGCTCCATGTAATCCACTCCCTTGCCTCCCTCATTTTGTCCTGGTCTCAGCTCAAATGTCACCTCATGGGGGAAGTTTCCTTTAATGATTGAATAGAAATGGCTTTTCCTGCCTCATTTTTCTTGCCTTACCCTATGTTGTTATTTTTTATAACACTCCTCACTATTTTTATTATTATAATTAGTTATTGGGCTGTATTTCCACCTATCTCCTTCTATCCTGTCCTGCATGAAGAAAGGGACTTCATGACTGTTCTTTGCTGAATTTGTTATGTTCTAGGCCTGTCATGTCATAACCTTTCCAGAATTGTTTTTTTTCTTTGGTTTGGTTTTGGTATTGAGACAGAGTCTCACTGTCACCCAGGCGGGAGTGCAGTGGCGCAATCACAGCTCAACTTGCAGCTGCAACCTCCCTGGGCTCAGGTGCTTCTCCCGCCTCAGCATCTCAAGTAGCTGAGACTACCACCAGGCCACCACGCCCTGTACATTTAGCTCTAAAATACAAAAATTAGCTAAATTTTGTAGAGACGGAGTTTAGCCATGTTGCCTAAGCTGGTCTCAAACTCCTGGGCTCAAACAATCCACCCTCCTCAGGCTCCCAAAGTGCTAGCATTATAGGTGTGAGCCACTGCACCTGGCCAAGAATTGTTTTTGTATTCTTTTTTTTTTTTTTTTTAAAGACAGGGTCTTGCTCTGTCGCCAAGGCTGGAGTGCAGTGGCACCATCTCAGCTCACTGCAACCTCTGCCTCTGAGGTTCAAGTGATTCTCCTGCCTCAGCCGCCTGAGTAGCTGGGAGTACAGACACACACTACCACACCTGGCTAATTTTTGTATTTTTAGTAGGGACAGGTTTCGCCATGTTGGCCAGGCTGGTCTTGAACTCCTGTCCTCATGATCTGCCTGCCTCGGCCTGCCAAAGTGCTGGGACTACAGGCATGAGCCACTGGGCCCGGCTGTTTTTGAATTCTTGAGTAGGGTAATTCTTAAGAACTTTAGAGCAGATTTAATGTTGTTAGAGCTTATCAGTTTCTAACTATAATGTATCCAAGATTTAAGTAGCTGGCTCTTAGATAATGTTAACATCATTCTGTAACAGGATATGGTTCTTTTTGTTTTTCCTCATTTTTTTTGCAGTTATTAAAGATAGCATTTGCTTAATTCTTAAAAGCGTCTTTTCAAAATTAGAAAATGAAGAAATAGTAAACATGTAGTACCAATTCAAGAATTAGATTATTCCGAATTGCTTCTAACTGTTCCAAATTAAGACATCTGGTGACTTAGGGAAATTTGGTTTCTCTGTTTGGTTAACCAGCTGGTTGTTCTGGAAAGGAAAAAGGCAGTTAATTGTTCTTGTTGAAAGATTCTGGGCATTTGTGGAATTACCGTAAAGGGTGACGTTTGGATGCAAGATTTACATGCAAAACTGGACATCTCAGGATGTTATTGAGGAAAATGTTTTTGTTTTTAAAAAGATGCTTTGAATGTTATATCTGGAACCTGCAGCATAATCTCACACTGCATGAGAAAGTATGTGTCATTTCCTCCCAGTCCTCCCCCTTTTCCTTAGTAACAGATTCCTGTACTTTAAAAATTGTGCTTTTCCTGAGAATTTTAATGTATTTAATGCATGGGATGCCATATGTTGCTGCAACCACTATCTTGGACGTTTATGTGAATAAGAATACCATATTCAGACTAGCTAAGCAGGATTAATTTACAGAGACATTGTCTTAGTCATTAATGAATGTGAAATTTAAAATTATATTAGAGTTGTAGCAGATGTCAGTTTAGCATACCTTCCACTAAATATTCAGCAGTTCTTCTGAATTTAAAACAAATGGCTCTTTGGCAAATTGTCTTAGAGCTAATTCTGTGTTAGTTTAAAACATACACATACATTTCTCTAAATTATAAATGTTTTCTGGAAACGATTCTCCTGAAATTAAACCAGTGTATGCTTTTTATCCCAAGGTATTGTTTCCTCTAGGACATACTGGTAACGCATATGTGTGATTGTTCCTATTTTACTCTTCCCTCTTTCTCTGAAATGTTAATAACCAGATTGTTAAGATTCTCCTGTGCAGTTTTGCTTTAGATAAGCTGACATCAGATATGTGTAATATAGCCAGGTGTGGTGACATGTGCCTGTGGTCCCATCTGCTTGGGAGGCTGAGGTAGGTGGGAGAATTGCTTGAGCCAGGGAGGTCAAGGCTGCCGTGAGCTGTGATTGCACCACTGCACTCCAGCCTGGGCCACAGAGTGAGACCCTGTCTCAAAAAAAAAAAAAAGAAAAAAAGAAAAGAAAGGATATGCCTGATAAATATTAAGCTACTTGAATGTCTCGTATAAAGCTTTTGTGGCTGCCAGTAGATTTTTCAGGTTTGCCCCTGGCCTTGTCACTTTACACATTAGCAGCTACTGCTTCCATGTGGCTCTGCTAATACTCCCCCCTTAAAAAGATTAATATGCTACATGCTTATATAGAGACAGTATAGTATAGGAATTAATAGCATGGGCTCTGGAATAAGAATGCCTGAATTCAGAAACTAGATTTACTGCATATTAGCTGTGCTTTTCTCATCAGTAAAATGGATATACTAGTACTTTGGGATTGTCATGAGGTTGTCATCATCATTAAAATTTCAGTAATAGGCTGGGCGTGGTGGTTCATGCCTATAATCCCAGCGCTTTGGGAGGCCAAAGCAGGAGGATTGCTTACATACAGGAGTTCAAGTATGTGAGACCGTGTTTGTATTAAAAAAAAAAAAAAAAAAAAAAGATGTTTAAAAATTTCAGCAGTGGCCGAGTGCAGTGGCTCACACCTCTAATCCCAGCACTTTGGGAGGCCAAGGTGGGTGGATCACAAGGTCATGAGTTCAAAACCAGCCTGGCCAAGATGTTGAAACCCCATCTCTACTAAAAATACAAAAATTAGCTGGGATGGTGGTGGGCACCTGCAATCCTAGCCACTCGGGAGGCTGAGGCAGAGAATTGCTTGAATCCAGGAGGTGGAGGTTGCAGTGAGCCGAGATCACGCCACTGCACTCCAGTCTGGGCAACGGAGTGAGACTCTTGTCTCAAAAAAAAAAAAAAAAATTCAGCAGTATAAAAAAGAGCTGGAATACACAAAAAATAAATAGTATGAAAGAAATGACTAAAATTTAGGTATTTTAATACAAGAGCTTCTGGCTCTTGAAATTTACTTTAAGTTTTTTAAAACAATGAATAACATTAAGAGGTTGGAATCATTGTGTTTTGGAGTTTTTTGGGTTTTTTTCTCACTTGTCCCCTAAGAAGTTACAGGATGCCACCTCTGCAAGCAGATTTGGAGTTTTAAAACTACATGTTTCAGATCTGTTCACCGCTGATTGACTGATGCAGCCAAATGTAGGTTTTCCTGATCAGCAGATAGCCTTTCATCTGGTGATTGGTAGGCTGCGACTCCTTTCATTTTATGGCTATACCATCCTGTAGGACCAAGGAGTCTTCTCCATCGAGCCAGCAGATGAGCAAAGAAAAGGTGGAGAAAACCCATTACCTCTTAATCCTACCCTAACTGTAGCATAAATTGCTTCCACTGGCAAAAACTAATGACATACTGGGGCTGACACAGTCCTTGCTGGGGGACCTGGAATCTGTCCTTTCATCTGAGATCCCATTGAATGTCCTATACCAAATCCCATTCCAACAAGTCCCAGGTATATTCCACTCTTACGGGCTGCTTCTCATTTCCCAAACTGAGCCTGGAGACATTAGAAAATAGCCCTACCAACTCTTCATTCCTTTGCTGAGCTCCTGCAGTAGTAAGTAGGAGTACTTACTACTTTCGAGAGATTTTTTGAGGTTGCCTACCAACTCCCTCAGTTTGCTTCTTTCCAAATTTGGGAGTATTCGTGAGAATTCTTGAAACTTGGCTAGGCATGGTGGCTCTTGCTTGTTGGGATTACAACACTTTGGGGCACTTTGGGAGGCCGAGGCGGATGGATCACCTGAGGTCAGGAGTTTGAGACTAGCCTGGCCAACATGGCGAAACCCGGTCTCTACAAAAAATACAAAATTAGTCGGGCATGGTGGTGCACCCCTGTAATCCCAGCTACTTAGGAGGCTGAAGCAGGATAATCGCTTGAACCCGGGAGGCAGAGGTTGCAGTGAGCAGAGATCCCACCACTACACTCTAGCCCGGGAGGCAGAGGTTGCAGTGAGCAGAGATCCCACCACTACACTCTAGCCCGGGCGACAGAGGAGATTCCGTCTCAAAAAAAAAAAAAAACTTGAAATTTTATTTTTACCTTTCCTTAGTACTGCTTTGGGGAAGGGGATATTGGCATATGGAAAGAGATTCTGTTGGCTCTGCTGTATAATTTCCAGTTTATTATGAAGCTAGATTAGGGACGTGACTAGGGCAGAGATTGTTGGTGGTAGTCCTGATTGGCCTGCTAGAATCATCTCAGGTCTAGAGATGAGTTTGACCGAAGGGCTTTTCAGCATTGGGACATTCCTAGTGTGTTAGTACCAGAAATATTTTTCTGTCTAGAACTATAAACATCAATGATATGTTAAAAATTTTTTGTTGGCCAGGCACGGTGGCTCATGTCTGTAATCCCAGCACTTTGGGAGGCTGAGGTGGGCGGATCACTTGAGCTCAAGAGTTCGAGACCAGCCTGGGCAACATGGTGAAACCCCATCTCTACTAAAAATACAAAAAATTAGCCTGACGTGGTGGTGCACGTCTATAATCCCAGCTACTCGGGAGGCTGAGTCAGGAGAGTTGCTTGAACCCAGGAGGCAGAGGTTGCAGTGAGCCGAGATTGCACCACAGCACTCTAGCCTGGGGGACAGAGCCAGACCCTGTCTCAAAAAATAAAAATAAATAAAAATTTAAAAAAAATTTTTTTTTGGGGGGGATAATGTTAGGTTTACAGAAAAGTTGCAAAAATAGTACAGAGTTCCTGTATACCCTTCACCCAGCCTCCCTAATGTTAACATAACCATGGAACATTTGTCAAAACTAAGAAATTAACATTGGAATAATACTATTAACTAAGAAATTAACATTGGAATAATACTATTAACTAAATGACAGACTTTATTTGGATTTCACCAGGTCTTCCATGAATGTCCTTTTACTAGTCCAGGATCTAATCAAGGATACCATATTGAATTTCATCATCACATCATCATGATCTCCCCCAATCTGTGATGATTTGTTGGTCTTTCTTTCTTTTTCATGATCTTAAAGCTTTTTTTTTTTTTTTTTTTTTTTTGCGACAGGGCCTGGCTCTGTTGCCCAAGCTGGAGTGCAGTGACGCAATCTTGTCTACCGCAACCTCCGCCTCCTGGGTTCAAGTGATTCTCATGCCTCAGCCTTCTTAGTAGCTGGGACTACAAGTGTGTGCCACCACTCCCGGCTAATTTTTGTGTTTTTAGTAGAGATGGGGTTTCAGCACGTTGGCCAGGCTGGTCTCAAACTCTTGGCCTCAAGATCTGCCTGTCTCAGCCTCCCCGAGTGCTAGGATTGCAGGCATGAGCCACTGTGCCTGGTATGATCTTGAAACTTTTGAAGAGTACTGGCCAAGTATTTGTAGAATATCCCTCAAATTAGCCAGGCACAGTGGCTCATGCCTATAACCCCAGCACTTTGGGAGGCCAAGGCGGGCGAATTACAAGGTCAGGAGTTCGAGACCAGCCTGGCCAACATGGTGAAACCCCATCTGTACTAGAAATACAAAAATTAGCCAGGTGTGGTGGTGCATACCTGTAATCTTAGCTACTCAGGAGGCTAAGGCAAGAGAATTGATTGAACCAGGAGGTGGAGGTTGCAGTGAGCCGAGATTGCACCACTGCACTCCAGCCTGGGTGACAGAGTGAGACTCCCTCTCAAAAAAAAAAAAAAAAAAGAAAAGAAAAGAAAAGAATATTCCTCAAATTGGGTTAGTTTGAGGTTTTCTCATGATTAGACTGTGGGGAATAACATAACAGAGGTGAATGAAATGCCTTTCTTATCACATCATACCGGGGGTTCATGATAGGAACATGACATATTGCTGATGATGTTACCCTTGATCAGTTGGTCACAGTGATGTCATCTGAGCTTCTCCACAATTAGGTTACTATCTTTTACCTTTTCTGTACTCTATTCTTCTCTATTCTTTGGATGCGGGTAACTAAGTCCAGCCTACATTCAAGGGGAGGAGAATTCAGCTCTACTTTCTACAGGGGGTATATCTACATATGTTATACTTGAGTTCTGTAAGGAAGATTTGTTCCTTCTCCCTCATTTATTTATTTACTGATTCATTTTTATCAGTATGGACTCATGGATATTTATTTTATTCTTTGGATTGTAATCCAAGAGTTTTTTTTTTTTTTTTTTTTTTTTTAAGACAGAGTCTTACTCTGTCGCCCCGGCCAGAGTGCAGTGGTGCGACTTTGGCTCACTGCAGCCTTCACCTCCCAGGTTCAAGTGATTCTCCTGCCTCAGCCTCCCAAGTAGCTGGGATTACAGGCGTGAGCCACTGCACTCAGATGAGTATTGTTATTTTGTTGTTAAGATTGTTTTAGATTGGCCAATGGAGTTCTTGGCTCCTATGTCTTTTTGTTTTTCCTTTTAAACTCTTCTTTCTCCAAGGAACTCAAGGGCGTTTTTAATAGTTTAAATCCTAAACATTTTGATTGGTATCCAAGATAAGAATCTTGGGAGAGTTCACTGAGAACCTTGGGCAGTGAAACACAGTCATTTTTTGAAACATATTGAAGTTCATATGCTTTTTTGGTTTTGTTTTATTTTATTTTATTTTATTTTATTTTTTTGTTGAGACAGTTTCTCTCTGTCTCCAGCCTGGAGTGCAGTGGCGCGATCTTGGCTCACTGTAACCTCCACCTTCCAGGTATAAGCAATTCTCCTGCCTCAGCCTCCCATGTAGCTGGGATTATAGGTGGGCGCCACCACCCTTGGCTAATTTTTGTATTTTTGGTAGAGAGAGGATTTCACCATGTTGGCCAGGCTGGTCTCCAACTCCTGAGGCTCAGGTGATCCGCCCGCCTCGGCTTCCCGAAGTGCTGGGATTACAGGCGTGAACTACCACGCCCGGCCATATGCTCTTTAGAGGTGTATTTTTCATTATAAAATGAAAAATAAAATCTAAGAAAGCACCGGCTCAATTTGGTGTGGCTGTAGTTTATTCAGATTTGAGAGTTGTTTATTTGATATTGTGTTCATGAAGGTTGCATGTTGTTTTTTTAAATAGTTAATATAAAAGTAACTAAACTGTGTTAAGTTTCTGAACAGCTGTAAGAATCGTAGCTTTTAAAATGTGAAATGAATTTAAATGACTAAATCAAATGAAATGAAAATTAGGAAGGAAATTAATATTTGTTGCATATTTTCTTTATGCCAAGCATTGTACCTTCTGCTTACTTCTGCTTTGTGTTTCTATCACCTCTGTCCTAGTACCAGTCTTCGTTTTTGTTTTTTTGGGTTTTTTTTTTTGAGATGGAGTTTTGCTCTGTTGCCAGGCTGGAGTGCAGTGGCGCCATCTCGGCTCACTGCAGCCTCTGCCTCCCGGCTTCAAGCGATTCCCTTGCCTCATTCCCCTGCCTCAGCCTCCTGAGTAGCTGGGACTACAAGTGCACCACCACACCCAGCCAATTTTTTGTATTTTAGTAGAGATGGGGTTTCACCATGTTGGCCAGGATGGCCTAGATCTCCCAACCTCGTGATCTCCCACCTCAGCCTCCCAAAGCACTGAGATTATAGGCGTGAGCCACCGAGGCACCGCACCCAGCCACCTGTCTTCCTATATTGTAATTGTTTACTTTTCTGTTTCTCAACTTCTTAAAGGCAGAAGGCATGGTCTTCATCCAAATTGCCAGCACTAGGGGTTTTGCTTCTTAAACCTATTTGTGTGTGTGTGTGTGTGTGTGTGTGTGTGTGCATGCACCACACTGGCTGGTTTTTGTTGAGATACTTCACTGCAGTATTTACACTGTACTCCAAATTGACAATCTCTGAAAATATTAATATTTATAAGAAACTAGTAACATTGCCTCCTGGGACAGGAAAGGGACTTGAGGACAGAGATGTTCTAAGATAGTTTGGGGACCTTTTTAATTTTGGACCATTGACTATGTTGTATATTCAAAAATATAAATACATTATTAAAACATACAGAAACTTACTAGACAGATTTTTTTATTTTTTATTGATTTATTTATTTTTTTTGAGAAAGAGACTTACTCTGTTGCCCAGGCTTGTCTTGAACTCCTGGCTGCAAGTGATCCTCCTGCCTCAGTCTCCCAAAGTACTGGGATTACAGGTGTAAGTCACCATGCCCAGCCAGAGGCAATTCTATATTAAGTTGTTTTTTGTTTGTTTGTTTGTTTTGTTTTGTTTTTGAGGCAGAGTCTCACTCTATTGCTCAGGCTGGAGTTCAACGGTACAATCTCAGCTCACTGCAACCTCCGCCTCCCAGGTTCAAGTGATTCTTCTGCCTCAGCCTCCCGAGTAGCTGGGATTACAGGCATGCACCACCACACCCAGCTTATTTTTGTATTCTTAGTAGAGATGGGGTTTCACCATGTTGGCCAGGCTGGTCTCAAACTCCTGACCTCGTGATCTGCCCGCCTTGGCCTCCCAAAGTGTTGGGATTACAGGCATGAGCCACTGCTGCGCCCGGCCTGGGGTTTCTTTCCTTTTTCTTTTCTTTTTTTTTTTTTTTTGAGTCAGACTTTCGCTCTTGTTGCCCAGGCTGGAGTGTAATGGCGCCATCTTGGCTCACTGCAAACTCCGCCTCCTGGGTTCAAGCGATTCTCCTGCCTCAGCCTCCCAAGTAGCTGGGATTACTGGCATGTGCCACCACACCTGGCTAATTTTGTATTTTTAGTAGAGATGGGTTTTCTCCATGTTGGTCAGGCTGGTCTCGAACTCCTGACCTCAGGTGATCTGCCTGCCTCGGCCTCCCAAAGTGCTGGGATTACAGATGTGAGCCACCATGCCTGGCCTGGGGTTTCTTAATTGCCCTTCAGTAAAATATGTATAACTGACTTCTCCATCCCTGATAACTTTTGGGGAATATAATTGTGCTGGATAATGCGCATGTGGGGATTTCTGTTACTGTTCTCTACTCCATGCACATTCCATAATAAAAAGTTTTATCATGCCTGTAATCCCAGCACTTTGAGAGGCGGAGGCGGACAGATCACGAGGTCAGGAGATGGAGACCATCCTGGCTAATATGGTGAAACCCCGTCTCTACTAAAAATACAAAACAATTAGCCGGGCATGGTGGTGGGCACCTGTAGTCCCAGCTACTTGGGAGGCTGAGGCAGGAGAATGGCGTGAACCCGGGAGGCAGAGCTTGCAGTGAACCGAGATGGTGTCACTGCAGTCCAGCCTGGGCAACAGAGCAAGACTCCGTCTCAAAAAAAAGTTTTAAAGAGAAAAGTAGATCACATGAAAAATTAAAAGTAAAGGATGATTGCTTATTGTAACTCTTTTCTGGGTTATTACATGTTTTTACAATCATACACTGCTTCCTTTCTCTTCTGATACATAGAATTTACATGTAATTCCTCCTCTAAAGCCTCATGGGCATATCCCTGGATTAAAGTTGACAGCAGTACTTTAATACTTACATAGAAGATCAATAGCTTAACATTGGAATGAACACAGATTCACAGGTTTTGAAGTTACAACTTGAATTTCAAACCAGACTCCTCCAATATGTTCACTTAGTAGCTATGAGAGCAAGGGCAAATTAGTCTCTCTGAGCTTCAATTTCCTTTGTAAAATAGTGATAATAATATCTGCCTCATAGGGTTAAATGATGAGGATTTAAAAACTGGATAGAAGTTTCGAGCACATAGCCTAGCATTTGGTGAACTCCAGTTATGATTACAGTCATTCATTGCCTAACAATGAGAAATGGGTCATTAGGCAGTTTCATCCTGGGAACATCATGGAGTATACTGTACTTACCCAACCTAGATAGTATAGCCTACTACATACTTGAGCTGTACGGTATGACCTACACTACACTGTACAGCATTTTACTCTACTGAATACTTTAAGCAGTTGTAACACAATGGTAAATACTTGTAGATCTAAACATAAAAAGGTATAATAAAATTATGGTATAAATGATAACAAATGGTATACCTGTAGAGAGCACTTGGCGTGATACTTTTTTCCTCTTTTGTAATAATACTTAGCTTAAAACACAAACACATTGTACAGCTGTACAAAAATATTTTCTTCATATATCCTTATTCCATAAGCCTATTTCTACTTTAATTTTTATTTTATTATTTTCTAATTTTACTTCTAAAACTCTTTTGTTAAAAATTGAGACACAGGCTGGGGACAGTGGCTCATGCCTGTAATCTCACCACTTTGGGAGGCTGAGGCAAGAAGATTGCTTGAGCCCAGAAGTTTGAGACCAGCTTGGTCAAAATAGTGAGACCCTGTCTCTACCAAAAATACAAAAATTAGCTGGATGTGGTGGCCTGAGCCTGGGAGGTTGAGGCTGCAGTGAGCCATGATGGCGCTACTTTGCTGAGTGATGGAACAAGACCCTGCCTCCAAAAAAAAAAAGAAGAAAAAAGACACACACATTAGCCTAGGCCCACACACGGTCAGGATCATCAATTTTGTGGTCTTCTACTCCATGTCTTATCCCACTGGAAGGTTTTTAGGAGCAATAACACATGGAGTTGTCATCTTCTATGAGAACAGTGCATTCTGGAATACGCTTTGAAGGACTTGCCTGAGGCTGTTCACAGTTAACTTCCTTTCAATAAGTAGAGAAAGTCCACTCTAAAATAACGATTAAAAGTATAGTCTTGCCGGGCATGGTGGCTCATGCCTGTAATCCCAGCACTTTGGGAGACCGAGGTGTGTGGATCACCTGAGGTCAGGAGTTCGAGATCAGCCTGGCCAACGTGGTGAAACCCTGTCTCTACTAAAAACACAAAAATTAGCTGGGCATTGTGGCATATGCCTGTAATCCCAGCTGCTTCGGGGGCTGAGGCAGGAGAATTTCTTGAACCCGGGAGGCAGAGGTCGCAGTGAGCTGAGATGGTGCCACTGCATTACAGCCTGGGTGACAAAGCGAAACTCCGTCTCAAAAAAAAAAAAAGTATAGTATTGGACTTTTAAACGAGTAACATAAACCCGTAACATAGTCCTTTATTGTCTTTATGAAGTATTATGTACTGTACATAATTGTATGCACTATACTTTTATATGACTGGCAGTGCAATAGGTTTGTTTATACACGCATCACCACAGACACATGAGTAATGCATTGTGCCATGAATTTGCAGGGACCACAATTAGATGATGGAACTTTCCCAGCTCGTGTGTGTGTGTGTGTGTGTGTGTGTGTGTGTATGTGTATGTATATATGTGTGTGTGTGTGTATATATATATATATAGAGAGAGAGAGAGACAGACAGCACGTGTCTTGCTCTGTCGCCGAGGCTGAAGTGCAGTGGTGCAATCACAGCTCCCTGCAGCCTCAGCCTCCCGGGCTCAAGCATTCCCCTGCCTCAGCCTCCCCAGTAGATGGGACTATAGGCGTGCACCACCATGCCTGGCTAATTTTTGTATTTTTTGTGTAGAGAAGGGGTTTCTTTATGTTGCTCAGGCTGGTTTCAAACTCCTAGGCTAAAGTGATCTGCCTGGCTGCCCGGCTTGGCCTCCCAAAGTGCTGGGATCACACACATGGGTTACCACACCTGGCCTCCATTATAATCTTAACTATCATAAATGTGGTCTGTCATTGACCGCAGCGTCCTTACGTGGTGATTTTAATGTGTGAAAGTTGAATCAGTTAGGCATTAATGTATTCAGCAACCACTTATTAACAAATAAGCAAGAAAGAGTTAGGTAATAAGTTCACCACTAAAACAGGACTTTTTAAAAATTATATTGAGTGAAAAGAGCAAATTGCAAGAAAGATACATATAAATATGGTGCCATTATTCTAAATTCTTAATTATTGGAGTGAAGTTTTACTTGTGTCTGTAATGTTCCATTTTGTTAAACTGAGGCAGATACAGTAAAAAATGTTAATATTTGTTAAGTATAGGTGGTACATGTTTGGGTGTCTTATATTTTTTTCTACACCTTTGTACATTTGAAATACTTCATAATTAAACATTTTAAATTTTGTGTCAGTTTTTTTTTGAGACAGGGTCTTGCCCTGTTGTCCTGGCTGGAGTGCAGTGGCATGATCTTGGCTCATTGCAACCTCCACCTCCCGAGCTCAAGCAGTCCTCCCAAGTAGCTGGGACTACAGGCGTGCACTACCACACCTGCCTCATTTTTGCATTTTTTTGTAGAGGTGGGGTTTAGCCTTGTTGCCCAGGCTGGTCTCGAACCCCTGGGCTCAAGCAATCTGCCTGCCCTGGCTTCTCAACATGCTGGGATTACAAGAATGAGCCACTGCACCTGGCCATCATTTTTAATTTTTAAATTAGTGAAACAGGGTAAGGATGTGATAGGAAATGACAGGGGCTTTTTCACGTTGATTGGCAGTGGAGAGACTCTCTCTGGGCAGGTGACATATGCTGAGACCTGAATAACAGGAAGGAGTCACTCATGCAGACATGCAGGGAAAGAATACTCCAGGCAAACAGCTGTTGCTGCAGTCCTGAGGCAGGAGCAAGCCTGACGTGTTCAAGGTAAGGCTATTTTGTCTGGCGGGAAAACCACAGAACAGTTGTACTGTGCTAGCTACCTCAGCAGCTGTGGAGGTGACTACCCCAGCGTTACTGGAAAATGGTCATTTCATGTCTGAATACTTAAGTTGAAGGAAGAACACCATTTTTAGAGCTACCTAATGCTTCCACGGAGTTTCTCATGTGGGGCTTACAGACTGATGGGGTCCTATCAGAAGGCTTCAGAAGCTGGCTTAAAGGGTCTTAATGGCCAAGTCCAGACACTTTGAGCATCAAAAAGCAACAAAGCGATAGATTATGATACACAGTTTTTAAGAATTGTGATTTCCTAGTCAAAGAAGCAGAGAAAGGAAAAAAGCTCTTGTTTATAGAAGAATGCCTGCTAAGGTAGAAAGAATGATAGAAAAGGACTGTTTTACAGATTCTAGCATAATCATTGATTTAGGCAAGGACAATTAATAGATCCTGAACTCTTTGGATGAAAGTTGTTGAAGAATAGGATATTCAAAAAATTCCATGACATGAAAAACAGAAGGTTGGAGAGATGCTGTTATAGTGAAGTATTTAGGAATGGAGTGATACTTTGTCTGCAGCTAACTCTCATCAAAAGGTTCATTTTTAAAAAGCAGTGGGGTGTGTGTGTGTGTGTGTGTGTAGAGAGAGAAAGCAAATGTGGCAAGAAGTTAACAGTGAACCTAGAAGGTGAACTGTGTGTGTGCATTAGAACTTTTTGTGTGTGCGCACTTATAAATGTTGAAAATTAATGAGCTGTGATGCCATCTCCAAAGGAAAAATAAGTAAAAATAAATGTTGAAAATTAAAAGTTGGAGGGAATGCTTATTTCTATTTTAAACCCAAATCCAGGCTGGGCGTGGTGGCTCACGCCTGTAATCCCAGCACTTTGGGAGGCCGAGGCAGGCGGATCACGAGGTCAGGAGGTCGAGACCATCCTGGCTAACACGGTGAAACCCCATCTCCACTAAAAATACAAAAAAATAAAATAAATTTTAAAAAACCCAAATCCAACTTACTAATATTTTTTGCTGTTTGATGTAATTGTGCTATTTGGAGCTCTCTGATAGATCCAAATTCTCCCTTATATGGTGATACTGGTAATTTTTATATTACATCTTTTTTTTTTTTTTTGAGATGGAGTTTCACTCTTGTTGCCCAGGATGGAGTGCAACGGCGCGATCTCGGCTCACCGCAACCTCCTCCTCCTGGGTTCAAGCGATTCTCCTGCCTCAGCCTCCCGAGTAGCTGGGATTACAGGCATGTGCCACCACGCCTGGCTAATTTTGTATTTTTAATAGAGACGGGGTTTTTCCATGTCGGTCAGACTGGTCTCAATCTCCCGACCTCAGGTGATCTGCCCGCCTTGGCCTCCCAAAGTGCTGGGATTACAGGCGTGAGCTACCATGTCCAGCCATCTTTTTTTTTTTTTTTTTTTTTTTTTGAGTAGGAATCTCACTCTGTTGTTCAGGCTGGAGTGCAGTGGCAAGACCTTGGCTCATTGCAACCTCTACCTCAAGCAGTTCTCCTGCCTCAGCCTCCCGAGTAGCTGGATTACAGGTGTGCACCACAACACCAAACTAATTTTTGTATTTTTAGTAGAGACGGGGTTTTACCATGTTGACCAGACTGGTCTCGAACTCCTGACCTCAGTGATCGCTGCCTCGGCCTCCAGAAGTGTTGGGATTACAGGCATGAGCCACCATGCCTGACCTATTACATCTATTGTGTAGGTACTATGATATGCCATACATTGTGCAGAACACATGGCATGCATTAGTTAATCCTCCTAACAGTTCTTGAGTTAGTACTCATTTCCCCTTTTAAAGATGAAAAGACAGATGCTTAAGAAGATATCACTAAAGCAACAGAAAAAACATTTCATCTTAAGAATGAAAATGAATTTGTTAGACAGGCTAGAAAGAATATTCACTGATGAGAAAGCACAATAGAAGAATTTATTTTATTTTTTTCATTAGTTATTTAGTTTATTATAAAAGAGAAATATGGAAATTATTTACATGATGAAAGATTTCAGAACTTCGGTGGAATGGGCAGCTTCATGTTGATGCCATTTCAATAGTGACTTATTTCAGTTTACGTACTTTCCAAGAACGTCACCATCTCTAAATAGGAAATAATCCTTGTCATCTAGAACTACTTTGGTGCCTCCATGTTATGGGAGAAGAACTTTATCTCCAACTTTCACACGAACTGGTTGAATCTCTCCACCCTTTCCTTTAGAACCCGATCCAACAGCGACTACTGTTGCTTGCAATACTTTTCCTTGAGATTTTTCTGGAAGCATAATGCCTCCTTTGGTTACAGTTTCAACAGCACTCCTTTCAACCAATACTCGGTCAAAGAGTGGAAGAAACTTAAACGCTTGTCCTGCCATGACTCCCTCCACCTCAGACTCGTACTCTGCTCTAGTGTCAAGAATTTATTATAGTGTTACTAGGCATGCATGTTTTTCTGGCCTTGAACTTGTCCTACATACAGCCCACCCTGGAGAGGCAATCTAGTATGGTGGTTTAGAGCACAGTCCGTGAAGCCTGAAGCCAGAATGCCTAGGTTCAAATCCCAGTTCTACTATCACAAGCTGCTACTGCCTTAGAAGGACTTCTCCAGGATTCTATACTGGGAACCTCTGTTGTATTCGTTTCCTATTGCTGCTATAACAAATTACTGCAAACTTAGTTGTTTGAAATAACATTAAGTTTATTATCTTAACGGTTCTGGAGGTCTGAAGTCCAAAATGGATGTCACTGGGCTAAAATTAAGATGTCAACAGGGCTGCATTTCCATTTGGAGGCTTAGAGGACAATCTTTTCTTGCTTTTTAGTTTCTAGAGGCCACTCTCAGCCTCTGTCTTCAAAACCAGCAACATTGTATCTCTCTGTGTCTTTGCCTTTCTTCTATGGGAACCTCTTCCTCTGACTCTTCTGCCTCCCTCTTCCACTTTTGAAGACAGTTGTTACCATATTGGGCCACGGTGATAACAGATAATCTAGGATAATCTCCCTATTTTAAGGTTAGCCTTATATTAGGCTGATAAGCAACCTTAATTCCATGTACAACTTCAGTTTTCCTTTGTAACCTAACATATTCACAGATTCCAGGGATTAAGGCATGAATATTTTTGGGAAACCTTTTTTTTTTTTTTTTTTTTTTTTTTTTTTTTTTTTTGCCTACATATCTATGTTTAAATTCTAAAGTTGTGTAAGGCAGCTGGGGCCAGGAGAAGATTATTCCAAAGTGGAGATCCTTGCCAATCCTGAAGATGACTTGAGTAGAACCAGTAATTGGGTTTGAGCTAAAAGGAACTACTGGGTGGCGTATGTACATGTTTTTTATTCTCTTACTAGCATAAAATATATATAGTAAATTCAGCATTTTTTTTTTCTTTTTTGAGGCAGGATCTCACTTTATTCCCCAGGCTGTATGACAGTGACATGATCATGGATCACTGTAGTCTCAACTTCTGGTCTCAAGCAGTCCTCCTACCTCAGCCTCCTGAGTAGCTAGGACTACAGGCATAGGCCACCATGCCCTGCTAATTTATTTTTTGAAGAGACGGCGGGGGGGTCTCCCCATGTTGCTCAGGCTGGTCTCTAATGCCTGGCCTCAAGCAGTCCTCCTACCTCAGCCTCCCAAAGTGCTGAGATTACAGGTGTGAGCCACCACTCCTGGTAGTGAATTCAGTATTAAAGAGTGATTGAATTAGAAGGCAACTGAGTTTTAGTTACATCATAGGAAGGAAATGATTATAGTATTAGAATACATTTCTGTTGATTGATTGATTCATGCCAGCCCTCAGAGGAAAATGTTCTTGATTTAATTGCAATTTTAGAGAAACTTCAAGTTAAATTTTTTTATGTGTCTCCCTTGTTAAGCATTAATTTTTATTTTTATTATTATTATTTTTTACAGAGTTTTACTACCCTTGGATGCTGCTGTTGACATGGAAAAGATTGAGGAACAATTTGCTAATCTGCACATTGTTAAATGTTCCTTAGGAACCAAAGAGCCCACTTACCTTCTTGGTATAGACACATCAAAGACTGTCCAAGCAGGAAAGGAAAACTTGGTTGCTGTTTTATGTTCTAATGGATCAATCAGAATATATGATAAAGAAAGGTTAAATGTACTACGAGAATTTAGTGGATATCCTGGACTTCTTAATGGAGTCAGATTTGCAAATTCCTGTGACAGTGTATATTCAGCATGTACTGATGGCACTGTGAAATGCTGGGATGCTCGAGTAGCCAGAGAAAAACCTGTTCAGCTCTTCAAGGGTTACCCTTCCAATATTTTTATCAGTTTTGATATTAATTGTAATGATCATATTATTTGTGCTGGTACAGAAAAAGTTGATGATGATGCATTGTTGGTGTTTTGGGATGCAAGGATGAATTCTCAGAATTTATCTACAACTAAAGACTCACTTGGTGCATATTCAGAGACACATAGTGATGATGTCACTCAAGTACGTTTCCATCCCAGCAATCCCAACATGGTAGTCTCAGGTTCATCTGATGGCCTGGTAAATGTATTTGATATTAATATTGATAATGAGGAGGATGCACTGGTTACAACCTGTAACTCAATTTCATCAGTAAGCTGTATTGGTTGGTCTGGGAAAGGTTATAAACAGATTTACTGCATGACACATGATGAAGGATTTTATTGGTGGGATCTTAATCATCTGGACACTGATGAACCAGTTACACGTTTGAACATCCAGGATGTCAGAGAAGTAGTTAACATGAAAGAAGATGCTTTGGACTATTTGATTGGTGGCCTATATCATGAAAAGACAGACACATTGCATGTTATTGGAGGAACAAACAAAGGAAGGATTCATTTGATGAACTGCAGCATGTCAGGACTGACCCATGTGACTAGCCTTCAGGGAGGGCATGCTGCTACAGTCCGTTCTTTCTGTTGGAATGTGCAAGATGATTCTTTGTTGACTGGAGGAGAAGATGCACAGTTGTTACTTTGGAAACCTGGAGCTATAGAGAAGACCTTTACAAAGAAAGAGAGTATGAAAATAGCATCCTCTGTGCACCAACGAGTACGAGTTCATAGTAATGATTCTTATAAAAGAAGGAAAAAGCAGTGATAATGCATTTGGCACTTTGTTTGGTAGGTTTTATAGTTTCAAATAGTCCTTCTTGTTTACTACCCATGGTAGACATGTTTAAAGCTTTATGTAAAAACAAGCCAGTTAGCAAACAGTCCTGGAAAAATATGGTGAGAATGGTTTAATTCCGGTCTTCACATATTCTAAAAAATTTTAAAGCCTCTAAGTATAAAATCAGTGAGTTGAAAGTAAAATTTCTTATTTAAAGAACCCATCTGTTAATGTAGTAAATGTTGGCTTTAAAGAAATAGCTCCGATAAGGACTTTTTAGAAGGAAATACTTGGTAAAACTTAATAAAACAGGTGGTTGGCTGCATTTTTTAAGCCCAGTTTTTTACATTTTAAATTGTCTTTATTGTGTATAAAACCAGATTAGACTATATTCTTCATCTGAGGAGCATCTATATGTTTAATACACCTAATGTATTATGCTGGAGTATTTAAATGTAAGTATTTTAATGAGTAAATAGAATTAACCTTTTTTACAAATGAAATGATAGGCATCTATGTAAAGTGAGAAAAATATGTTTCGTAAATATTTGCATCTTTAATATTGTTAGTAAGTAGTAAACAGGTGTTTTGCTGATTGAAAGGAAGTTATCTTGGTAAATTGAGACTCAAAGTGAAATACAAAAATGAAAATATTTATAATAGGACTCGACTTGGAGAAATTGCTATTCTTCCTGTTGTCCAAACCATAAATCTGAGGATAACCTGGGCTTTTCTCTTTCCTCTTCTCCTAACCAGTTTTTCACCAAGTCCTGTGCCATTTCACCTCCTAACGTCTGTCAGCTATCCTTTTGCCTTTACCTCACCACTATTACCCTAGAGAAGACTTTCATTATTTCTCATCTGGATTACCAGCTCGATCTCTAATCTGCTTCAGTTCATCCTTCTTGCTACTTCTAGGCTAAACATCAAAAACAGATCTGGTAGGGGCGGGGAAATGAGGGGGAAGAAACAAAAACGTGATGGTGCCTCATGCTGCTTAAAATCTTCAGTACATTGATGTTTTGATGGCGGACTACATAAGCGTTAAAAATTGTGTTTTTCAGAATCTTTAAAATATAAGACAGTGCTATCTAGTGAATAAAAAAATTAGTTTGAAAGATATCTGGAGAAATCGCATTCATAAAACAATTGGAAGTGAAACTATTAAAACAATAGGGCTTTTTAAAATTAAAAATATTTAAAATTCAAAAGTAATTAATAGTGTTGGAAGATGTAGGTGAGAAAATATTCCTGAAAGTAGAACTGAAAGAGACAAAGAGAAAAGATGAAAGCCACAGAAGATAAATACAGGGGTCAAAACCAGACTAACAGTTTTAGAAAGTGAAAAAAGTTAAAAAAGAAATGGGGGCAGTGGGTTATTAGAAATAACATAAATGGCTGGTATGGTTTGTCTGTGTCCTCACCCAAATTTCATCTCGAATTGTAATCCCCATAATCCCCATGTGTCTAGGGAGAGACCTGGTGGGAGGTGATTGGATCATGGGGGTGGTTTCCCCTACGATGTTCTCCTGATAGTGGGTGAGTTCTCACAAGATCTGATGGTTTTATAAAGGGCTCTGCCCCTTTAACTCCTCACTCTTTCTCCTGAAGCCTTGTGAAGAAGGTGCTTTGCTTCCCCTTTGCGTTCCCCCATGATTGTAAGTTTCTTGAGGCCTCCCTGGCCATGCTGAACTCTTCAGTCAATTAAACACTTTCCTTTATAAATTACCCAGTCTTGGGCAGTTATTTATAGAGTGTGAAAATGGACTAATATAGTGGCTATTCCAGAACTTCAATCTTTAGATTGAAAGGCACAGCAGAGTGTCAAGTGTAATGAATGAAAAAGATCCACATCAAGGCATAGCACTGTGAAGTTTCAGAGTAAATAGAAAATCCTGCAAGTGTCCGGAAAAAAAAAATCACTTAGGAACAGATTTACAGTTGTGTTAGACTCATTAGCAAATCTGGATGACAAAAGATGGTGGATCAATGCCTTCAGAGTTCTGAGGACAGATTCCTACCTATTTGAATTTACAGCTCTCCAAACTCATGCAGCAAATAGATGATAAATTTTTTGAGATATCCCTTGTCAAATGAATATTTCCTAGTTGTTCTCTGAACCTCAGGAACCAAATTGATACAGCTAACAAAGTATCCATTTGTAACCAAACTCTCATTGACTAAACCCAGGAAATAGTAATTCTATGACCAGTCAGGCTGTCTTCACGTGTGAAGTTAAAAACATTGCAGGTTGGCTGGGTGTGGTGGCTCACGCCTGTAATCCCAGCACTTTGGGAGGCCGAGGCAGGCGGATTACCTGAGGTCAGGAGTTCAAGACCAGCCTGGCCAACATGGTGAAACCCTGTCTCTACCAAAAATACAAAAATGAGCTAGGCATGGTGGCACACGCCTGTAATCTCAGCTACTTGGGAGGCTGAGGCAGGAGAATTGCTTGAGCCTGGGAGGCAGAGGTTGCAGTGAGCCAAAATTGTGCACCATTGCACTCCAGCCTAGACAACAAGAGTGAGACTCTATCTCAAAACAAAACATTGCAGGCATACAAAATCTCAAACTTCACTCTTCATGCCGTTTTTTTCAAAGGCTGCTGAAGGATACACTCCACAGAAATTAAGGAAGTAAATCAAGGAAGAGCAGAGATAGCAAAAATCAGGGAACCAACCTAGCATTGTGGCAAGATAACAGCTTTGCAGCACTATATTCAGTCCAGACTGGAGCAGGACAGAGGATATCAGGAGGGAGATGTCCAGGGAGAAAATTGAACGTATAGGTTACCCAATGCATTTGACCATGTGGAGAACATTGTAAATAGTATAAGTGGATTTAACCCACCAATTAAAAGAGACCCTTAAAAAGGTTGGTGCAAAAGTAATTGCACCAACCCATAGAATACTAACGCATAGAATGAGAGAAAATGTTGGCAAATCATAGATAAGGAACTTGTGTCCAGAACATACGGAGAAATCTTACAACTCGATATTGAAAAGACAACCCAATTTTTAAATTGATCAAAGGATCTGGATAGACATTTCTCCAAAGAAGATATACAAATGGCCAGTATGCACATGCAAAGATACTCAATATCATTAGCAGAGAAATGCAAACCAGAACACTTTACACCCATTAGGATGGCTATAATATTAATAAAAATTGTATCTTCTGAAGATCTGGAGAAATCAGAACCTTTATACACTGCTGGTGGGAATGTAAAATGGTGGAGCTGCTTTGGAAAACAGTCCAGAAGTTCCTCAGGGAGTTGTACAGTTGCCATTTGACCTGGCAATTCCACTCCTAGGTGTATGCCCAGAAGAATTGAGAACATATGTCCACACAGGAACTTGTACATGAGTGTTCATAGTAACATTCATACTAGCCAAAAGGTGGAAAGAATCCAAGCGTTCATCAGTAGATAAACAATGTGGGCGGTGCGCACGGCTTTCGGGCAGGAAGGTGCGCTCTGGCGAGGTAGGAGCAATGTGGGCTGGAAACGCCTGGCGCGCCGCGCTTTCCGGGGTGCCGTGCGGCCGCAGCGCGCAGTCAGTACTGGCCCAGCTGCGCGGCATTCTGGAGGGGGAGCTGGAAGGGATCCGCGGAGCTGGCACCTGGAAGAGTGAGCGGGTCATCACGTCCCGTCAGGGGCCGCACATCCACGTGGACGGCGTCTCCGGAGGAATCCTCAACTTAACGTGCCAACAACTACCTGGGCCTGAGCAGCCACCCTGAGGTGATTCAGGCAGGTCTGCAGGCTCTTTGGAGCTGGCCTTAGCTCGGTCCGCTTCATCCGTGGAACCCAAAGCATCCACAAGAATCTAGAAGCAAAAATAGCCCGCTTCCACCAGCGGGAGGATGCCATCCTCTATCCCAGCTGTTGTGACGCCAACGCCGGCCTCTTTGAGGTCCTGCTGAGACCCGAGGACGCAGTCCTGTCGGACGAGCTGAACTGTGCCTCCATCATCCACGGCATCTGCCTGTGCAAGGCCCACAAGTACCACTATTGCCACCTGGACGTGGCCTACCTAGAAACCAAGCTTCAGGAGGCCCAGAAGCATCGGCTGTTCCTGGTGGCCACCGATGGGGCCTTTTCCATGGATGGCGACATCGTGCCCCTGCAGAAGATCTGCCGCCTCGCCTCTAGATATGGCGCCCTGGTCTTTGTGGATGAATGCCATGCCACTGGTTTCCTGGGACTCACAGGACAGGGCACAGATGAGCTGCTGGGTGTGATGGGCCAGGTCACCATCATCAACTCCACCCTGGGGAAGGCCCTGGGTGGTGCATCAGGGGGCTACACGACAGGGCCTGGGCCCCTGGTGTCACTGCTGCTGCCCAGCCCTATCTCTTCTCCAACAGTCTGCCACCTGCTGTTGTTGGCTGCACCTCTAAGGCCCTAGATCTGCTCATGGAGAGCAACACCATCGTCCAGTCTATGGCTGCCAGGACCCAGTGGTTCTGTAGTAAGATGGAAGCTGCTGGATTCACTGTCTCAGGAGCCAGTCACCCCATCCGTCCTGTGATGCTGGGTGATGCCCAGCTGACCTTGCATGGCGGATGACATGCTGAAGAGAGGCATCTTTGTTATTGGGTTCAGCTACCCTGTGGTCTCCAAGGGCAAGGCCCAGATCCGGATACAGATCTCAGCATTGCACAATGAGGAAGACATTGACTACCACGTGGAGGCCTTCGTGGAAGTGGGGCGGCTGTACAGGGCACTGCCCTGAGCTCTGAGTAGGGACAAGCAGAGCCAAGGTCCACCTACTGCCATAAGGTCAAAGGAGGTTTTCGATCAGCCCAGACCAGAGGCTCTGAGCCCTGAACCAGAGTCCCAGAGCTGGGCTGGGACGTGGCCTGTGCTGAGGGCTGTGAGAATGTGAAACAACAGTATGAAAATTGGCTGTGAAAAAACAAAACAGAACAAAACAAACAACATGGTATATCCATTCAGTGGAATATTATTCAGCCATAAAAATGAATGAATTTTTTTTTTTTTGAGACAGAGTCTCACTCTGTCACCCAGGCTGCAGTGCAGTGGTGCGATCTCAGCTCACTGCAACCTCTGCCTCCCGGGTTCAAGCGATTCTCCTGCCTCATCTCCCAAGTAGCTGGGACTACAGGTGTGCACCACCATGCCTGGCTAAGTTAGCAATACAGTACTTAAACTTGGTGAAAGTTTATATAATAAAAACCTACAGTAGGGACCGGGTGTGCTGGCTCACACCTGTAATCCCAGCCCTTTAGAAGGCCGAGGCAGGCAGAGTGCTTCAGCCCAGGAATTTGAGACCAGCCTAGGCAACGTGGCAAAATCCCATCACTACAAAAATTAAAAATAGATATACAAAAAGTTAGCCAGGTGTGGTGGCATGTTCCTGTAGTCCCAGTTACTTGGGAGGCTCAGGTGGGAGGCTACAGTGAGCCATGATCTCACCACTGCACTCCAGCCTGGGTGACAGAGTGAGACTGTGTCTCAAAACAAACACCAAAACCTACAGTAAACATTATATTTAGTGGAGAAATGTTAGATTAAATGCCTTCCTTTTGAGACCACGACTCACTGGGGAGGCTTATAGTAGTATGGATCCTAATTAATACTATAAGGAAAGATAAACGATTACAGCATGTAAGGATTGGAAGAGAAGAGAAAACCTCTCCTTTGCAAATGATATCTACCTAAAAAATTCAACAATCAACAAACTATTCTAACTCCTAAGAGATTCAGCAAGGTCGCCAGTTATAAATAAGATCAGCCAATGAAAATCCAAAGCATATCATTTCACAATAGGTATAAAAATGTAAAATATCAAGGAATTAACCAAGGTTACACAAGGTCTATTTGAAGAAAGCTTTAAAAACTCTAATGAAGACATAGAAAATAACCTAAGAAACATTCTGTGCTTCCAATGAGATGACAATATTATAAAAGTGAACATTCTAAATTTAATGTGAAAAAGCAGATTACATTAATCCCAATAAAAATTCCAGTTGGATTTTTTGATGAACTCAAGCTTACTTTAAAATTTGTATGGAAGGGCCGGGCACAGTGGCTCATGCCTGTAATCCCAGCACTTTGGGAAGCCGAGGCGGGATGATCACAAGGTCAGGAGTTCGAGACCAGCCTGGCCAATATGGTGAAACACTGTCTCTACTTAAAAAATACAAAAATTAGCTGGGTGTGGTGGCAGGCGCCTGTAGTCCCAGCTACTCGGGAGGCTGAGGCAGGAGAATCACTTGAACCCAGGAGGCGGAGCTTGCAGTGAGCCGAGATCGCTCCACTGCACTCCAGCCTGGACGACAGAGCGAGACTCTGTCTCAAAAAAAAAAAAAAAAAGTGTAAATTGATGCACCTATTCTGGAGAGCAAGAACATACCTAAGTGTTCATGTACTCTCTGACCTAGCAATTGCACTGCTTGGTGTAATATCCTAAAGAGATTTTCATAAAGGTCCATTATTGGGAATTATTTTTGACATCATGGGGTCGGAGACAACCTGGATATCTACACCTGGAGAGAGGTAAAAATGTGGTGGATGTAGACAATGAAGTAACAATAGTTAAAAACCACAGACAAGATGTACACTTAGCCATATGGCTCAATCATAAAAAATAGTACCCAGTGAAAGCAGTAAGAATGCATGTGTGGGGAAAATCATTTATATTAATTAAAATATTACAACTAACAGTTCACTTTATGCAAGAACTCATAACAATTTTATATATTAACACCATAGAATGGTTACCTGGCATGGGGGAGAAGGGAATGGGAGCGGGTATAGAAATAAAACGGAGGGAGTTGGGCGGATCATTTGAGGTTGGGAGTTCAAGACCAGCCTGGCCAACATGATGAAACCCCATCTCTACTAAAAAATACAAAAATTAGCCAGGCGTGGTGGTGCACACCTGTAATCCCAGCTACTCGGGAGGTTGAGGCAGGAGAATTGCTTATACCTGGGAGGCAGAGGTTGCAGTGAGCCGAGATGGTGCCACTGCACTCCAGCCTTGGCAACAGAGTGAGACACCGTCTCAAAATTTAAAAAAAAAAAAAAGAAGGAAAAAGGGAGGAAGACAGAGGGAGAAAGAGAAGAAATTTGAAAAGAAAGTCACTTTGAATGAATATTGGTGTGTTTGGGAGCTAGTAATAGGCATACAGAAAACATACAAATGTGGCCAGACTAAGTGGCTCACTTCTGTAACCCCACCACTTTGGGAGGCTGAAATAGGAGGATCACTGGAGTTCAGGAGTTCGTGACCAGCCTGGGCAATATAGTGAGACCCTGTTCCTACATAAAATTTTAAAATTCCAGCGAGGCATGGTGGCTCATGCCTGTAATCCCAGCACTGTGGGAGGCTAAGGCAGGTGGATCACCTGAGGTCAGGAGTTTGAGACCAGCCTGCCCAACATGGCGAAAGCCTGTCTCTACTAAAAATACAAAAATTAGTTTGGTGTGGTGGCAGGAACCTGTAATCCCAGCTACTCAGGAGGCTGAGGCAGGAGAATTGCTTGAACGTGGGAGGTGGAGGTTGCAGTGAGCCAAGATCGCACCATTGCACTCCAGCCTGGGCAACAGAGTGAGACTCCATCTCAAAAAAACAACAAAAAAAATTATCTCACATAAGTTCAGAAGTAGGACATTTCCAGGATTGGTTGTGAGCAAGAATCCAAATTCTTACCTTTTTTCTTTTTGGGGAGTTGGGGTCTCACTGTGTTGCCCAGGCTGGTCTTCAACTCCTGGGCCTGGGGGATCTTCCCACTTCAGCTTTCCAAGTAGCTGGGACTACAGATGACTGCCACCCCACCCAGCTCTCCATTTTTTTGTTCTGCAAATCTTCAGCTTGTCAGCTAGTTACCTTCAAGTTCATAAGATGACTGTAATAGTGCCAGTGATCATGTCCACATTCAACAACATCCAGTGGAAGAGGGTCTGTTTCTTTGCCTATGATTCTCGTTGTTTTTTCTTTTTTTAGACAGAGTCTCATTCTGTTGCCCAGGCTGGAGTACAGTGGCACAATTAGCTCACTGCAGCCTCGAACTCCTGGGCTCAAGTGATCCTCCTGCTTCAGCCTCCCAAAGTGTTGGTTTACAGGTGTGAGCCAATGTGCCCAACCAGGAGAAAATCTTGTACCTCTTGTGAACTCACTTTCAACACTGCTTTAGTCCAACTACCACCACAATTACCACTGAGCCTCAAACTCTTTCCCCAACTGGTCTCAAGTGGCCCCAACAACTCATGTCCTTGCCTAATTAGCGAGCCTGTATTTCTGTATACACATCTGTGCATCACTGCTCCCTTGCTCTCTAAGTGAGAAAATTCAGAAAGAAGCTGAAAACAAGGTCTACAAAATAGCAAGAATTAAAGGTAACTCTGATGTAGATAACGTTATCTTGGCAGGGCACAGTGGCTCATGCCTGTAATCCCAGTACTTTGGGAGGCGAAGGCAGGCAGATCGCTTGACCCCAGGAGTTTGAGACCAGCCTGGGCAAAACAGCAAAACCTCGTCTCTGTCTCTCTCTCTCTCTCTCTCTCTCTCTCTATATATATATATATATATGCACAAAAATTAACCTGGTGTGGTGGCGCACACCTGTAGCCCCAGCTACTTGGGAGGCTAAGGTGGGAGGATGGCTTAAGCCCAGGAGGCAGAGGCTGCAGGCAGCTGAGATCATGCCACTGCACTCCAGCCTGGGTGACAGAGCCAGATCCTGTCCCAAAAACAAAAACAAAGATAACATGATCTTGAGCTGTGGAAATTATTAGATTGCATATTCTATTGGACAGTGGCACCTAGGTATTATTTGTTGTTTTTGTATTTGTTGCTATTTTTATTTACTTAAAATCTGCCTCTTTTTTCTTCTCTGATACTACTTTTATGAGTTTATACTATTAATTTGTTTTCTCTTTAAAGATCTGATCACGGCCAGGCACAGTGGCTCACGCCTGTAATCCCAGCACTTTGGGAGGTGGAGGCAGGCATATCACGAGGTCAAGAGTTCGAGACCAGCCTGACCAACATGCTGAAACTCTGTCTCTACTAAAATTACAAAAATTAGCCAGGCGTGGCAGCACGTGCCTGTAGTCCCAGCTACTCGGGAGGCTGATGCAGGAGAATCACTTGAACCAGGGAGGCGGAGGTTGCAGTGAGCTGAGATCGTGCCACTGGACTCCAGCCTGGGCAACAGAGCAAGACTCCGTCTCAGAAAAATAAATAAATAAAAGGCCGGGCGCGGTGGCTCATGCCTGTGATCCCAGCACTTTGGGAGGCCGAGGTGGGCGGATCTCAAGGTCAGGAGTTCGAGACCAGTCTGCCCAGCATGGTGAAACCCCATCTCTACTAATAATACAAAAAATTAGCCGGGCATGGTGGTGTGTGCTTGTAGTCCCAGCTACTGGGGAGGCTGAGGCAGGAGAATTGCTTGAACCTGGCAGGTGGAGGTTGCAATGAGCCAAGATTGTGCCACTGCACTCCAGCCTAGGTGACAGAGCGAGACTCTGTCTCAAAAAAAAAAAAAAAAAAAAAAGATCTGATCACTGGAAAACCCTACCTTCCTTTAAAAAACTTGAAGTTCAGGGCTGGGCGCAGTGGATCACACATGTAATTCCAGCAGTTTGGAAGGCCAATGCCGACCGATTGCTTGAGCTCAGGAGTTTGAGACGACTAGCCTGGGAAATATAGTGAGACCCCATCTCTACAAAAAACAAAAAAACTAGCCAGGTGTAGTGGTGTACATCTGTGGTTCCAGCTACTCAAGAGACCGAGGTGGTTGGATCACTTGACCTGGGAGGTTGAGGCTGCAGAGCACCGTGATCACACACTGCGCTCCAGCCTGGGTGACAGGGAGAGACATTGTCTCAAAACAAAACCAAAAAAAAAAAAAAAAACAATATCTGGAAGTTCAGCCATTGCTCTAAAGGAGTAACATATTCATCCAACTTTATTAGGTGACTTCCCCAATAAGTTATTGAAAGCAATAGTGTAAATGTTAGTTGGTCCACTGTTATTTCACTATTATTGTACTAGCAGACTGGTCCACATGAAAACATAGAGAAATAAGAAATGAAATAAATAGTCTGGGCACGGTGGCTCATGCCTGTAATCCCAGCACTTTGGGAGGCTGAGGCGGGCGGATCACGAGCTCAGGAGACTGAGACCATCCTGGCTAACACGGTGAAACCCCATCTCTACTAAAAAAAATACAAAAAAATTAGCCGGGTGTGGTGGCGGGCGCCTGTAGACCCAGCTACCTGGGAGGCTAAGGCAGGAGAATGGCGTAAACCCAGGAGGCAGAGCTTGCAGTGAGCCGAGATCGCACCACTGCACTCCAGCCTGGGCGACACAGTGAGACTTTGTCTCAAAAAAAAAAAAAAGAAAAAAGAAATAAATACATATTACATACATATTTGCTTTCAACTGCCTCTTACCAGCTGGATTACAAAGAAAACCAAAGCCAAGTATTTTCCTTCCTTCCTTTCTTCCTTCCTCCCTTCTTTCCTTCCTTCCTTCCTCCTTTTAAGACAGTGTTTTACTCTGTCATTCAGGCTGGAGTGCAGTGACACCATTTACAGGCATGCATCACCATGCCCAGATAATTTTTGTATTTTTTGTAGAGACGGTTTCAACATGTTGCAAGGCTAGTCTCGAACTCCTGATCTCAAGCAATCCACCCACCTAGGCCTTCCAAAGTACTAGGATTACAGGCATGACTCAAGCTCCGCTCCTAAGTATTTCAAGAGAAAATTGCACTAAAAATAATTGAGGCCAGGTGCGGTGGTTCACGCCTGTAATCCCAGCACTTTGGAAGGCCAAGCCAGGCAAATCACAAAGTCAGGAGTTCGAGACTAGCCTGGCCAATATGGTGAAACCCCATCTCTACTAAAAATACAAAAAAAAAAAAAAAAAAATTAGCTGGGCGTGGTGGCGCACGCCTGTAGTCCCAGCTGTAGTCCCAGCTACTCGGAAGGCTGAGGCAGAATAACTGCTTGAACCCGGGAGGCGGAGGTTGCAGTGAGCTGAGATCGCACCACTGCACTCCAGCCTGGGCGACGGAACGAGGCTCCGTCTCAAAATAATAATAATAATAATAATTCAAATAACAGCTTTTTGGTTTGGAATTTGGTATTCTAGTTGAATTACACTAACAGATCGTCAGGTTGTAGTTGTTTTGTTTGCTTTGTGTTTTACTGCTAAATTTTATTTGAACTGTTTTCTGTGATGAAAATGCTGAAGAAAAGTTTGTAGCCCCAAATCTGACATTGGATCAAATGCCTTTTTTAAGTTGAATTGTTTATTGTCAACTTGGCATCACAAACACCCCCATTTTAAGGGTTTCTCTGCATTGCAGAGAATCTAGGAACTGCGTTTCTCAGAACCTCTTTCCTATCCAGTTTAGTCTGACACATCTACTAATAAGAGGCATTCATGTGAGTATTGAAAGGTCAAAAAGAAATGAGGCTATTATAGGCCAGGTGCAGTGGCTCACGCCTGTAATACTAGCACTTAGGGAGGCCTAGGCGGACGGATCACCTGAGGTCGGGAGTTCGGGATCAGCCTGACCAACATGGGAGAAACCTCGTCTCTACCAAAAATACAAAAAAAAAATTAGCCCGGCGTGGTGGCGCATGCCTGTAATCCTAGCTACTCCAGAGGCTGAGGCGGGAGAATAGCTTGAACCCGGGAGGCGGAGGTTGCGGTGAGCCAAGATGGCGCCATTGTACTCCAGCCTGGGCAACAAGAGCAAAACTCCATCTCAAAAAATAAATAAATAAATAATAAATGAGGCCATTATTATATAAAGACAAGTAAAGGCAGATAACTGGGCATATATGAATTTTAAGACAGCTTCTAGTTGAGCTTCTAGAGAACTATTTTTTATGCTGCTACAGATTATGATTTCGTAGAAGTCTGTGAGATTTACCACAAATTCAAGAGAAGGTCTTAAGAACTTAACAACTACCTACTCCAGTGCTGTAGGTCTGATATTTGATATTCTAGGAATTACAATGTTTATGTAAGCCTTTAATTGATTGTATTAAAATTATTCATGAAGGGGCTGGGCATGTGGTGCAAGCCTATAGTCCCAGCTACTCAGGAGGCTGAGATCGGAGGATCGCTTGAGGCCTGGAGTTCAAGGTTGTAGTGTGATGTGATTGCACCTGTAATAACCACTGCACTTCAGCCTGAGCAACATAGCAATATCTCATCTCTAAAAAATATGAAATTAATTAAAGAAAAATCATGAAAGGAGGAATCATCTTTGGGGAAAAATAATATCATCTGGGCCACGTGTGTGTGCACACATACACACAAATGTCTGACATTCAATACTAAATAGGCATGCAAAAAGACAAAACCGGCCGGGCGTGGTGGCTCACGCCTGTAATCCCAGCACTTTGGGATGCTGAAGCAGGCGGATCACCTGAGGTCGGGAGTTCGAGACCAGCCTGACCAACATGGAGAAAGCCCATCTCTACTAAAAATACAAAATTAGCTGGGCGTGGTGGCACATGCATGTAATCCCAGCTACTCGGGAGGCTGAGGCAGGAGAATTGCTTGAACCCAGGAGGCGGAGGTTGCAGTGAGCTGAGATCGCGCCATTGCACTCCAGCCTGGGCAACAAGAGCAAAACTCCGTCTCAAAAAAAAAAAAAAAAAAAAAGACAAAACCATAGACTGATAATCTAGAGGGAAAAACATACAATAAAAGGAGATCCAGATATTAGCATTTGCAGAAAAAGGCTTAAAATAATAATTTAGGAACTTCCTGAATGAAAAAAAATTTAAAAATAATTACTGATTAACATATGAAACATTTAAAAAGATGAAAAGGTGGATAATTTCAACAGTAACATTAACATATCTATAAAAATTCAAACGGACATTCTGTCACTAAGTTAACTCAATGGATGAATTTAACATCAGATGCAGCAGAAGACTAAGACAGCTCAATTAAAAATATTCAGAAAAGGTGGGGCATGGTGGCTCACGTCTGTAATCCCAGCACTTTGGGAGGCCGAGGCAGGTGGATCATGAGGTCAGGAGTTCAAGACCAGCCTGGCCAAGATGGTGAAACCCCGTCTTTACTAAAAACACAAAAATTAGCTGGGTGTGGTGGCAGCTGCCTGTAATCCCAGCTACTCGGGAGGCTGAGGCAGGAGAATCGCTTGAACCCGAGAGGCAGAGCTTGCAGTGAGCCGAGATGGTGCCACTGTACTCCAGCCTGGGTGACACAGCAAGACACTGTCTCAAAAAACAAACAAACAAAAACCAGAAAAGAAATACAACCATGCATCACTTAATGATGGGAATACATTTTGGGAAATGCATCATTAGGCAATTTTGTTGTAAGAACATGATAGAGTATACTTACACCACCTAGATGGTATAGGTTACTGCACACCTAGGCTATATGGTATATCCAGTTGCTCCTAGGCTGCAAACCTGCACAGCATGTTACTGCACTGAATACTGTAGGCAATTGTAACACAATAGTAAGTATCTGTGTATCTAAACATACAGAAGGGGCCGGGCTCGGTGGCTAATGCCTGTAATCCCCAGCATTTTGGGAGGCCGAGGCAGGTGGATCACCTGAGGTCAGGAGTTTCAGACCAGCCTGGCCAACATGGTGAAACCCCATCTCTACCGAAAATACAAAAATTAGCCAGGCATGGTGGCAGGCGCCTGTAATCCCAGCTACTCGGGAGGCTGAGGCAGGAGAATCACTTGAACTCGGGAGGCGGAGTTTGTAGTGAGCCAAGATCGCACCACTGCATACAGAAGGTGCAGTAAAAATACCCATTATGATCTTACGGGACTTCCATATATGTGATCTGTCACTGAAATGTCATTATGTGGCACATGACTGCAGAAGCATGGTATGTATAAACCTTCCTAGCTTTTTGGGAAGCTTTGCTTTTAGGAGACAATATTTGAACTGAGACCTGAAAGATAAGGAGTTAAAAAGTTGAAGGCAGCACATTCTTGGCAGAGGAAACAGCAAGTATACAAACCCGAGGTAGAATTTAAAAGACTTAGATATATTCATGGAAGATGATACATTGTAACCATTCCCACCCTCATTTTTCTTTGAGAGGCTAAACAATATTAGCAAATAAGCTACATTTTTTATATTGGTTTTTTTGTTGTTGAGACAGTCTTGATCTGTCGCCCAGGCTAGAGTACAGTGGCATGATCCCAGTTCACTGTAGCCTTAAATTCCTAGGCTCAAGTGATCCTCCTGCCTCAGCCTCCTGAGCAGCTAGGACTACAGGAGCATACCATCATGCTGGCTACTCTTTTTTATTTTTAGTTTTTGTGTAGAGACAGGGTCTCTCTGTATTGTTCAGGCTGGTCTCAAACTCCTAGTCTCAAGTGATCCTCCAGCCTCAGCTTCCACAATGGTAGGATTACAGGTGTGTGAGCCACCACACCCTGTCTGATATTGCATTATTATCTAAGGAGCCCCTGCCTTTGAAGTCATTCTCCATTACACCACTCTGATTATTTCCTTCCTAGCAATGATCACAGTCTATACTTTTGCTTACTTGTTTAATACCTGTCTCACTTGCTAAAATGATTGGGTCCTTGAGGGCAATGATCTTGTCCACTGTTTATTACTGTATTTGTTAGCCAATGCTTGACACTAATGATTACTTGTAGGGTGACTGAATCTTACAAAATCTATTCTTTCAGATTTGAAATTAATTAGCAGATTGAACAGCAAGAATAGTTTGTATATTTGTATTTGCTGTACACTAGAAGAAACTGTCCCTCTAAATTAAATAGTATAATATTGGAGAGAGGGGCCAAAGGAGAAACAAAGTCAAATGTTAGCAGTTAAACTTTTTTTTTTTTTTTTTTGAGACGGAGTCTCACTCTGTCACCTGGGCTGGAATGCAGTGGCTCAATCTCGGCTCACTGCAAACTCTGCCTCCCGGGTTCAAGCGATTCTCCTGCCTCAGCCTCCAGAGTAGCTGGGATTACAGCCACCCACCACTAAGCCCAGCTAATTTTTTGTATTTCTAGTAGAGATGGGGTTTCACAATATTGGCCAGGCTGGTCTTGAACTCCTGACCTCGTGATTCGCCTGCCTCGGCCTCCCAAGCCTGCTGGGATTACAGGCTTGAGCCACCATGCCCGGCCAGCAGTTAAACTTGATAAACTAACCTGACGCCCTGATGTTGAGAAAGTAGGACAGATGGAAAAGTGAAGAAGCTGGAGCTGATGCCCCAATGCCCCACCATGCCAAGATATGGCCAGACATGACAGTGGGGAAGCCAAGTTATAGAGAAATCCATCGTTATCACCATGCCTTCCTTTTGAATCATGCTTTAGTGTTGGCAATCCTGCACACACATCATTGCATTTAACCCTTGCAAAACTCTTTGCAGTAGGAGGCATGATCTTCATTTTACCAGTAAGGACACGGAGGCTTAGAGGTTAAATGTAAGCCCGAGGTCACACAGCTAGGAATTAGCAGTGCCAGGTCTGCAACCTTGACCTTATAATTGACTCCATTTCACCACCCTTTCTACCATACCCACAGCTGCTTCCGTATTAACTATGTTGACTTTTCTTTCTTTCTTTCTTTCTTTTTTTTTTTGAGATGGAGTTTCGCTCTTGTTGCCCAGGCTGGAGTGCAGTGACGAGATCTTGGCTCACTGCAACCTCCGTCTCCCGGGTTTAAGTGATTCTCCTGCCTCAGCCTCCCGAGTGGCTGGGATTACAGGCATGAGCCACCATGCCCAGCTAATTTTTTATTTTTAGTAGAGATGGGGTTTCTCCATGTTGGTCAGGCTGGTCTCGAACTCCGATCTCAGGTGATCCGTCTGCCTCAGCCTCCCAAAGTGCTGGGATTACAGGCATGAGCCACTGCGCACGGCCTGACTTTTCTTAAGAGACAGGGTCTTGTTATGTTGCCCAAGCTGGCTTTGAACTCTTGGGCTCAAGCAATCCACCTGCCTCAGTCTCCTGAGCATGTTAACTTTCATTTTTGTGTGTGTATGTGACAAGGTCTTGCTATATTGCCCAGGCTGATCATGAACTCCAGGCTTCAAGTAATCTTCCTGAATAGCTGGGATAACAGGCTCTAGCCATTGTACTGGAGTTAAAGTATTTTTTTAAAATTTATTTTTAATTGTGGGCTGGGCACGGTGGCTCACGCCTGTAATCCCAGCACTTTGGGAGGCTGAGGCAGGCAGATCGCTTGAGGCCAGGAGTTCAAGACCAGCCTGATCAACATGATGAAACATTTATCTACTAAAAATACAAAAATTAGCCCCGGGTGTGGTGGCATGTGCCTGTAATCCTGGCTACTTGGGAGGCTGCGGCAGGAGAATGGCTTGAACCCAAGAGTCGGAGGTTGCAGTGAGCCAAGATCACGCCACTGCACTCAGGCCTGGGCAACAGAGTGAGACTCTGTCTCAAAAAAAAAAAAAAAAGAAAAAGAGAAAGAAAAAAAATTGTGGCAAACACATGCAATATAAAATTAACTCACTTCACCATTTTTAAAATGTAGAACCAGGTAATGTTAACTGTATTCACATTGTTGTGTAACAGATCTCTGGAATTTTTCATCCTGCAAAACTGAAACTCTGTACCCATCAAACAACTCCTTATTTCCCCTTCCTGCCAGTGCCAGGGAACCATCACTTTACTTTCTCTGTCCATGATTTCGACTCTAGATATTTCACATAAGTGGAATCCTACAGAATCTGTCCTTTTATAACTGGCTTATTCATTCAGCATAATATTTGCAAGGTTCCTCCACGTTGTAGCATGTGGCAGGATGTCCTTCTGTTTCTAAGGCTGAATAATATTCCATTGTACGTATATGCCACATTCTCTTTAACTTTTCATGTGTTCACAGACATTTGGGCTCCTTCTACCTCTTGCCAGTTGGGAGTAATACTACAGTGAACATGAGTGTACAAATATCTCGTCAAGATCCTGCTTTCAGTTCTTTTGGATATATACTCAAAAGTGGAATTGCTGGATCATATGGTAATTCTATTTTTAGTTTTTTGAAGAATCATGTTAACTTTTAAACAAATAGCCCCATTCTCACGGACTGTAGTGCAATATGTGAAGAAGTGGCATATTGCCTTCCCTCTAATTAAATTGAAAATAGCAATCATGCTCATATATAACCATTAAAATATGTTTAAACTTCTTACTTAAGATGCATCAATTACACTGCTGGCAACTGTAGACGCTTTCATTTCCTCCCAGTCTCAGTCAACAAGCTGTTCTTTACTTTTATCAACGCCCTCCCCCAGTATCAGGGTCACTAGAGCAGAAGATTCCTGATGGAAGGACCTGTGTTGTTCAAACTGTGCCCCAAGTAACTAGCACAGTAGTTGGCATAGAATAAGCACTCAAAAAGAATGGATACATGAACCAGTGAGTGCATAAATAAGAAGACCATGTTGCTAGAAATAGTGTAAAAAATTGAACTTAGCTCCAGGAGTGAGAGAAAAGTACCTCTTTTTCCAGCAAGCAGGAAGTGGAACACAGATGGCAAAGAGACATTTGATGACATGAATTTTGCCAGAATGATGATACCATCCCTAGGATGAATTCAGAGTAAAGCTCTGATGATCACATAGGATCATACCAGCCATGAAGATTTGAGGAGTTGGGAAACCCATGGAATGCTAATGATAAGGTCCTTTCAGATTAACGGGATTGTGTTCTAGGAAAAAAAAACCCCAAGGGAGTGCTAATAGTGCAGGACCTGCTTCCCCTTCTCTTCTGCCACACAGCATGGACTCTGGGGTTTGGGTGGGTGGGGCGAGGAGCATTGGAAGCAAAAGCCTCGTCACACCCTAAGTGGAAGATTCCCTGCTGTCTAGCTTGCTGCACACGAGGCTCACTGAAGCCCTCTGATGGGGACTGGAGTGTGAAGTAAAGAGGGGATTCAACACACCAAGAGTAGTTATCAAGCTCTCCTGCTAAAGGCTGCTGTCTTTACATCTTTGCACTTGATACATAATCTTAGGAAATTAACTGGAGAAAATGGGATTACACTGTATCAATAGAAATTAAACTTAGAACAAAAATTGCATAATTTATAAAGGGTATATAGGCCCTGGAGCAAATTGTTCAGTGGAAATGATGCTGTCACATATCTGAAGCATTAATGAATTGTAAGTTCACTTCCATTCAAATGAAGAGATGAAATTCAAGAGAAAAATACCTTTTAACAGGCATATCCCCCCAAAGGGATAAAAGACAAGGTTGGGTTGCTTAGTGATTACATGAAATAGTTTCTTATTTCCTTAGTCAAGAGTTTAAATTTTACTAACAAATCAATACAGTGAATAGTGGAATCTTTTATTTATTGCTTTATAGAAGAGTCAACGTGGCTTAATAGAAAACTCACTAAACTTGGGCTCAGAAGATCTGCATTCAGATATTAGTATTGCCTGGACCACATTAGCCTTTTAGAGAATGATCAGTTTCCATCACACACACTGCCAACAGTGTGAGACAAATCTGACCATGTTTCTCCCCAACATAAAATTCTTCATGGGGATAATTTTATGCCTATAGGGCAAATTCTGAACATCTCTGTATAGTACATTCTTTCATTATTTGACTCCTTCTTACCCAAGCAGCCTTAACTTACATCATTTACCCCTCACTTCATGTCAAGCAATACTGAACAGTAGGTAGTTCTTTCGGGATACACCATGCTCATTCATGCTTACTCTGCTTGAAATTCTCTCTTCACTCATTTGGCAAACTTTTACTCATTTTTTTCTGTCTCTGCTTAACTGCCACTTCTGTACTGGCGTGGTGGCTCACACCTGTAACCCCAGAACTTTGGGAGGCCAAGGCAGGCAGATCGCTTGAGCTCAGGAGTTTGAGACCAGTCTGGGCAGCATGGCGAAACTCTTGTCTCTTTAAAAAAAATACAGAAAAACTAGCTGGGTGTGGTGGTGCACACCTGTAGTCTCAGCTACTTGGGAGGCTGAGGTGAGAGGATTGCTTGGGCCCAGGAGGTGGAGGTTGCAAGTAGCCGAGATTGGGCCACCGTACTCCAGCCTGGTCAACGGAACAAAATCCATCTCAAAAAAAAAAAAAAATTCAAACGAAGTGTAAAAAGTAAAAGTAAAACGTCCCTTAGAAACATACTCCCGACATGGGTGGCTCATGCCTGTAATCCCAGCACTTTGGGAGGTGGAGGTGGGTGGATCACTTGAGGTCAGGAGTTCGAGACGAGCCTGACCAACATGGTGAAACTCCGTCTCTACCAAAAATACAAAAATTAGCAGGCATGGTGGCAGGCGCAGGTAATCTCAGCTACTGGGAAGCTGAGGCAGGAGAATTGCTTGAATCTGGGAGGCGGAGGTTGCAGTGAGCCCAGATGGCACCACTGCACTCCAGCCTGGCTGTCTTAAATAACAACAACACCACATACTCCCAAAGATAGCTTTGGTTAATGTAAGAACAGGGACCATAAGTTCCCATCTTTGAATGTTCAGGACATAGCAATGCCTGGTGCATAAGAGTCTTCAATAAATAATGTTGAATGAATGAATTTATAAAACGGAGATGGTATAATTGACTGTACTAGCCAAGAGCGTTGTAGTGATGGAATCACGTAAGATAATGAATATGAAAGTTCTCTGAATGCTGGAAAGCATTATGTAAGTACAAAATTGTGTGATAATGGGCCCGACATGGTGGCTCATGCCTGTAATCCTAGCACTTTGGGAGGCAGAGGCGGGTGGATTGCCTGAGGTCAGGAGTTCGAGCCCAGCCTGACCAACACGGTGAAACCCCATCTCTACTAAAAAATACAAAAATTAGCCGGGTGTGGTGGCGCACGCCTGTAATCCCAGCTACTTGAGGGGCTGAGGCAGGAGAATCACTTGAACCTGGGAGGTGGAGGTTGCAGTGAGCTGAGATCATGCCACTGCCCTCCAGCCTGGCAACTAGTGAGACTCCATCTTGAAAAAAAAAAATGTGTGATAAGTGACTAATACCTCTGCACCTCATTTTATTTGACTCTTACTACCAGGCAAACTTAGTTTCAATAATGATGATGATAATGATGATGGCTAACATTTATTGAGCACTTCTTATATCCAGAGCTTTATATTAAATATTTCACCCACATTAAATCATTTAATTCTTATAACAAAGGGTAAGGGATAGTCATTTCCACATTTTTTTCATATGAGGAAACTAAGGCCCAAAAAAGTTGTAACTTGCCCCCGCAAATCACAGAGGTAGTAAGTAATACAGCCAGAACTTCAACTCAGGCAATCTGGCATCTGAGTCAGCACTGTTAACCAATTCATATTACTGCCTCTTACACAAAGTCCTGAGGATGAGCCCTGGAGCTCATTCTTTCCCATCCCTACATTGCTTCTTGCTCCAATTTTGGAATCCTAATCAACTTTACTTCTGTAAACCTCTGTTTTCTCATATATAAAATGGACATATTAGTGGTTCTTATCTCACAAAGTTGTTTGCAAGGATTATCTCTAACACTGCCTGTCTAAGTTCATTTTGTGTTGTTATAATACAACAAACGGGGTAATTTATAAAGAAAAAAATTAGACCGGGCGTGGTGGCTCACACCTGTAATCCTAGCACTTTGGGAGGCTGAGGCGGGCAGATCGTGACATCAGGAGTTTGAGACCAGCCTGGCCAACATGGTGAAACCCTGTCTCTACTAAAAATACAAAAATTAGCCGGGCATGGTGGTGTGCACCTGTAGTCCCAGCACTTTGGGAGGCTGAGGCAGGTGGATCACCTGAGGTCAGGAGTTTGAGACTAGCCTGACCAATATGGTGAAACCCCATCTCTACTAAAATTACAAAAAATTTGGCCGGCCATGGTGCCGTGTGCCTGTAGTTGCAGCTACTTGGGAGGCTGATACAGGAGTTTGAACCCAGGAGGCAGAGACTGCAGTGAACCGAGATCATGCCACTGCACTCCAGCCTAGGTGACAGAGAGAGAGACTCTGCCTCAAAAAAAAGAAAGAAAAAAATTTTGCCGGGCACAGTGGCTCACACCTGTAATTCCAGCACTTTGGGCGGCTGAGGCAGGCAGATCACGAGGTCAGGAGTTCGAGACCAGCCTGGCCAACATAGTGAAACCCCGTCTCTACTAAAAATACAAAAATTAGCTGGGCGTGGTGGTGTGCTTCTGTAGTCCCAGCTACTCAGGAGGCTAAGGCAGGAGAATTGCTTGAACCCTGTTCAAGTGAGGTTGCAGTGAGTCAGGACTGCGCCATTGCACTCCAGCCTGGGTGACAGAACAAGACTCCATCTCAAAAAAAAAAAAAAAAAGGAACAAAATTATTTTGTTCATGCCTCTGAAGGCTAGGAAGTTCGGGAGCATGGTGTCAGCATCTGCTCAACATTATGTAAAGGCCTTCTAGCCCATTATCCCATGGCAGAAGGCTGAAAGGAAAAAGAGCACTCACATGTGCAAGAGAGAAATTGAACTCACAGCCTCAAGCCTTTTTATAGTTGACATGAATCCATTCATGAAGGTGAAGCCCTTATAACCTAAACACCTCTTCTTAGCCCTCAACTCCCAACACTGTTGCATTGGGGATTCAGTTTCCAACACATGCTTTTGGGGGACACATTCAAACCATAGCATAGCCTCAGGTAGCAAAGCCGAGAAGGCAATCAAACCTAGAGCCCAGAGTTAGTGATTGTTGTTTATTATTATTATTATTATTTTATTTTTAGTAGAGATGGGATTTCAGCATGTTGGTCAGGCTGGTCTCGAACTCCTGACCTCGTGATCCGCCCACCTCGGCCTCACAAAGTGCTGGGATTACAGGCGTGAGCCACCGCGCCCGGCCATGATTTTTTATTGTTGTTGTTGTTTTCTGTTTTTGTTTTGTTTTGTTTTTGTTTTTGTTTTTGAGATGGAGTTTCACTCTTGCTTGTCACCCAGGTTGGAGTACAATAGTGCAATCTCGGCTCACTGCAACCTCTGCCTCCCGGGTTCAAGTGATTCACCTGCCTCAGCCTGCTGAGTAGCTGGGATTACAGGCACCCACCACCACGCCTGGCTAATTTTTGTGTTTTTGGTAGAGATGGGGTTTCACCATGTTGGCCAGGCTGGTCTCGAACTCCTGACCTCAGGTGATCAGCCTGCCTCGGCCTCCCAAAATGCTGGGATTACAGGTGTGAGCCACCATGCCCGGCAGTGATTGTTTGCTTTGCAACAGATGCAGCAGCAAAGAGAAGCAAAAGGACCACACTGCTGCAAAAAACAAGCAATCCTAATCTAAAAGGAACAATTAATTAAGCATCTATTAATGAATACATTTGCATGGCCAGATTAATGTCAAGGTTCAGCACTCTAACTCGGTCCTTATCAGTCATGGCCAAGTAATGAGGCTCCTGTTAGAAAAAAAAACATCCATATTGACAAGATGGGACACTTACTTCTTATTAATTCAATTATTTGGCTTTGGTCAATGCTAATGATGGTAATGGTTGATGGCTACATACACTAGGGAACCGTCAGAAATGGAAATAAAAATCTACAGCATGTCATACATGTAACTGCAGAAGAGTGAGTAAAGAGCAATGGAAACTGAGAGAAAATAGCACTTCCAGGTGCCTACAGGTGGCATTCAGATCCAGAATAGCCATCCAGGCTTACAGAAAACTCAATCCAACTTTAAAAGGAATTACCAGGCAGAGTGTTGCAGCTCTATCCAGCCACTTATACACTGTGTATAAGTGTATACACAGTTTTATAAATTCATTCATTCAACATTATTTATTGAAGACTCTTATACACTTATACACTGAATATAAATTAGTCTAGCCACTGTGGAGAGCAGTTTGAAGATTTCTGAAAGAGCTAAGTTATGAGCCAGGCACGGTGGCTCATGCCTGTAATCCCAGCACTTTGGGAGGCTGAGGCGGGTGGATCACGAGATCAGGAGATAGAGGCCAGCCTGGCCAATATGGTGAAACCACGTCTCTACTAAAAATACAAAAATTAGCCAGGTGTGATGGTGCACGCCTGTAGTCCCAGCTACTCGGGAGGCTGAGGCAGGAGAATCACTTGAATCCGGGAAGTGGAGGTTGCAGTGAGCTGAGATTATGCCACTGCACTCCAGCCTGGCAACAGAGGGAGACTCCGTCTAAAAAAAAAAAAAAAAAGAACTAAGTGATGAACTACCATTCAACCCAGCAATACCACTTCTGGTTATATACCCAGAGGAAAATAAATTTTTCTACCAAAAGGACTCATATGTTCATGACAGCTCTGTTCACAATAGCAAAAACATGGAATCAACCCAGGTGTCCATCAGTGGTGCACTGGATAAAGAAAATGTGGTACATGTACATCATGGAATACTATGCAGCCATAGAAAAAGAATGAAATCATGTCCTTTACAGCAACATGGATAGAACTAAAGGCCATTATCCTAAGCCAATTAAGACAGAAACAGAGGCCAGGCGTGATGGCTCACGCCTGTAATCCCAGCACTTTGGGAGGCTGAAGTGGATGGATCACTTGAGGTCAGGAGTTTGAGGCCAGCCTGACCAACATTGCGAAACCCCATCTCTACTAAAAATACAAAAATTAGCCAGGCATGGTGGCGGACACCTATAGTCCCAGCTACTCGGCAGGCTGAGGCAGGAGAATCTCTTGAACCTGGGAGGCAGAGGTTGCAGTGAGCCGAGACTGTGCCACTGCACTCCAGCCCGGCCAACAAGAGTGAAACTCCGTCTCAAAAAAAAAAAAGAAAGAAAGAAACAGAAAACCAAATATTGCCTGTTCTCTTATAAGTGGGAGCTAAACACTGAGTCCGCATGAACACAAGATGGGAACAGTAGGCACTGGGGACTACTAGAGAAGGGAGAGAAGGAGTGGGGCAAGTGCTGAAAAACTACCTGTTGGCTATGATGCTCACTGCCTGGATGATGGGTTCAGTCATACCCCAAACCTCAGTACCATGCAAAATACCTTTGTAACAACCTGCAGATGTACCCCCAATTCTAAAATATAAGTTGAAAAAGAAATAAATTGTTTACCACAATATAAAGATTGAAATTGCTCTAAAAATTTTACTTTTCTTTTTTCTTTTTATTTTTTTGAGATGGAGTCTTGCTCTGTTTCCCAGTCTGGAATACAGAGGCATGATCTTTGCTCACTGCAACCTCCACCTCCTGGGTTCAAGTGATTCTCATGCCTCAGCCTCCCAAGTAGCTGGAATTACAGGCATGCACCACCACACCCAGCTAATTTTAGTAGAGACAGGGTTTTGCCTTGTTGGCCAGGCTGGTCTCGAACTCCCAACCGCAGGTGATCCACCCACCTTAGCCTCACAAAGTCCTAGGATTACAGGCAGGAGCCACTGCACCTGGCCCCAAAATTTTACTTTTAAATATTTCCTGCACAATATATGATGCAATGGCCGGGTGTGGTGGCTCATGCCTGTAATCCCAGCACTTTGGGAGGCTGAGGCAGGTGGATCACCTGAGGTCAGGAGTTCGAGACCAGCCTGACCAACATGGAGAAACCCTGTCTCTACTAAAAATATAAAATTAGCTGGGCATGGTGACACATGCCTATAATCCCAGCTACTCGGGAGGCTGAGGCAGGAGAATCGCTCGAAACTGGGAGGCAGAGTTTGTGGTGAGCTGAGATTGTGCCACTCCAGCCTGGGCAACAGGAGTGAAACTCCATCTCAAAAAAAAAAAATACATACATACATATACATATACATATATATATATATATATATATATATATATATATATATATATATATACATATACATATATATGATGCAATGTAAAAAAAAGGAACATATATTCACATACAAAAAATAAAGACAGACGACAGGAAACTGACAAACCTGCTGTTAACTAAAAACAAGTAGCTAAAAACTAACCAGGAAGTTTTTACAATACAGTCTTACAAGTGTTCCGAATATCAGCAAAAAGAATAAGCCTTTAGAAGGAAGAGCTCCTGAATGTACATAACTGCAGGATGAGTCAATGGTGGGGCCTTGAACTGGCACTAGGGAAAATTTTTTCCAGGAACAGTATAATTAACAGCTTCAGTCATTACCAAGTGGTATGGAGTCTAGGGAACAGGCTCAGGGAAACATTGTCCTCAGAATTAAAACAGTGATAAATCAAGACATAATCGACGAGATGCACCATCTGTAGAGGTAACTCACCCTAAGAAATGTTCTGTGAATGTGTTTGCAGGGAAACTTCGTAAGACCTGAGTGCAATGCTCATGACTAAAATTAATCACGTATTTTATGCCTCTGCGCCTTCACACATGTTATTCCTTCTGCCCATTATATCTTCTGTTACCCTTTTCTCCCCTTTCCCCAGTCCATTGGGTAAAGTATTATTCTTTCAGAATGTAGTCCAGGCATCATCATAACCTGTGCCTGAGAACAGAATGAATTATTTCCTCATCTCTCCTACTTCTCTTCTCCGTATGTCATATTATTATTTGAGGATCTGTCTCACCTAGCACATTGCAGGCTCTTTGAGGGCAGAACCCAAACCTCTTCTCCCCAGCATCTACCTCAGTGCCCAACCAAATAGGTATTTATTCAATGGATCAATTGAGTGGACCAGGAGAGGAGAGGAAGGTTATTCTTATCCTAAAAAGTACATCAGTGCTGGGTGTGGTGACTCACTCCTGTAATCCCAGCACTTTGGGAGGCCAAGGCAGGTGGATCACCTGAGGTCAGGAGTTTGAGACCAGCTTGCCCAACATGGCGAAACCCCGTCTCTACTAAAAATATAAAAAATTAGCTGGGCATGGTGGCAGGCACCTGTAATTCCAGCTACTCAGGAGGCTGAGGCAGGAGAATCCCTTGAACCCAGGAGGTGGAAGTTGCAGTGAGCCAAGATCGCACCACTGCACTCCAGCCTGGGTGAGAAGAGCGAAATTCCGCCTCAAAGAATATACATCAATGCCGGGCCTAGTGGCTCACACCTGTAATCCCAGCGCTTTGGGAGGCCAAGGTGGGTGGATCGCTTGAGCCCAGGAATTCCAGACCAGCCTGGGCAACATGTCGAAATCCTGTCTCTACTAAAACAAAAAAAAATTAGCAGGGTGTGGTGGTGCATGCCTGTAGTCCGAGCTGCATGTCAGGCTGAGGCAGGAGAATCGCTTGAACCTGGGAGACAGAGGTTGCAGCGAGATCAGATCATGCCACTGCACTCCAGCCTGGGCAACAGAACAAGACCATGTCTCAAAAAAAGAAAAAAAAGTAAATCAGAATCTTTGGATAGGTAGTGGTGGCTTGCAGGATTGGCATATTCAATATTGCAATAGATTTGGTGGGCAGTTTCAGAATCTGCATGAGCCATGAGATTTTTTATGTTTATTCAAAGAGATCTCAGGCCGGGCACGGTGGCTCACGCCTGTAATCCCAGCACTTTGGAAGGCTGAGGCGGGTGGATCACCTGAAGTCAGGAGTCAGGAGTTCAAGACCAGCCTGGCCAACATGGTGAACTCCCATCTCTACTAAAAATACAAAAAATTAGCTGGGCGTGGTGGTGGGCGCCTGTAATCCCAGCTACTTGGGAGGCTGAGGCAGGAGAATCACTTGAACTACTTGGGAGGTGGAGGTTGAGCCGAGATCGTGCCATTGCACTCCAGCCTGGGCAACAGAAGTGAAACTCTGTCTCAAAGAAAACAAAAATTCCAATTATTTTTTAAGTGAGAGACTGTTTTAGTAGGGAGACAAATTTATAAACGGAAATGTGCAGCTTGCTATAAAACTATGCAAAAGATTAAGAACTGGTATGAAGCCAAAGAAGAATTAAATCCCCAGGTGGAGATCAGAAGTTCCACAGAGGAGGAAATGGATTGATCTCAGTCTTGAAAGATAAATAGAAGTTTGTTGAGTGTGACGGCTAATTTAGGTGTCAGCTTGACTGGATTAAGGGGATACCCACATAGCGGGTAAAGCATTATTTCTGGGTATGTCTCCAAGGATGTTTCTGGAAGAGATTGGCATTTGAATGAGTGGACGGAGTAAGGAAGATCTGCCCTCACCCAATGTGTGCAGGCGCCATCCAATCAACTGAGGACCCAGATCGAACAAAAAGGCAGAGGAAAGAACTCCCCCTCTTCCCCTTCAACGGAAACACCCATCTTTTCTTGCCTTGCACATCAGAACCCCATGTTGTCCAGTCTTTGGACTGTAGAACTTGCACCAGCAGACCCCTATGTTCTCAGGTCTTTGGCCTTGGACTGAGAGTTACACCATTGACTCCCCTGGTTCTCAAGTCTCTGGACTTGGACTGAGCCACCCTACCTGCTTCCCTGGTCCTCCGCCTTTCGACAGCATGTCGTGAGGCCTCAGCTTCCATAACTGCATGAGCCAATTCTCCTAATAAATCCCCTCTCATCTATCTGTCTGTCTGTCTACCTATCTATTTTCCCATCCATCCATCCTATTAGTTCTGTTTCTCTAGGCAACCTAGACCAATACTTCAAGCAAACTGTCAGGCAGAGGGAACAGCTTTTACAAAGCAAGCAGTTTCCACTGCTTGGAGCAGAGACCTAAAATAACAGTGAGGCTGGGCACAGTGGCTCACACCTGTAATCCCAGGACTCGGGAGGCCAAGTCAAGCGGATTACTCGAGGTCAGGAGTTTGAGACCAGCCTGGCCAACATAGTGAAACCCTGTCTCTTCTAACAATACAAAAATTAGCCAGGCATGATAGTGCACACCTACTGAAGTCCCAGCTACCTGGGAGGCTGAGGCAGGAGAATCACTTGAACCCAGGAGGCGGAAGTTGGGCTGCAGTGAGGTGAGATCGTGCCACTGAACTCCAGCCTGGGCAACAAAGCCAGACTCTGTCTTAAAAAAATTATAAATAAAATAAAATAACAGTGGTTTAAACAACCAAGCAATTTATTTCTGTCTCTACAAAGACCTCAGGATCCTAGACTTCTTTATCCAACTATTCCAAAAGCAAGGTGTGGCCTTCATCCTTTATGGTCCAGGACATTGGCTAGTGCTCCAGCCATCACATCCACACTCCAGATAGCACAGAAGAAATCCAAAGGAACTTTACAACTATCATATTATGCAGTTTCTTAGTCCACATCCATCCCATTAGCCCAACACAGTCTCCTAACCACAATTAGCAGCAAAATTCTCTGGGAAATATAGTATTTATTCTGGGTATCACGTCTCCACCGAAAAATTTGGCATTCTATACCTGTGAAAGGGAAGAACAGATAATGGGAGACAATTAGCTATTTTTGTCACATATTCTTATCTCCATTTTTTTTTTTTTTTGAGATGGAGTCTCACTCTGTTGCCCAGGCTGGAGTGCAGTGGCACGATCTTGGCTCACTGCAACCTTAGCCTCCCATGTTCAAGCGATTCTCCTGCCTCAGCTTCCTGAGTAGCTGGGACTACAGGCGCGTGCTACCATGCCCGGGTAATTTTTGTATTTTTAGTAGAGACAGGGTTTCACCATGTTGTCCAGGCCGGTCTCGAACTACGACCTCAAGTGATCTGCCCACCTCAGCCTCCCAATGTGTTGGGATTATAGGCATGAGCCACCGTGCCTGGCCTTTTTTTTTTTTTTTTTTTTTGGAGACTGAGTATACCTCTATTGCCCAGGCTGGAGTGCAGTGGCGAAATCTTGGCTCACTGCAATCTTCGCCTCCCAGGTTCAAGAGATTCTCCTGCCTCAGCCTCCCAGGTAGCTGGGATTACAGGCACCTGCCACCATGCCTGGGTAATTTTTGTATTTTTAGTAGAGATGGGGTTTCACCATGTTGACCAGGCTGGTCTTGAACTCCTTACCTTAAATGATCCGCTTGCCTCAGCCTCCCAAAGTGTTGGGATTACAGGCATGAGCCACCACACCCGGCCATCTTCATTTTTTATATAAAATCAATGCAAAGAGTGGTTGCATTATTTTCAGGTGCATTCAGGAAATTTCAAGTAGTTTTTCTTAGCTTTTGCATAAAGTGTAAAGTAGGAAGAATGAAAGGTAGTAGAGCTAGAAAGATAATCAAGTGATCAGAATACAAAGGTATGGACCCAGTGTGGTGGCCCACACCTGTAATCCCAACACTTTGGGAGGCCAAAGTGGGTGGATCACCTGAGGTCAGGAGTTTAAGACCAGCCTGGCCAACATGGTGAAACCCTGTCTCTAAAAAAAAAAAAAAAAAAAATACAAAAATTAGCTGGGCATGGTGGCAGTTGCCTGTAATCTCAGCTACTTGGGAGGCTGAGGCAGGAGAATTGCTTGAACCCAGAGGCAGAGGTTGCAGTGAGCTGAGATCACACCATTGCACTCCAGCCTGGGCTACCAGAATGGAACTCGGTCTCAAAAATACAAACAAACAAAACAAAACAAAAATTAAGATATGGCTTGTGTGCTATTCAAATTGCTCAAGGACTCAATAATTTGATCAATTCTGTAAAATGAGTTTTTGGATTTTCTGAAATGGAAAGGAGACCCGGGATAGCAGTGATGATGCCATGTTACTGCCTACCTGTGGGAAAGAACTGTCTCTCTGTTCCTCCTACTTCCTACCCCTTAAATGCAAAGAAATGGCAGCAAGAAAGAAGCTGAGGAAAGGACTACTAATTTAATCAATATTCATTGAAATAAATTTGTACTAAGCACTTGCTTAGTACAAATGCTTGTACAAGCATTTGTGTATGTGGCCCAAATCCAATCCATGTGATCATAACAGTCTATCAAAGCAGCAATGCCACTGTTTCAGTAAAGAAAGTGTTTTTACGGCCGGGTGCAGTGGCTCATGCCTGTAATCCCAGCACTTTGGGAGGCTGAGGCGGGTGGATCACCTGAGGTCAGGAGTTTGAGACCAGCCTGGTCAACATGGTGAAACCCTGTCTCTACTAAAAATACAAAAAATTAGCCGGGTGTGGTGGCAGGCGCCTGTGAGCCCAGCTACTCAGGAGGCTGAAGCAGGAGAATCTCTTAAACCCGGGAGGTGGAGGTTGCAGTGAGCTGAGATTGCACCACTGTACTCCAGCCTGGGCAACACAGTGAGACTCCGTCTCAAACAAACAAAAAAAATGAAGCATTTTTAGGCCAGGCAAAGTGGCTCACACCTGTAATCCCAGCACTTTGGGAAGCTGAGGTGGGCAGATTGCTTGACCTCAGGAGTTCAAGACCAGCCTGGGCAACATGGTAAAACCCTGTCTTTACTAAAAATACAAAAAAAAAAAAAAAAAATTAGCCAGGTGTGGTGGCATGCGCCTTTAGTCCCAGCTAGTTGGGGGCTGAGGTGGGAGGATCACTTGAACCTGGGAGGCAGGGTTTCAGTGAACCGAGATTGTGCCACTGCTGCACTCCAGCCTGAGCCACAGAGTGAGACACTGTCAAAAAAGAAAAAAAAAAAAAAAGCATAGGTTGAGAAATAGAAAGCATTTCTGTTTGTTTGTTTTATAAGTTCATTTGATGTATTCGACAATCAGTGGTTAGTTCTCATCCACATTGACTGTAGATTTTTGAAAACGGTAACACGTACATGGGTAACCAAAGTATAGAGCTTGTTTGTTGAATTTTCATCCTCGTTACGTTTTCTGGACAACCACACAGGGATACGGTATGGGACAATCCTTATTCCTTTGGCCCAAACAGCTTTGTTGAGCCTAGTATCAATGTGCACATCTGGAGTGCCCATCTCCTTCATGGCACATTTTTGGATCTCTTCGAGTGCCCGAGGGGCACACTTCTTGAAGCCCACACCATGGATGCGCTTGTGAATGCTGATGGCAGAAAGGCTCTTCTTCTTGCCATCCTTCTTTGCAAGAGCGATCCTGCCGGGCCCAAGTTGGAAAGCAAGAGAACTACAGATTGTGGGAGAAAGAAAGCAGCGGTTCCCTGAAGGTATTTCTTGAAACACTGGAGGAGAATGGAGCTAGCTCAAATGGGAATAGATGAGATTTATAGTCACTCCTCCATCCCTGCAACATATCTACTTTAAATTCTTGGTTATGTTAATTTGTAGGTCTCAAGGCATTACATCAAGACATCATAAATTACATTGGGAGCTAAGGTGAGGAGTTTAGCAAGATCTCATAAGCTATCTGGTTCTCTTACCTATTAAATGAGAGGTCAAGACAAACTGAGTTATCAGGGACTTTTGTTTTTTTGAGACAGAGTTTCACTCTTATTGTCCAGGCTGGAGTGCTGGAGTGCAATGGCGCAATCTCGCCTCACCACAGCCTCCGCCTCCTGGGTTCAAGCAATTCTCCTGCCTCAGGCTCCCGAGTAGCTGGGATTACAGGTATGCGCCACCACACCCGGCTAATTTTGTATTTTTAGTAGAGACGGGATTTCTCCATGTTGGTCAGGCTGGTCTCGAACTCCCAACCTCAGGTAATCCACCCGCCTCAGCCTCCCAAAGTGCTGGGATTACAGGCATGAGCCACCATGCCGGGTCTATCCAGGTCTTTTCTGCTCAAACATTCCAGAAAGGAAAAGGCAGAGATAACTAATGATGTCAATGATAATATAGCAGTCTCTTCCCAAACACACTCCCAAGCTTTTTTTATCGTTGTTGTTGAGACAGAGTCATAATCACCCAGGCTGGGTGTAGTGGCACCATCTCGGCTCACCAAAATCTCCACCTCTCCACCTCCCAGGTTCAAGACATTCTCATGTCTCAGCCTCTCAAGTAGCTGGAATTACAGGCGCGTGCTACCATGCCTGGCTAATTTTTGTATTTTTAGTAGAGACGGGTTTCACCATGTTGGCCAGGCTGGTCTCCAACTCCTCAAGTGATCTGCCCACCTTGGCCTCCAAAGAGCTGGGATTACAGGCATGAGCCACCGCACCTGGCCTCAAGCTTTTGTAACGAACGGGTATAGCAAACTAGAGGTTACTGTTGAGCACCTCTAGAGAGTTTTTCATTTCAGTTATACTTTCAACTCCAAAATTTCTATTTGGTTATATGTAGAGAAATAAGTATTTCTATTTCTTCATGTTTTCATTGAGATTTGCTGAGATATCTTTCTCATGCTTTTCTTTAACTCTTCTTTTTTTTTTTTTCTTTTTTTTTGTGAGACAGGCTCCTGTCCTGTCACCCAGGCTGAAATGCAGTGGTATGAACATGGCTCACTGCAGCCTTGTACTTCTGAGCTCAAGTGATCCTCCCACCTCAGCCTTCTGAGTAGCTGGGAGTACAGGCATGCATCACCACACCTAGGTAATTTATTATTTATTGATTGATTGATTGAGACGGAGTCTCGCTCTGTTGCCCAGGCTGAAGTGCAATGGCGTGATCTCGGCTCACTGCAACCTCCGCCTCCCGGGTTCAAGCAATTCTCCTGCCTCAGCTTCCTGAGTAGCTGGAACTACAGGCGCCCACCACCACGCTGGCTAATGTTTGTATTTTTAATAGAGACTGGGTTTCACCATATTGGCCAGGCTGATCTCGAACTCCTGACCTCAGGTGATCTGCCCACCTCGGCCTCCCAAAGTACTGGGATTACAGGCATGAGCCACCATGCTTGCCGTAAAGATATTTTAAATATCTTACTTAAAGTTTAGTAAGTACAAAGTCTAGGCTTCCTCAGGGAGTTTCTATTGACTGTTTTCTCCCAGTGCCTGGGACACACTTTCTTGTTCTTTGCATGTTGTGTAATTTTTTGTTGGAAACTGGGGATTCAAAATAATATAACATGGCAATAATTGAAATTGGATTCCCTTCTTTCCCCAGGAGTTTTACTGCTGCTGTTTCTTTGTTTGTTTAGTGACTTCCTGAACCCATTTTGTAAAGTTTGTATTTTTTTTTTTTTTAAAGACAAGGTCTTTCTTGGTCTTCCAGGCTGAAGCACGGTGATGCAATCAATCCTAGCTCATTGCAGCCTTCAATTCCTGGGTTCAAACAATCCTCCTGCCTCAGCCTCCTGAGTGGTTAGGACTATAGGCATGCACCACCACATCCAGCTAGTTTTTTTCTTTTATTTTCTTCTTTAAATTATTATTTATTTTTATTTCTATAGGTTTTTGGGGAACAGATGGTGTTTGGTTATGAGAGAGGAGAAAGAAAAAAACCCAGTCAGGCAGGCAGTTAGGGTGGGTCCTCGGTTGAATCCTTTCAAACAAAAGAACAGCCTGCAGGCACAGGTAAGGGAACTTGCACAAGGGGGCTTGCCTAATACATGCCCACAGTCTCACAGATAAGAAAGGTTACCCAGGTGACTTGCCCAGACATACTCGCAATGGAAAATTCCATCCTCTGACACTTGCTTAGTAAGGGGAACAAAGCAATATGGAGTAACTCAAGCTAAGGGCTCACATGCGCACTAGGAGGATGGGGTAAGCTACCAGAAATTCACGCCTTATACAAATGAGATGCCCAGCCCTCACTGGTTTCTTATAAAAGCCTTTGCATTCAGCTGTAAAAAATGGCAACCCTCTTCAGGTCCCCTCTCCGCAGAAGACAGCTTTCTTCTTTCCCTTATTAAACTTTTGTTCTAACCTCATCCTTGGTGTCCGTGCTCCTTAACTTTCTTGGTTGTGAGACAAAGGACTCTGGGTACTACCTCAGGCAAGGAGAGACTGCTACATTGTGGTGCATTGGCAAGACTATAACATGGATAAGTTCTTTAGTGGTGATTTCTGAGATTTTGGTGGACTCATCGCCCGAGCAGTGTACACTATACCCAGTGTGCAGTCTTTTATCCCTCATTCCCCTCTCACCCTTACCCCTGAGTCCCCAAAGTCCATTATATCATTCTTATGCCTTTTTGTCTGTTTCCTTTTTTTTTTTTTTGGAGATGGAGTCTGGCTTCGTTGCTCAGGCTGGAGTACAATGGCGTGATCTTGGCAAACTGCAACCCTCCGCCTCCCAGGTTCAAGAGATTCTCCTGCTTCAGCCTCCCAAGTAGCTGGGATTACAGGCACCCGCCACCACGCCCAGCCAATTTTTGTGTTTTTAGTGGAGACAGGGTTTCACCGTGTTGGCCAGGCTGATCTCAAACTCCTGACCTAAGGTGATCCACCTGCCTCGGTCTCCCAAAGTGCTAGGATTACAGGCGTGAGCCACTGCTCCCAGCTGAGTCTCTTTCCTTTTTCTTTTTAAATTGTTGTAGAGATAGGTCCCACTGTGTTTTCCAGCCTGGTCTCAAATGCCTGGCCTCCCAAAGACCTGAGACTACAGGCATGAACCACTGCACCCAGCCAAGTCAGTATTCCTTTTCAAGGGTGTGGCACTGAAATCTGTTCAGTTAGCTTAGTAGTCAGCTGATTACTGGACACAGAGTTCCTCAAATTCCAGGAACCAATAAGTCTCGCAGCCTTTCCTGAGAGACTGTGTGGGGGGGCCTGCCTTCAATGCTCAGGCAGGATTTTCACAACTCTGCCTTAGCCTTTACTTTCTGCTTGTGAAGGGCCTCAGGGTCTGACAGAAATGAGAATATAGGGACTTTCAGGCATTTTCTGGGCAAGTGCACAACTTTGCACATGCTCAAGGACTTGTAGATTCCAAGGAATGTGTTAAAGAGTTTTCCAAAGCCCCCTGTGGATATCTTATACCTCAGCTTTTGGAGTCTCGCTCTTTTGCCCAGGCTGGAGTGCAGTGGTGCACTCTCGGCTCACTGCAACCTCCACCTCCTGGGTTCAAGTGATTCTCCTGCCTCAGCCTCCCGAGTAGCTGGGATTACAGGCATGTGCCACCATGCCTGGCTAATTTTTGTATTTTTAGTAGAGATGGAGTTTCACCATGTTGGCCAAGCTTGCTTTGAACTCCTGACCTCAGGTGATCCACCTGCCTCAGCCTCCCAAAGTGCTGAGATTACAGGCGTGAGCCACCGCACCCAGCCCCCAGATTCTCTTTTCGGGTTTTTTGTTCAGCTTCTGGTTTGCTCTAGTTGTTATCATTACCATAGCAACTGTAATGTTAAATAATTGTTACTGATTGTTTTTGACCAATGCCCTGAGGGAAAAGACTTTTTGCACTGAGTTCTGAGTCAGATCAGATAAAGACAAGTCCTGTGAGTGGAGGTTTCCAGGGAACTGCCAGACAGGTCAAATAATGAGAATTCTCTGTGAATGGTGCTTTGGGGAGCTCTAAACCCATTTGGTTTTCTACAGTGGCTACTAGGCTGTTCGTTCGCCATGATACAGAGTAGTTGGTTTTCAAGATTACTGTGGACCTAAAAAGATGGGGATGAGAATAGGACAAGATAAATTGTCACAAAGTTCACTGTTCTTACCAAGATTCAGCCATTTTTCTCGAATAAATGCTCCTGGACTTGCTGCAAAACGTTTGTTATTGTACAGTGTTCCAAAGAAATTGATTTTGACAATTTTTGTCAGTGTTTTCAGTGTTCTAATGAAAGAGTATATTTTCAAAAGTCTTCACTCTGTCATTCCCTCTGATGTCACTCCAGAACCTAAGGAAGATATACCTGGTGGTTTCTATATGCTTTGGATGGCTTTAGGCTCATGGCAGTTCTAGAGAATAACATGCAACCTGTTTCATCTTTCTAATATCACTAGTGTATTGTTACTCTTACTGTACATTGTGCACTGGAAAGCCCTGCATCTCAGGTTTACTATTTGACAAGCTTTTCAAGTTTTAGAATACATTCCATTTATTAATTGAAACCCAACATGCTGTCTAAATTTGCATCAGTAGGGAAATTGATCTGGTTGTGGGATAGTAAAAGAAAGGGGAGCGATTCTAGATTCACATCTAATTTCAACTCCTCTCGTATGTCTTAGAAAGTTAACTTTACCCTTCTAAATCTGAGTTTTTTCATTTGTAAATAATATTACACCTACTTCCTGGGGTTATTGGAAGAACTCAGTAAGAGCCTAGCATGACTGCACAGGATAGGTGCCTAGTTAATACTGACCTCTCATTCCCTTCCACCTCTGCTAAATAAAGGGCTCGATTTCTTTAAAATTAGTTATAGTAATTAATACAGAAAAATAAAAAAGAGAAACTGAAAAATGTGTCAGATGATTTTTGTTGTTCATTTGGCAAATTGTATGTAATCTTCTGCCACTGCAATCAGCAATGTCACATTGAATCAATTTACTATTCAATTACTGAACCACTGGTAAATCAATCTCTCTGATCCATAAACCAACTCTCAATCATCTAGCTTTGAGATGACTCATACATTATGTCTCCTGCGTATTGGTGCTGCCTGGGTTTTGTGCATTTCTCTGCCCATTCACTTCTTTATCATGTAAAGTGTCAGTATTAAAACCACACAACTTTGTGGTCAACAGATTAGGAAATATGTATTTTGAAATTTAAGATCAGGCTGGGTGTGGTGGCTCATGCCTGTAATCTCAGCACTTTGGGAGGCTGAGGTGGGCGGATCACCTGAGGTCAGGAGTTCGAGACCAGCCTGACCAACATGGAGAAATCCCGTCTCTACTAAAAATACAAAATTAGCCAGGTGTGGTGGTGGTGCATGCCTGTAATCCCAGCTACTTGGGAGGCTGAGGCAGGAGAATTGCTTGAACCCAGGAGGCGGAGGTTGTGGTGAGCTGAGATTATGTCATTGCACTCCAGCCTGGGTAACAAGAATGAAACTCTGTCTCAAAAAAAAAAAAAAAAAAAAAGAAAGAAAGAAATTTAAGATCAAACTAAGTTTTAGAGCATCTTGAATGATTAGGGATTGTATACGAGCTTGAACATATACTCATTGCTGACTGTACTTTTACTTGAAAGAATGAGGATTGATTAATTCAACTAAGCCTTCCTAGTAAAGGAATATGACTTATATTGTCTTACGTGCTCATTTTTCTCTGAAAGGCAAAACAATCTTAACAAATGAGTTGATATTTGTGCAGTGGCTTATGACTGTAATCCCAGCTACTTGGGAGGCTAAGGTGGGAAGATAACTTGAGCCCAGAAAGTCGAGGCTGCAGTGAGATAAGATCGTGCCCATCTCCAAAACACAAAAACCAAAACCAAAAAACAAGTAAGTTATGTTTTTGATACTGCATTATTAATATTTAGCCTACTTTTCTCCACTAATGGATAAAACACTTCAGATTTCTGTTTGTTCAGCTTAGTTTATTGAGATGTAAAAGTAGAATGCCTGTTGCATGCAGTGGCTCATACTAGTAATCCCAACACTTTGCGAGGCTGAGGTGGGAGGATCGCTTGAGCTCAGGAGTTTGAGACCAGCCTGGGCAACATAGGAAGACCCTGTGGCTGCACAAAATTTTAAAATTAGCTGGGCATGGTGGCACACACCTGTAGTTTCAGCTTCAGTTTCTTGGGAGGCTGAGGTGGGAGGATTGCTTGAGCCCAGGAGATCAAGGCTGCAGTGAGTCATGATCGCACCACTGCACTCCAGCCTGGGAGACAGAGTGAGACCTTGTCTCAAAAAAAAAAAAAAAAAAAAAAAAAAGTGGAATACTTAGCATGGCTGCTGCTCCTTTTACCAGCATCTGTTCTTACTGGCTGTCTCTCCAGGAAAGTTCCACTTACCTTCCTTTTCTTCAAATGTAAAAGTAAGCCGGGAGTGGTGGCTCATGCCTGTAATCCCAGCACTTTGGGAGGCCGAGGTGGGCAGATCACGAGGTCAGGAGATCGAGACCATCCTGGCTAACACAGTGAAACCCCGTCTCTACTACAAATACAAAAAAAAAAAAAAAATTAGCCGGGCGTGGTGGTGGGCACCTGTAGTCCCAGCTATGCAGGAGGCTGAGGCAGGAGAATGGCGTGAACCCAGGAAGCGGAGCTTGTAGTGAGCCGAGATCGCACCACCGCACTCCAGCCTGGGCAACAGAGTGAGACTGTCTCAAAAAAAAAAAAAAAGGTAAAAGTAATACATATTCCTCATAAAACTAAAGTGATATCTGTATTAATCCATTCTTGCATTGCTATAAAGAAATACCTGAGACTGGGTAATTTATTTATCTATCTATTTATTTATTTATTTTTGAGATGGAATCTCACTCTTTTTCCCAGGCTGGAGTGCAGTGGCCTGATCTTGGCTCACCGCAACCTCTGCCTCCCGGGTTCAAGCGATTCTCCTGCCTCAGCCTCCCGAGTAGCTGGGACTACAGGCATGTGCCACCATGCCTGGCTAAGTTTTGTATTTTTAGTAGAGACAGGGTTTCAGTAAATTGGTCAGGCTGGTCTCAAACTCCTGACCTCGTGATCCACCCACCTCGGCCTCCCAAAGTGTTGGGATTACAGGCGTGAGCCACCACGCCCAGTGAGACTGGGTAATTTATAAAGAAAACAGGTTCAACTGGCTCACGGTTCTGCAGGTTGTACAGGAAGCATGGCTGGGGAAGCCTCAGGAAACTTACAATCATGTCTGAAGGTGAAGGGGAAGCAGGCACGTCTTACATGGCCAGAGCAGGAGGGAGAGAGAGGTGGGAGGTGCCACACACTTTTAAACGACCAGATTTCATGAGAACTCTGTCATGACAACAGCACTAGGGGGATGGTGTTAAACCATTAGAAGCTGCCCCTGTGATCTGGCCAGGCGCGGTGGCTCACACCCATAATCCCAGCACTTTGGGAGGCTGAGGCAGGAGGATCGCTTGAGTTCAGGAGTTTGAGACCAGCCTTGGCAACATAGTGAGACCCTGTCTCAAAAAAAATAAAATAGGCTAAGCATGGTGGCTCACGCCTGTAATCCCAGTACTTTGGGAGGCTGAGGCAGGTGGATCACCTTAGGTCAGGAGTTCGAGACCAGCCTGGCCAACATGGTGAAACCCCATGTCTACTAAAAATACAAAAGATTAGCCAGGCGTGGTGGTGGGCACCTGTAATCCCAGCTACTCCGGAGGCTGAGACAGGAGAAATGCTTGAACCTGGGAGGCGGAGGTTCATCCATACTATAAAATACTAGGCAGACATTAGATGTAAGGGAGATGTTTCGGGCCCACCCCAGAATGCCAAAAAAAAAAAAAAAAAAAAAAAAAGAGAGAGAGAGAGAAAAGATATAAGGGAGATGTATATCATATGGAAAAGTGTCTCTGATGTCACATGAAAAATAAAAGCCACAGCACTATAAGTAAAGTAGTATCCTATGTATACTAGGGAAAACTATGTTATATACACCCATACACATACACAAACACACACCTGTACATATCTAGAAAAGTATTGGAAGGATATACATGGAACTGTTAGTAGTGAATATCTTTGGGCATGCACTGAGGTAGGTGATAAAGATTAAATTATACACTTGGGTAGTGATATGGTTTGGATCTGTGTCCCTACCCAAATCTCATGTTGAAACGTAATCCCCAGTGCTGGAGGTGGGGCCTGGGAGGAGCTAATGAGATCATGGGGACAGTTTTTTTTTTTTCAATTATTATTATTATTATTTTGAGACAGAGTTTTGCTCTTGTTGCCCAGGCTGGAGTGCAATGGCTCGATCTCGGCTCACTGCAACCTCCGCCTCCCAGGTTCAAGCGATTCTCCTGCCTTAGCTTCCCAGGTAGCTGGGATTACAGGTGCCCACCACCACGCCCAGCTAATTTTTGCCTTTTTAGTAGAGACGGGGTTTCACCATATTGGCCAGGCTGGTCTCGAACTCCTGACCTCAGGTGATCCACTCGCCTTGTCCTCCCAAAGTGCTGGGATTACAGGCATGAGCCACCACGCCCAGCTGTTTCTATATTTTGTCACTGAAATTCTGCAGTGAATATCCCAGGTGAACATTAGCAGTATTTTTGTAAGAAAGAGTTCTGGGGCAGGAATTTTTTTTTTTTTTTTTTTTTGAGGTAGAGTCTTGCTCTGTCATCCAGGCTTGAGGGCAGTGGCATGCTCTCAGCTCACTGCAACCTCCAGCTCCTGGGTTCAAGCGATCCTCCCAACTCAGCCTCCCAAGTAGCTGGAATTACAGGTGCATAGCCACCTGGCTAAGTTTGATATTTTTAGTAGAGATGAGGTTTCACCATGTTGGCCAGGATGGTCTCAAACTTCCAACCTCAAGTGATCCACCTGCCTTGGCCTCCCAAAGTGCTGGAATTATAGGCATGAGCCACAGTGCCTGGCCAGGGGGGAGGAATTTTTAAGGGAAAGACGTTCTAAGAATTTATGCTTAGTAATGAAAGAAATCTCAAGGGAGATATGGTATACTCTTGTGTCAAATCAACATATAACAAATTCATATAGATAAATCACAAAAGCACTAAAACTGTAATGGAAAAAATAAGCAAAACCCACCAATAGTCAATTTGCAGAAAAAGAAATACCAATGACTACTAAATACATGGAAAATATTTTAACTATTCTATCTCTGTAATTAACAAGATGAGAGGAGAAAGTAATGGTGATGTGGCAGAACTTTAGCAAGAACTTAAAAATATGGCCAGGCATGGTGGCTCATCCCTGTAATCCCAGCACTTTAGGAGGCTGAAATGGGAGGATCACTTGAGGTCAGGCATTCAAAACCAGCCTGGCCAACATGGTAAAACCCCATTTCTACTAAAAAAAAGCAAAAAAAAAAAAAAAAAAAAAAAAAAAAAAAAAAAAAAAGCCCAGCGTGGTGGCCTGTGCCTGTAATCCCAGCTGCTTGGGAGGCTGAGGTCCGAGAATCGTTTGAACTCGGTAGGCGGAGGTTGCAGTGAGTTGAGATCTCATCACTGAACTCCAGGCTGGGCAAGAATGAGACTCCATCTCAAAAAACAACCACAATACAAAAAGAGCTTTAAAATATTCATATCCTGGGGCTGGGCGCAGTGGCTTACGCCTGTAATCCCAGCACTTTGGGAGGCAGAGGCGAGCGGATCATGAGGTCAAGGGATCGAGACCATCCTGGCCAACATGGTGAAACGCTGTCTCTACTAAAAATACAAAAATCAGCTAAGCGTGGTTGCACGCGCCTGTAATTCCAGCTACTCTGGAGGCTGAGGCAGGAGAATTGCTTGAACTCAGGAGGTGGAGGTTGCAGTGAGCTGAGATCGCACCACTGCCCTCCAACCTGGCGACAGAGTGAGACTCCATCTCAAAAAAAAAAAAATTCATATCCTTAAATCATGAATTCTACTTTCACAAATTTGAGGAAATAAAGATGTCATAAGTAGACACCCATTGGCTACATCTCAGGGCTACTGCTCCTACTCTTCTCCCCACTACCTCCAAGTGAAGAATCATCCAGCCCAAAATGTCAAGCTCCTTCTCCTCTTTTTCTCCTCCAATGCACATGGAAACAGCAGAAAGCCTCCAACACTCATTTTGTGCAGTGAGTCTCATATCCTGACCACATTTGATTGGACCAGGTGAGGGTACCTGAGCTAACCTGGGCTAGGGTCGCTTTCCCAGGAACTTTGAATTAACACTAACGGATCCTCGCCTATGTTCTGGCTGCTCTATTAAATGGAGACAATGCAAAAATGAGAGCTTGACCTGCCATTTTGCCCAACCTAGCCTGCCCCTCAGAAAAAGTGAGAGGAGAATGACCGAAGCACAATCACAGCAAGGACAGAGACAGAAAGGCCTGAGTGCTTTTCCATCCTACGGCTAGTCCCTGCTTGCTGAGGCTAAGTGCATCCCTGCCCAAAATCCTAATAGCAATTATCCTCCTTTGCGCGTGCCAACTCCAGTAAGTCCCTGGTAAAGCTCCTGCTGCTCCAACTCAAGAGAGAGAGCCCCAGATCCTGCTCAGTGCCTCAATATTGCAGAACAGAGGGAGTGAGGGAAACATTTAATTTCCAACTCTGAAGGTCTACCATGGAGAAGAGAGGAGCAGAAGGAAGAACTTAATACTGGTGGAGCACTTGGTAAAATGAAAATAAATATTCTTTTTTTTTTTTTGAGATGGAGTTTTGCTCTTGTCGCCCAGGCTGGATTGCAATGGCACAATCTCGGCTCACTGCAACCTCTGCCTCCCGGGTTCAAGTGATTCTCCTGCCTCAGTCTCCCGAGTAGCTGGGATTACAGGCGCCCACCACCACACTCAGCTAATTTTTGTATTTTTAGAAGAGACAGTGTTTCACCACGTTGGCCAGGCTGGTCTTGAACTCCTAACCTCAGGTGATCCACCTACCTCGGCCTCCCAAAGTGCTGGGATTACAGGTGTGAGCCTCTGTGCCCGGCGAAAATAAATATTCTATGTGAACCACTTTAGACAGTTCCTGGCCCACAGTAAACAATACTTTTTTGTTGTTGTTTTATTTTCTAAGATTGAGTCTCTCTCTGTTGCCCAGGCTGGAGTGCAGCGGCACAATCTTGGCTCAGTGCAACCTCCACCTCCCAGGTTCAAACAATTTTTCTGCCTCAGCCTCCCTAGTAGCTGGGATTACAGGATTACAGGTGTGTGCCACCACACTGGCTGATTTTTTGTATTTTTAGTAGAGACAGGGTTTCACCATGTTGGCCAGACTGGTCTCAAACTCCTAATCTCAAGGGATCCACCCGCCTCAGCCTCCCAAAGTGCTGGAATTACAGGCACGAGCCACCGTGCCCGGCCTCTCATAGTAAACAATACTTTAAACAAACAAAAGGAGGCCAAGTGTGCCAGGCCAGGCCTGAAGGAGAATTCTGAGTATAACCAGTATCACCGCCTCTGTTTCTCTTTTTATTTTTTCCATTTTTTCCTCCTGATCATAAGATATTGCAACAAACTCTGGGCTTTCATAGTAATTAGTCCTTGTTCATAACATCTTGTAGTAGAGTAGAGTGATAGTATTTTTTTTTTTTTTTGAGATGGAGTCTCGCTCTGTTGCCCAGACTAGAGTGCAGTGTCACCATCTCAGCTCACTGCAACCTCCACCTCCTGGGTTCAAGCAATTCTTTGCCTCAGCCTCCTGAGTAGCTGGGATTACAGGTGCCTACCACCATGCCCGGCTAATTTTTTTTTGTATTTTTAGTAGAGATGGGGTTTCACCATCTTGGCTAGGCTGGTCTTGAACTCCTGACCTCGTGATCCACCTACCTCTGCCTCCCAAAGTGCTGGGATTACAGGTATGAGCCACCGCGCCCAACCAAGTGATACTATTTATGTCTTTTTCATATTTGAGTTGCCCCAGAGTGCCAAGTAGGTACTTAAACGTATGGAATGTTATGTATGAGGGAATGATTAAATACAATAATGAAAGTTTGGTTAGGAAACTTCTATATGACGTGTATGAAAGGCTTATGGAAATGTACTGATCATCATGAGATGATGAATTCTCTTGAAGTTGAGCGTTTGCGACAGTTTGCCAATGAAGGCAGTGACTTTTAGCTAATTATAACTTGTTTCATTTTAGGGGTCAAGACAGCTGTGATTATATACTTTGAATTAGTCTCTTTCAATACTTTTTTTTTTTTCAAAAATACTTTTTCATAAATACCCTGTTCCATTTGCCAATTGGCTTGTTAACTGGGTCATCGACCTTCCAAATCAGAATATATGCTTCCTTGACTTAGAAATGCCATCAAACGGAACATTTTCAAGTACTGGAGATGACTACTGCCTCTATCCTTGTTTTCAAAGCTCTTTAAACCGAAGTTTCCTACAACATTTTCTGTTCATTAAGAAGAAAGTTGTTCTAATGCTAGGCCATGTTAAAAAGATAAAACTTAAGATACAAAAAAAGAAGCTTGATTTGGATTCACACTGAAATTTACCTCTACCTGCAAAGTGTGCTTCTCTCCAAAGACAGAATAGGGTTTCTTTATGTTTTTTTAAAAAGACTTAAATATCAAAGGAAATGAGCTGGAAAGGCATTATGTTTTCTAGATACTCTACACAGCACTATATATAGACCAGAATGTGTCGAACACGGGTCCCCAACCCTGGGCCACGGACCGGTATCAGTCCATGGCCTGTTAGGAACTGGGCTGGACAGCAGGAGGTGAGTGGCAGGCAAGGCAGTATTACTGCCTGAGCTCGGCCTCCTGTCAGATCAGCTGTGGCATTAGATTCTCATAGGAGCGCAAACTCTACCGTGAACTGTGCAAGCAAGGGATCTGGGTTGCGTGCTCCTTACGAGGAGAATCTAATGCCTGATGATCTGAGGTGGAACAGTTTCATCCCGAAACCACCCACTCAAGTCCCCACACCCCAGTCAGTGGAAAAATTGTCTCCCACAAAACCAGTCCCTGGTGCCAGAAAGGTTGTGGACTGCTGGTATAGAGGATTTCTATGGGGAAAAGGTAGTAAACTAAGTTTAGAATTTCAGCACCTTTCTTCTAGTCAGAATTCCTATCCAAGCTCTGCCACTTACTAGATGTATAACCTTGGAAAAGAAACTTAAGCTTTCTAGTCAGATGTGGTGGCACCTGCCTGTAGTTCCAACTACTTGGGAGGCTAAGTGGGGGATTGCTTGAGCCCAGGAGTTTGAGGTTACAGTGAGCTATGATTGAATCACTGCACTCCAGCCTGGGTGACAGAGACTCTGTCTCTAAAAATAATAATAAAGGCCGGGTGTGGTGGCTCACGCCTGTAATCTCAGCACTTTGGGAGGCTGAGGTGGGTGGATCACGAGGTCAGGAGATCTAGACCATCCTGGCTAACATGGTGAAACCCCGTCTCTACTAAAAATACAAAAAAATTAGCTGGGCGTGGTGGCGGGCACCTGTAGTCCCAGCTACTTGGGAGGCTGACTGAGGCAGGAGAATGGCGTGAACCCGGGAGGTGGAGCTTGCAGTGAGCTGAGATTGCGCCACTGCACTCCAGCCTGGGGGACAGAGCGAGACTCCTTCTCAAAAATAAATAAATAAAATAAATAAATAAAATAAAATAAAAATAAAATAAAGAAACTTAAGCTTTCTGTATCTTAGTTTCTGCATCTAAAAAAGTGGAATAATAGTGCCTACATCAATAGGTTATTTTGAGGATTAAACAAGATACTATGGCCAGGCTCGGTGGCTCACGCCTGTAATCCCAGTACTTTGGGAGGCCGAGGCAGACAGATCACCTGAGGTCAGGAGTTCGAGATCAGCCTAGCCAACATGGCGAAACCCTGTCTCTACTAAAAATACAAAAATTAGCTGGGCGTGGTGGTGGGCGCCTGTAATCCCAGCTACTCAGGAGGCTGAGGCAGGAGAATCGCTTGAACCCGGGAGATGGAGGTTGCAGTGGGCCGAGATCGTGCCACTGCACTCAAGCCTGGGTGACAGAGTAAGACTCTATCTCAAAAAAACAAAAAAACAAAAAAACCCCACACCAAACAAAACAAACGAAACAAAAACCAAGATAATACAAGTAAAGTGTCTGCCACAGTTCCTAGCTCATAGTGTTCAATGAATGGGAGTTATGGTGATGGAAGACTTGGACCATTGTTTCTACTTTCTTTACTTTATGATCTCATAAAAGGTCACAGTTAACCTCTGTATCTTATTAGTCTTTCCTTTGTAAGATGAAGAAAATAGTAGCCATATATTCAATTACTTGGATATATTAGTAGCAAATGACTTAAACACAGTGATAACTTGGTATATAGCGTGAAAAGACCTGGCTCTTGGACAAACAGGATTCAAATTGTGGTTCCACTCATTACTAGCTGTCTGACATTGGGCAACCTCCTTGATCCTCAGTTTTCTTATTTTTGAAATGAAAATAATATGTATCTACAGAGTTAAGGCTCAAATTAAATACTGCATATGAAAATGCACTAAATTGCTATGCACATGCTTGCAGTTATTTTTACCAATACCATATGAGATTTTTACAAGTACCATACTATGCATTGTCCTTATTGGTTTATTTTGTTTCAATAACAGTGTGCTCAGATTTCAGTTTTCACCCTCTTTTGGTTGTCTTGCCCCTTAGAATGTGTTAGGTCTGATTCGTACTATGTTCATAGATTTTACCCAATTTTATTGATAGCTCAAAAACAATGTTCTCTCTCTATGATCGATAAGAAGCCTAGATGTAACACTCAACCATAGGTTGCATTTTCTAAAATATGGCCTTGGTGTATTAAGAGACTCAGTAAAAATAAACTATTGAAAAGCAGCATACAGTTTGCTAAATAAGGCTTATTTTCATGTTTAGTAGGTCATTACACTATTCTTTCCTTGTGTTCTAGAAGGACTTAACTCTATATGCATAATTCCTTTTTAATTTTTTTTTCCTGAGCTCCCTGTCACTTAGAAAATGCGTAGGTTTTTTTTTTTTGTTTGTTTGTTTGTTTTTTTCAGATGCAGTCTTGTTCTGTTACCCAGGCTGGAGTGCAGTGGCGCCATCTCGGCTCACTGCAACTTCTGCCTCCTGGGTTCAAGTGACCTTTCCACTTCAGCCTCCCGAGTTGCTGGGATTTCAGGTGTGCACTACCATGCCAGGCTAATTTTTTTGTATTTTTAATAGAGAGGGAGTTTCATCATGTTGGACAAGCTGGTCTTGAACTCCTGACCTCAAGCCATCTGCCTGCCTCAGCCTCCCAAAGTGCTGGGATTATGAGTATCAGCCACCACGTCCGGCCAAAAATGCATAATTCTTAAGAATATCTTCTTTGAGTCTAAACTTTTAAGAAAAACAGAAATCAGCCGGGTGTGGTGGCTCATACCTGTAATCCCAGCACTTTGGGAAGCCGAGGTGGGTGGGTCATGAGTTCAGGAGTTCAAAATCAGCCTGACCAATATGGTGAAACCTCTCTCTACTAAAAAATACAAAAATTAGCCAGGCTTGGTGACGCATGCCTATAATCCCAGCTACTCAGGAGGCTGAGGCAGGAGAATTGCTTGAACCCAGGAGGTGGAGGTTGCAGTGAGCTGAGATCACGCCACCGCACTCCAGCCTGGGTGACAGAACGAGGCTCCGTCTCAAAAACAAACAAACAAACAACAACAAAAAAACCCAGAAATAAATTACACTTGATCAATTACATTAGGAAAGAACTCCTGGCAGGGTCACTTTAAATTATTTCCTTTCATGCTTAAGATTCATAAACGTTTCACTTAGTTCTCAACATTTAGAAAACCTCAGTTTCAGGGTCTAAAAAGTAAACTGAAGCTTGAAGAGGTTAAGTGAATTGCCTGTCAGGATTCTTTTGGGTGTCCATTGTAGAAATCAAACTCCACAGTGGCTTAAACAAAAAAGGGAATTTACTGGCTCATATAACTGAAACTAGCTTAGGTAAAGCTGAATCCAGCAGTTCCAACAAGGCTGATGGAACTTGGAATTTGCCAAAGTCTCTTCTAAAGGATTGGCTTCCTCTAGGATGAAGGAAGGAAAAGGGAGACAGTTATAAGCAGCTCTAATTTATATCATTTCATGGTTTCTGATCCAAGAGGAAGAGAGGCATCCCTCCTCCAGCATTCAAAAAGCAAATCTTGGGGAAGACCCAGTTGAGTCATGTACCCATCTCTCTGGGGGAGGAGGGAGGGAAGAGGGAAGCACCATGAGTAACAGTCCCATCAGAATCACATAAAGTGAGGGAGGGTGTGGGCCTCAAAGGAAAAGAAGGGGACGGTTGGGAGGCACGTATTCAAAACACCAAGGCCAGACCACTATTAAACGCAGGGCTAGGATTAGAAACTGGAATCTCAGTCCTGGTGCAGTTTTAGAGGTTAAAATGAGGATGAGAAATAGATAAGCCCAGAGCAAAAATACTTTGAGCCTCTTTTATTTTTTGTGTGTTTGTTTTTTCAGATGGAGTCTCACTCTGTCGCCCAAGCTGGAGTGCAGTGGCGTGATCTCGGCTCATTGCAACTTCCACCTCCCAGGTTCAAGCAATTCTCCTGCCTCAGCCTCCAGAGTAGCCAGGTTTACAGGTGTGTGCCACCATGCCCAGCTAATTTTTGTTTT